>NC_000006.12:63519473-63822503 GCF_000001405.40 Homo sapiens
GTCTTACCAGGTGAGGGAAATACTAATGATAAACTGACTGATTGATTTACCAGAACTGACTTTCCACTAATAAGGGTAAAGACACCACATATGCCAAGTTTGTTCCATATACTTGGCACAAGCTTATTTCCTGTTTTGTGACTCAATTACAGCCCATTATGTGACTCAATTGAATTAAAAAGTAGGACATGAAAATGAAATACAGGTCAGTCTACTAAAATCCAGAAAAGGTATTAAGCAATTCATGTGTGACAGTTCTAATTCAATGTTAAAACTATAGTTAACTTCCTACTATTACACTTGACTTGCAAATAAACCAATAAGAAAATTAGAAAGCAATATAGAATTTTAGCTCCTGAAATTCAATCATCAATTTATCAATAAAAACCATTCTGTTCAGATTAAAGACATTTGCTACCACCATACTTTATTTTGACAAATGGACTTGAAATAGACATTCAACACATTAAAATTCAGTAGATAATAATTTTTACCCTGTAACTGTATAAACCTGTAGACTGATTTAATGTATCATCTACCTATAATTTTTCGAGGAGCCTCAATGCCTGAATCCAACATATTTTAAAACTACACATAAATTTGCGAGAACATAATTATCAAACAAAAACTAACCACTGGATCTCTTGCATATTACACACTGCTGTTGCATTGATACTTTTCTCTCCTCTGTATGCATCCTTTTTTTAACTTCAGTCTTCATTGATTCTACAATTGGGAATATTTTCCCATTAGACATTTATGTGATTCTTATCTTTAAATGTTGTGATATATTGTCCTTGGCCTTCAGGAGATCTATCAATTAACATTGCTAATGAATAGGAAAAATAGTAAAACACTAAAAATGAAAATAGACTGGGTGTGGTGGCTCATGCCTGTAATCCCAGCACTTTGGGAGACTGAGGCGGGCGGATCACTTGAGGCCAGGAGTTCAAGACCAGCCTGGCCAATGTGGCAAAACCCCATCTGTATCAAAAATACAAAAATTAGCCAGGTGTGATGGCACATGCCTGTAATCCCAGCTACTCGGGAGGCTGAGGTAGGAGAATCACTTGAACCAGGGAGGCAGACAGAGGTTGCAGTGAGCCAAGATCATGCCACTTCACTCCAGCCTGGGTGACAGAGTGAGACTCTGTCTCAAATAAATAAATAAATAAATAAATAAATAAATAAATAAATAAAATGAAAATAGATATCTGAAAAAAAAGACTTTGGCACAATTGTTCACCTTATAAATCTGTGGTTTGTGTTTATTATTTCCTTGTCAATATGATTAGTGTCAGAGTTACTGTTCTTTTTAATTTTTTGCCTTGTAAACAGGTGGTAAAGAGATCATTTATTAGACCATGTGCTATAGGTAGTGCACTACATGAACAATCAGTTTATATACACCATGGAATACTATGCAGCCATAAAAAAGAATGAGTTCATGTCCTTTGCAGGGACATGGATGAAGCTAGAAACCATCATCCTCAGCAAACTAACACAGGAACAGGAAACCAAACACCGCATGGTCTCACTCATAAGTGGGAGTTGAACAATGAGAACACATGGACACAGGGAGGTGAACATCATATACTGGGGCCTGTCACGGGGTGGGGGAAAAGGGGAGGGAGAGCATGCGGGGCTTAAAACCTAGATGAGGGGTTGATAGGTGCAACAAACCACCATGGTACATGTATACCTATGTAACAAACCTGAGCATTCAGCACATGTAGCCCAAAACTTAAAGTAAAATAAAAGAAAAAAAAATAAAACTGAGCAAGAAAAGAAAAAAACGGCAAATAATTTTTTAGTGTTGCACAGAAAATAATATCTGGCTTGTCGTATTCTAGCATAAAGTGAGTCAACATCATTGTTTAAAAGTCAGACAGATTTCAATTCAGCATTTTTCTCCCCAATCTAATTATTTCAGAAGCTCAGGTAGGATCAGAAAGAGGCAGTATCCTTCCATGTAGGAACACACCAAAGGAGCTAATTACATAAAAACAGAAAATACATAAACAACACATGTAAAGAGGGTAAATGACAGATGGCTAAATGCCATAACTAAGTTTTATTATACTACCATTAACCACCAAAATTATGCATTTCCTAAAGTAGCATAGTTTGGAAACAAATAGCATATATTTTAGAAACTGTCCCCTTGAACTGTATAAATTGCAAAATAAACAGATATATTACCCTTTCTCTGCCTCCCCTACAGTAACTCATTAACAGATAGACTTAAGCTCCTGCACTTTCTGACCCTCCCAGGACTTGAGTTGCCTTGTCTGGTATCCTTATGCAGAATGAACTGAAATAATCATCAATCTGAAAAGCTACTCTTAAACAGGTAATTCTAACTTAATCTACTTGTATATTTTATGGAACACCTAGGGACAGACTGTTAGAACAATGGGAATCTTATAAAAATATATTAATCTAATTCTCTTATTTTACAAATGGAATAATTCATAGAGAGTTCTGATCTGTTCAAGGGCACACACTCATTTAGTGGCAGAGCCCAGACTAGAACCCAAGTAATCTGTCTCCCTCTCCAGTGCTTTTTCCCACAGGCTTTGCCAGATACTGTTTCATGTCTTGGATTACATTGGTAGAACCTTTTGTTAATACATAGGTGAATCCTTGTCTTCCAGATTAGGCTCTTGAATTTCCTTATCCCAACTCTATATTTATGTTTTCTGATTTTATGGAATGTCATATTCCTTTTTCTCCAAAGTATTTTAAGGGCTACAATATATGGCAAATTTTAACTGTTGTTTCTGTTACTTATTTGAATTTAGATGAATTATTTGTATAGTTATAAAGATAAGATGTCCAGAAACCATATTCATGATGTAAATGAGATCACCTTGTATCTGCTAAAAACATTCTAGTTAAACAGAAGATAAACAATAAATAAGTAGTCCCTGCAGGAGATAATTTCATCAGGGGACCCTAGTTACAATTCAGGTGAAACAGACCAAATGCCAGAGCTCTTTATCACCCTCGCCAAGACTGTATCCATGACAAGCTTTAGTAAGCAAAGAGAGCAATAGGAAGCACTTTCTTTTTGAGGTAGAAAAGGGCTCTATAAGTTGAATATTCCCCAAATTACATTATTTGTATTAGTTAAAAGAACACAATAGTGTAGCAGCCAGAAAACAAATATTTGCTCATAAGTTTTTATCATTTTTTTCCAACTGGACCTGGGGATTCCTATTGCTCATATGTTTACTCACAGCTGATACTCTTTCAACAATAGGGGAGATACCATATTACTGTTTTCTACCATGGAAGATTCAGTGCAATGGGTTCATTTTAATTACCATGTAAAGTGACTCAGACTTTGAGGTCGTGAAATGATCCCCTTTATAAGACTAAATCACTTTTTTTTTTTTTTTTTTTTGAGACAGAGTCTCACTCTGTCAACCAGGCTGGAGTGCAGCAGCACGATCTCAGCTAACTGCAACCTCTGCCTCCCAGGTTCAAGCGATTCTCCTGCCACAGCCTCCGGAGTAGCTGGGACTACAGGCATGTGCCACCACGCTGATCTAATTTTTGTATTTTTAGCAGACATGGGGTTTCACCTTTTTTGGCCAGGCTGGTCTCAAACTCCTGACCTCAAGTGACCTGCCCACCTCAGCCTCCTAAAGTGTTGAAATTACAGGCACGAGCCATAGTACCCAGCCGAATCACTCTTTTATTTTTTTTTACATCACTCTTACGAGTCATCAAAAACAACTATAAAGTAAGTGTCTAGGATGTTTATTTCACTATTATGTACTTTCTCAGGCATTATACACAATATGATGTCTATAAATGAAGGCGGGCAGATCACTTGAGGTCAGGAGTTCGAGACTAGCCTGGCCAACATGGCAAAACCCTGTCTCTACTAGAAAACACAAAAATTAGCCAGGCATGATGGGGCATGCCTGTAGTCCCAGCTACTCGGGAGGTTTGAACCCGGGAGGTTGCAGTGAGCCATGATCGTGCCACTGCACTCTAGCCTGGGCAACAGAGTGAGACTCCATCTCAAAAATAAATAAATAAATAAATAAATAAAAGAAATTCTGCAAGGTGGTAAGTTATTGCAGAAAAATAAAACCAGTTCCATGTCAATCTACTATAAGCCCACTCAGATCTAAGACATCTTATTTGCCTAGAGCAAGCTTATCCATGCATGTGGCCCAGGACACTTTCAATATGGCCCAACACAAATTCATAAACTCTTTTAAAATTATAAGACTTTTTTTGCGATTTTTTTAAGCTCATCAGCTATCGTTAGTGTTAGTGTATTTCATGTGTGGCCCAGACAATTCTTCTTTCAGTGGGGCCCGGAGAAGCCAAAAGATTGGACACCCCTGGCCTATAGCACTCTGTGTCTGAATTTTTAACAGATTGCCTACTCCTAGCATAATAATGTTTTATTGTCATTCTCAAGTTTCTAAGGTATGACTATATAAACAGTAGAAATAAATTAAATATTAAAAAGGTAGAATTGTATCAATAGGCTTTTTTTTTTCTGGAGACAGTCTTGCTCTGTCGCCCAGGCTGGAATGCAATGGTGCCATCTTGGCTCACTGCAACCTTTGCCTCCCAGGTTCAAGTGATTCTCCCCATGTCTCAGCTTTCTAAGTAGCTGGGACTACAGGCCCGCACCACCACACCCAGTTAATTTTTGTGTTTTGAGTAGAGATGGAGTTTTACCCTCTTGTCCAGGCTGGTCTCAAACTCCTGGCCTCAAATAATCTGACTGCCTTGGCCTCCCAAATTGCTGGGATTACAGACGTGAGCCCCCATGCCCAGCACTCAATAGGCTTTTAATCTAGCTTATAAAGTGTAAAGAATCCTAGAGGATATATTAATGACACATATTTGTATGAAAAAATTATTTCATATTGAAGACCAGTACCTTCTCAAAACTGCCACAGCAGATGAATTTCTTCTAAGAGGACATCAATTTGGGCCTTTATTATACCTTGAGTTTAATAAGTGAGAACTTCAAGGTAGTATATGTAAAAGCATTTTGAAAAATATGTATAATTTTAATTCCTATATGAATTTATTGTTCAATATGTTTCAAGAAAAAAGATGAAGCAATTCACAGTTTTTAAAAATGTAAAAATAAAATTATCCAAACAGAAGCCTTGGATGAGATTCTACTGAATGACTCTGAGCTTCCTGGCAGCCAAAGCAAAAGAGAAATGCAAAGTGTTATTTCTTTTCTTTTCTTTTGACTGACAAGAAAAAACATACAAGTTCATGTGAAAAACCTATCTTCTCACATGAAATTGTATATATTATCTCATTCAAAGTTTCTATTTTAATCATTTCCTTTTTATATGTTTTAGAATTATAAACATTATATGTGAATGCGAGATGTGGCATACCACAATGGACAAATTTTTAAATTGCAGTTTTTGAAGATACCTCAGAGGCATTCTTCATATAAGCATTTTTTATGAAAAAACTTAAGAAAGTAAAATTAATTATTGAGTTTAACTCCTAAATTAGTGGAGTTGAGCATGTCACCAAGCCTTGTTCTAACTTGATTCAGGGATTTAGCTTAGACAGACTAGAGCAGCATTTCTGAAAGGGTGTTTAGAAGATGTCCTGCATCAAATTATTCAAGGCTGTTTCAAAGGTGAAGATTTCTAAGCCCCACTCTACAACTACTGAATCAGAACTCTGGTACAGATTTCAAAATTCTCAATTGTAAATAAGTTATCCTGGTGAATTGTGTGTCTGCAGTGCTAGTTATTAGTACTCTTTCAGGATCAAACCCGCTCTTCCATATTTGGCCTTGTGATGCTGAAGCCGGTTGTGGGTAACCTCCAGTGTCATTTTTGCCACCTGGCTTCCGGTTAGATTCTGCCAATGGGGGAGCTAGAGAGAGAACAGACGGGAGGAAGGAGGTGGAACACACTCCTTCCCGTTTGCTTGCTATTCTTGTCAGTATCACCTAGCTGTGGTTCTTCACGCCAGCAGTTCTAGCTTTTTCTAGTAGCAGTTGGTTCCAGTTTCCACTATTTCCCCATCTCCCAGAACCTAGTTCATGCCACTCTCTCAGAGCATCTTCTGAAATCTGGGTTCCAGCTCCACTGGACTCTCCTCTGCGTTCTGAAGCACCAGTGCCATCCAGGCAGCTTCCTCACCTCAGAGGTCTGGATTCCAGCTTCCACCTTCTCCAAGCTTGTAGTTTCCAACAACCCCAACCTTTCACCTTTCCCCCCAGGCCTAGTGGTAGCAGCTGCTTTCTGCAATTACTTTCCCTGTGTATTTGTTCCTTTTTCCCCTGTCAGTCCTCCAATATCTATATAACTAAATTTCCCTGTGTAAATTATCTCTTAAAATAGTTGGTGTGGTTTCTTTTTTCCTGACTAAACCCTGACTGATACAAATGTTAATATTTGAGTTCTAGTGAGTTGGGACATTAAGGAGACAACGTATCTCTAAGACAGTCTCTTCCAATTGTCAATTGTTTAAACCTTCTTTCGGTACCAGTATACAAAAGAGTGGTGCCAGGAGTTTCAACCACTATATTTTATTGCCTTAAGAAATTTCTAGGCCAGGCGCAGTGGCTCATGCCTGTAATCCCAACATTTTAGGAGGCCAAGGCGGGCAGATCACCTGAAGTCAGGAGTTCAAGACCAGCCTGGCCAACATGGTGAAATCCCGTCTCCACTAAAAATACAAAAATTAGCTGGGCATGGTGGTGGATGCCTGTAGTCCCAGCTACTCAGGAGGCTGAGTCAGGGGAATCACTTGAACCAGGGAGGCGGAGGTTGCAGTGAACCAAGATCTCACCACTGCACTCCAGCCTGGGTAACAGAGCAAGACTCCACCTCAAAATAAATAAATAAATAAAAGAAATTTCCAGAAGCTTTGGGTTCTAGAATAGCTGATAACAAAGTTGAAATTCTATTATCAAAAATGAAGAATTCTTACATAATCTTTCCCAGAATCAGAGCCAATCCAGTTCAACAGAGAGGAAGACCACGTATGATAAATCCGCAAGCAGAACAAAAATATTTTTTTAAAAAGATTTTTAGGCCAGGCGCAGTGGCTCATGCCTGTAATCCCAGTACTTTGGGAGACCGAGGCAGGCGGATCGCAAGGTAAGGAGATCGAGACCATCCTGGCCACCATGGTGAAACCCTGTCTCTACTAAAAATACAAAAATTAGCTGGACGTGGTGGCGTGTGCCTGTAGTCTCAGCTACTCCGGAGGCTGCATTTCTTGAATCTGGGAGGCAGAGGCTGCAGTGAGTCGAGATCACACCACTGCACTCCAACCTGCGACAGAGCAAGACTCTATCTCAAAAATGTATATATATATATATATATATATATATATATATTTATTTATTTATTCTTCTTAAGGGCTTCCATAGGATGCATTACTTGCACTATCTACAGGACAAAAGACCAAATGTTGGATTTATATGTAAGGGCATCCATGATGTTATGCACTTCTTCAAAATGATTTCAAGTTTATCTTTCTTTATTAGGGCACTGCTTCCACATGAGCTCATTGTTGTTCCCTGCTGCACCTTATATATGTATTTCTACCTTCATGTCTTGACTCAGGCAGTTTCTTTTATCTGAGAGTCCTTATTGAATATACAAATACCTGAGCAGTCCTCATAATGGATACTCAACACATGTTGGAACTGGCTTGGATTGCCTTTCTTCTACAGTGAGTCTTCCTCAGAATTAGTCTGCTTTGAAGTGCTATAGCAGTTACTTTATGTGCACATTTTAAACAGAGCACATGTTCTCTTCTGAATTGCTTGTGTCTATGTTCAATCTTTCCTCCTAGATTTATAAACTCTTTAAAGACATGCCATATATCTTACAGATTCTCGTATCACCACAGTAACCCACAGACCTTGCATAGAATATTGACCAATAAGTGCCGAGTGAATAAGGACCTAACAAATAGTCATCTACTATTTGATGGGTCTTTCCTTTCTCCTCTTCTTATGTTGTAGATATCTCAAAAGCTTTTCAAAATGTAGAGGGTATAAATAATATCTAATGTGCTTTATACTGTGTCCACAGTATTATAAAATAATATTTTCACTTTTCTAGATCTGCATGATACTTCCCATACATTAACTATTTAAGTTTCGGTGACAACTCTTCCATTTTAACCAAGAAAACTGAGACTCTGAGAACTTAAGTAACCATGTCCAAGGTCACGTAATGAGACAGTGATGTTTCTGGAATTCGAAAAGGGCTCTTTCACATACATTGCATGGTCTCTTGGGAAGTTAGAGCTTAGACAGTGACGATAACAGTGATGAGCTCACCTGACAGATTGCTCTTTTTCCTCTGCAGAGACTTGCTTCAACACCAGGAAGAACATGAAAGGGTGACTCATAATTCCCAGCAGCAGTGCCAGTTCATGTGCTGGGATTCTGACCACAAGCCTAACAATCAGGTCAGGGAGTCAGATTTCTGTTGGATTTAGAAAAGCATCTATGTGTTTATGAAAGAAACCCACTGGATTTTTAATAGTTCTGCAGCTCTTGGAGGCTCTACATCTACCCTTTCTCCCCAGCCAAGAGCATGGCTATGGGAGAAGGAAGGCAGGCAGCAGGCAGGTAAGTGTGACTTCCTCACTTCCCCTACCTTCTCATCTTAAAGCCATAGAGTGGTTGCTGGGTAACCCACTCCTACATATATTGGTTCATAAAGCCTAGTGAGCCACTGAAATTCTTACTGATCTGTAAAATTTCAAACACACTAGTAACACAGACAGCCATGGTGTAGATGACTTGAGCACACATAGTATATTTTCTGCTCCCATTGGGCTGTTTGAAGAATAGCATTGGCTGGGCACAGTGGTGTGAACCTGCAGTCCCAGCTACTCTGGAGGCTGAGGTGGGAGAATCGCTTGAGCCCAGCAATTAGAAATCAGCCTGGGAGACACAGTGAATCTCTGTCTTTTTTTTTTTTTAAGGCCGGGTACAGTGGTTCATGCCTATAATCCTAATACTTTGGGAGGCCAAGGTGGACAGATCGCCTGAGCCCAGGTGTTCAAGGCCAGCCTGGGCAACATGGTGAAACCTCATCTCTACAAAAAATATAACAAAACAAATTAGCCAGCCATGAAAAACTAGCCAGGCATGGCGGCATGCATGGTGGTGTGCGCCTGTCATCCCAGCTACTCAGGAGGCTGAAGTGGGAGGATTACCTGAGCACGGGGGAGGTCAAGGCTGCAGTGAGCCAAGATTGCACCACTGTACTCCAGCCTGGGGGACAGAGTGAGACCCTGTCTCAAAAAAAAGCAAGGTTTAATATCAACTTTGGTGGCACCCTCCACAGAGTATTTATACTATAGAATATGTTTTATAAAAATATTTGGGAGGCCGAGGCCGGTGGATTACCTGAGGTCAGGAGTTCAAGACCAGCCTGACTAACATGGTGAAACCCCATCTCTGCTAAAAATACAAAAATTAGCTGGGCGTGGTGGCACATGCCTGTAATCCCAGCTACTTGGGAGGCTGAGGCAAGAGAATCACTTGAATCTGGGAGGCAGAGGTTACAGTGAGCCGAGATTGCACCACTGCACTCCAGCCTGGGCAACAAGAGCGAAACTCCATCTCAAAATATATATATGTGTGTATATATATATATGTATATATATGTGTGTGTATATATATATGTATATATATGTGTGTATATATATATATGTATATATATGTGTGTATATATATATATGTATATATATTTGCTAATAACTTTACAGAACTTTCATATAATTTAGACAGGTGTCTAGGTTCTCTGGAGTCTCAGAAAAATAATACCTAGTCTTTCTCTACATAACATTTGATACATAAAATGGTCTTATTGCAAGACAAATATCAGAACAAAGATCAAACTGCTTAATTTCCTACATCAATTCAAGCAGAAACTTTTCAATTCAATCTCAAACTTTTAGGCAAAATAATTGTCCAGATTACTTTGCTTCTCTCACTCCTGCTCCTCCTCCTTCACCCCTCCCTTGCCTCTCTTGTCTCTTTTTCTAACAACCTAGCCTTCCTTTTCTACCTCTCTCGCTTTTAATTCTCACCCCTTTCTTTCCTTTTGTAGAGGAGGGGCTTAAACTTTTAAGAAATTGCTTTGTTTGCTGTACTCTCTCAAAAGCTTGGTTTGAGCAGCCAACCCTGTTTGCATAAAATGAAAGTTAGAAAACTAAAAGTTTTGTGAACCAAGGGTGGAGGAAAAGGTTATGCATTTTATCACACAGTTCATCATCCTATCAGCCAAGAATGAGGTTCCGTTTTTCTGAGTAATCCCTCACCTACCCACATCCTATATTGGCAAAATACGTGCGTAAGAGGAATTGGCAGGAGCTATCAGAGAACTAAAAATTATCAATTAGGTGTAAAAATATGTCTGCAGTTACCAGTAAGTTAGTATTTTCACTATTAAAGAAATAGGATATTTTGCCATTACAAATAGTTATGTAATTTGTCTTTTCACCATTATTTAGGTACCTTTATAGAGTTATGAGTAATATTTCACTTTTTGACAAAAAGAAAATTAGAATCATGAAGATTAACTGTTTCTCGAGATAGGGCAAGGATAATAACAGTATAGATTTCTGAAAATGAGCCGATAGAAAATCAATCCAAAGAAACTGACAGAAGGAAGTCAAATTGGAACCATCCAAAATGATATAACAATGAAATGTGATCATTAAAACAGCCATGAAGTTAATTTACTTAACACTTTTTTTTCATACACTGGAGTCAGCAGATTATTCCAAGGTGAAGAAAAGGCATAGATGTAACCTTGTAAGAGGACAGCTGTGAGACACAGCTACAGACAAAGCCAGCCTGAGAAAAAGCACAAAGGCTGAATATTAAATTTATATGATGGTACTGGAAGGCAGCCAGGAGTGGTTTGCCCTGCCTTTTATTCCCAAATCTGTAGTTGGGATGGTACCATAAGATGCTCTAGGTAAACATGAAGGCTTAGACGCCCAGATGTAAATGGCTGCCTCATACAGTCACACAGGCTATTTACTGCACAACTCCAGTGGACGCCGTTCACATAGGCTACAATGTGAAAAAAGCCCCCTGAATTTGTGAACATGGAGGCCCTTCTGTGCTAAATCACTAGGGTCATAGGGAATAATAGAAAAAAAGGAGAAGATAAAATTGTATTAAACTATCATAAAGATTTTTTCAAATAAAACATATACATAGAAAAATGATCAGAAGGAAGTACATCAAAATGAAATTTCTAGAGGCATACCTGAATTCATTTTTTCTTATTCCTAGTCTTCTGTATTTTAACATTGAATAAATCAGCAGTTTTAAAATAAATTAACATTTAATAAAGTAGTACCTTAAAACATCCAAATTGATACTTTCTTATAGCTTCAATGCTATAAACTATCAGAGATGTAATGATTAGAATGGTTTCCATACCAATGGAAAATCCTTTAGAAAAATGAGCACTATTTTTCTACATTTGTTTGCATTTTAACCTAGCTTTATAATTTCAACTATTCAACTAAATATAAGAATGAGCTTTGCTTGTGAAAATTCTGATATTATAAATACTAGAGAACTTCTATATTGTGTGTCCAAAGATAGATCAGGTTTCAAGCACAGTTCCCTCAGTCTCCAAAGTCCTCTCAGTTCTGCCTGCCTCTTGAGTTGGTGTCCATCAAGATAACTGCAAGCAATGAGGGCTACCTGCTTCCTGGTTCACAGCCAATGGGCAGAGACTGTCCACCTCTAAACTAATCACAGACTAAGAAGAGGATTTGGTTTAATTAGTGGGGAATAGATGGAATGAAGGGCAAATACCGATTTGTGAGGCCTGTAACATTTTCAGTCTGGGGGTTCTCTTTAACTAAAACAATAAAAAATTTATTCCAAAAATGAACATTTATTTGGAAAGAAAAAACATAACAAATTATAATTTTTAATGCAAAATGCCTACATAGACATCACAAAATCCAGAAGAGATAATGTAATATTTGTATTAAGTTCCTGACCCATATCTATTATGCTTTTTTTTTTTTTTTTTTTTGTAAATGCAGTGGTGCCTGCCATCTTAGCTCACTGCAGCCTCAACCTCCTGGACTCAGGCAATCTTCCTCTCTCATCCTCCTGAGTAGCTGGGACTATAGGCACGAGCCACCATGCTTGATCAATATTTCATACTTTTTTGTAGGGATGGGGTTTTACCATGTTGCCCAGGCTGGTCTTAACTACTGGACTCAAGTGACCCACCTGTCTTGGCCTCCCAAAGTGCTGTGATTACAGGCATGAACCACCATGTCCAGCCTCCCATAACACTTTTATCTGCATGTTTATGGCCACATACACTTTTTTTTTTTTTTGAGACAGAGTCTTGCTCTATCACCCAGGCTCACTGCAACCTTGCCTCCCGGGTTCAAGCAATTCTCTGCCTCAGCCTCCCGAGTAGCTGGAATTACAGGCATCCACCACCATGGCTGGTTAATTTTTGTATTTTTAGTAGAGACGGGGTTTCACCATCTTGGTGAGGCTGGTCTTGAACTCTTGACCTTGTGATACACCCACCTCGGCCTCCCAGAGTGCTGGGATTACAGGCGTGAGCCACCACGCCCGGTCAACCACATACTCTTTGATTGCCTCTTCTTATGACAACTTTATAATAGTTAATAAAGAAAAAATTAGAAATAACAATTCAATCTTTCCTCTCACATATATAATTGAAATTGTTACTGAAATTTTGAAAACTTTCTTCTAGTGTCACAATTTATTATGAGTGAAGTCATACAAATTTTCAGGAATATTGTCAAATTTTGGTAAATCTCTATTAAGTTGTTTTTTGATCTTTTCCTATAAGATTTTCCACAGTTTAGCTTCTGGATTCATACCTCTCAAATCTTGAATCTCCTCTATGCTCACATACTACCAGTACCAGCCACAGGACCTGCTCATGGCTGCATACATCCTATGTATGGGTCAGCACAGCACAGTGGATGGTAGGACTATTTCTGGAAGCCTTTTCTATACCAAGGCAGCTAGCTGTACATGGAGGTAGGTGCAAACCAGGTAAATAAATGCCATTAAATCCACAAAAAAAAAATCTCCCCATTCACTATCCCCTTATTAAATCTCAAAAATGTCCTATGCCACTGTACAGCTTTCAACCGAAGAGCAAGTATGATGGAGGGGAGGAAGTTGGAGAGTGAAACAAAAATCAATCATATTATAACTATGAGAGTTAAAATATTTTATTGTTACAAATTTTCCAAAAACACATGAGCATGTTCAATCAGTATCTAGGCCCCAAAAGATTGAATTCTATTTGGGAATAAGCTACCAAAAAATATCGTCTGGAAAAAAAAATAGTGCACAATATATTTTTTGTTACACTGATCAAATTATATCTGCTTTTTAGCTAATCCATTAATAATTAATGTATTGCACTAAGGTATTACATACCCGATGTGAGCCTTCATCCTATGGCATGGGAAGGAGGGGTTAGTCACAGAAATATCACCAGACACTGCCTTTGAAGAGCTACTGACCTGACAGAGGCATCAAAATCTATAAGCATTCATTTTCTCCTTTAAGAGACTTGATAGATTAAAAGAAAACAATAAGGCTGGGCGAGGTGGCTCATGCCTATGATCCCAGCACTTTGGGAGGCTGAGGCAGGTGGGTCACTTGAGGTCACGAGTTCAATACAAGCTTGGCCAACATGGTTAAACCTGGTATCTACTAAAAATACAAAAATTAGCCAGATGTGGTGGCGCACACCTGTTTTCTCAGCTACTTGGGAGGATGAGGCATGAGAATCACTTGAACCTGGGAGGCAGAGGTTACAGTGAGCCAAGATTATGACACTGCACTTCAGCCTGGGCCACAGAGCAAGACTGTTTCTCAAAAAAGAAAACAATAAGATGAATATATCTTGTCATTAAAAATATCTTAATTTTGTATTACACAGAATAATTACATGAAAAAATAAAGGCTAGAACAGAGCTCTTTAAAAAATAGTTTGGTTGGAGATTCACAGTGAGTTTGCTCAAGAAATAATGCTTACCAAACTATAGTATGCGTTGTTTAATCTTGAATACAAAGCTATTTAACTTTTGCAGCAGTTTTATGGCTGAGGGACTAGAGCACATGATTAAATTTACAGATAATAGCAAATTAGAATAAATGGTTATTACTTGGGAGGACAGGATTAGAATTCTAAATGACTTTGTAAAGCTGCAGAAGGAGGCATATAGACTAATGAGCAATAGCATTGAGAAATGTATGGGGAAGTATACTTAGGATTTTTTTTAAAGTTACACAAACAAAATATAGCAAATTCCTGAACAAACTTTTTTAATTAATTAATTAATTAATTAATTTTTGAGGTAGGGTCTCACTCTGTCGTCCAAGCTGGAGTTCAGTGGTGTGATCTCGGCTCATTACAACCTCTGCCTCCTGGGTTCAAGTGATTCTCGTGCCTCAGCCTCCCGAGTAGCTGGAATAACAGGTGCACACCACCATGCCTGGCTAATCTCTGTATTTTTAGGAGAGATGGGGTTTCACCATTTTGGCAGGCTAGTCTAGAAATTCTGGCCTCAAGTGATCTGCCCACCTTGACCTATCAAAGTACTGGGATTACAGGCATGAGCCACAGTGCCCAGCCGAACAAACATTTTTTTAATGTGGAAACTGCCATTCATCACAAATTGAACACACATCAGAATGTATGGCAATTACGTTTAAAAAAAAAGTTTTACTTTGGACATGGTTTAACAGTGTAACTGGAAGGAAACAGAAAGCAATATGTTTTTCTACTACATCTGATGCCATGCAATCTCTCTGGGATCCAGGTTCACTCTAAGTTAGGAGCAATGGTTCTCTGAGGACATTTGAATACAGAACTAGTAAACCTGATACATTTCTCCACTGAGTGAAGGTAATAACACAGAAGCCATCACCACACACACAGAGAAACACACACACACACACACACACACACACACACACCTCTAAAACTGGGGTCTAAGCCAATGCAGTACTTACAAAACATTTATGCTGGGTGCAGTGGCTCAAGTCTATAATCGCAGCTATGCAGGAGGCTGAGGCTAGAGAATTGCTTGAGCCCAAGAGTTAGCCCAGGCAACGTAGCAAGACACCATGTCTCTAAAAAATAATAATAAAATTGTCACCAGGCACGGTGGCTCATGCCTGTAACCCCAGCACTTTGGGAGGCTGAGGCAGGTGGATCACCTGAGGTCAGGAGTTCGAGACCAGCCTGGCCAACATGGTAAAATTTCTTTACTAAAGAATTTCTTTAGTAAAGAATTTCATAAAGAATTTCTTTACTAAAGAATTTAGTAAAGATTTCTGTACTAAATTCTTTACTAAAGAATTTCAACATGGTGAAATTTCTTTACTAAAAATACAAAAACTAGCTGGGTGTGGTGGCACACATCTGTAATCCCAGCTACTCTGGAAGCTGAGGCAGGAGAATTGCTTAAACCCAGGAGGCAGAGGTTGCAGTGAGCCAAGATCGCATCATTGCACTCCAGCCTGGGCAACAAGAGTGAAACTCCTTCACAAAATAATAATAATAATAATTGTAAGAATGTTAACATATAAACAGTATTTTAGGTAATAAAATACATGGGGTGTGGTCCCTGTGGATGAAGAAAGATTTAGAAGGATTAAAAACACAGTAATAGGACAGGCACAGTGGCTCAGCCTGTAATTCCAGCATTTTGGGAGGCCAAGGAGGGCAAATCACTTGAGGCCAGGAGTTTGAGACTAGCCTGGCCAACATGGTGAAACCCCGTTTCTACTAAAAATACAAAAAATAAGCCAGGCATAGTGGCATGCTTGTAATCCCAGCTACTCAACTTGGGTGCCTGAGGCACGAGAATCACTTGAACAGGGAGGCAGAGGTTGCAGTGACCCGAGATTGCACCACTGCACTCCAGCCTAGGCAACAGAGCGAGACTCTGTCTTAAAAGAAAAAAAAAAGCAATAATATGCATTTCCCTCCTTAATTAAATGGTGAATAAACTTCATTTATTCTATAACTAAAATTAGTGGCATTTGCCAGTTGTACATATGTGTCATATGATTCTTTCAGGGATAATATGAGGTATCGAATGTTAATAAATGTAGAAATATTTATAAAAATCAATGTAATACTTAGAGCAACATCATAAACACATTTATAGTAGTTTTGATGAGTTAGTCACAAGGATTGTGCCTTTGTGATATCAAAGGATCACAAAGCTGACAGCCTTCCGGAAGATTATGGCTAGTTAAAAATCAATAGCTATATTTAGGCTGGCCACGATGGCTCATGTTAAGTCCAGCACTTTTTTATTTTTTGAGACAGAGTCTCGCTCTTGTCAACCAGGCTGCAATTCTCCTGCTTCAGCCTCCCGAGTATCTGGGTTTACAGGCGTGCGCCACCATGCACAGCTAATTTCTGTATTTTTTGTAGAGACAGTGTTTCACTGTGTTGGCCAGGGTGGCCTGGAACTCGTGACATCAGGTGATCCACCCACCTCGGCCTCCCAAAGTACTGGGTTTACAGGCTTGAGCCACCACTCCCGGTCTGTAATCCCAGCACTTTGGGAGGCCGAGGCCGGTGCATCACCTGAGGCCAACAGTTCCAGACCAGCCTGGCCAACAAGATGAAACCACGTCTCTACCAAAATACAAAAATTAGCTGGGCGTGGTGGCGGGTGCCTGCAGTCCCAGCTACTCAGAGGCTGAGGCAGGAGAATCGCTCGAACCTGGGAGGCGTAGGTTGCAGTGAGCTGAAATCCTGCCACTGCACTCCAGCCTGAGCAACAAGAGCTAGATTCTGTCTCAAAAAAAAAGGAAAAGGAAAAAGAAAAATCAATAGCTATATTTAATTTTGACACAGGTCATTTTATCCCTCTGCTTTACTGGTATTTGAAAACCAATCACAAAAGTTTAAGGATATCCCATTAATTTCCCAGACAGAGTGAATTATATAACAAGATTAGATTAGATTAAAACAGTGGTATTCAAAAACATCTGAACTCAGGAATTTTCGTGGGGAACAAATCACCACTTATATTTTATCCATATAATTTTTATCCTGTTTTAAAATTGATGTATGACTTTATAATATTTTTCTACTGTAACATTTGTGTCAGTCGCGATAACTGTGTTTTATCCACAAGGATAATAAATACTCTAAAGAATTTCTTTATAGTATTTCCTACTTAATAGAAAATAAGTATCACTACAAGAAAAAGCAGTCTTAATTTTTATTTATTAGAAAAGGTTTTATTATATTATTTATGTAAATAATGATAAATACAACATTTAAACTATAACATATTTGATAGTCTTAGCAGCATAGTCTTTTTGTAACATAAGGGTCCCCCTAAAGCATTCCAATTTAAAATTTTCCTCAAAGCAAAAAGCTCTATGACTTAATTCTGAGGATTGACACTTCAACTGGGTAACATGTCAAATGAATTAGAGAAAGTGGGAAAAGAGAGAATAAGAGTAGTGATGGGGAATTAAGGTTAAATAGTTTTAAAATTAAAATTAAATATTTGTTAAATTAAAATTAAATTAAATATTTTTAGAAACTAAAGTGAAAGGGGCTTCCATGGATTCATGATGATAAAGTGAATGAATTAGAATAATGTTCTTAACCATTCTTAAGTTTACAAGTATTTTTAAGAGGGTGGGGACAGTAGAAGTATTTCCTGGTCGAGGCAAATGTGGTTCCTGGACCAATAGCATCAACGTCCCCTGGGAATTGTTAGAATGCAAATCATCAGGCCCTATTCCAGACCTAGTGAACCAGAAACTGTGCAGTGGAGCCAGGAATCCTGATTTAACAAGCTCTACAGGTGATTCTAAAGCAGGATAAAGAGGAAAAACCATATTAGTAACACCTGGGAGATTTCAACACCAATGCCCAGGCCCAGGCTCAGATCAATTAAATCAGAATTTCTGGAAACAGGGTTTTGGCATCAATATGGTTCTCAACGCTCCCAGTAGAGAACCATTGCCTTAGAGCGTACCTTTTCACCCCAGAGAAAAAAGCCAACTGGCTGAGTGCCAAAACTAACCCTCACTCAATGAATTAGTTGAATTCTGCATTTGTTTGTTTTACTTCTTTTTACAATGAAAGTTTTTCCTAAAAGAAGTGTGAAACCACAAGCTGAGTACAATCAGTCAAGGTTGATTAATTCCACTTAAACCATTAACACCCTTGTCAGCAGATCAGAACCCTGAGGAAATAGGGACCCTACAGTTTAATTTGTGTTTACATGGCAAGGGGGAAGGAGGGTGACTATCCTAACCCGTAGGGCACAATGAGGACACCTCAACCGCCAAGAATCTGGCGAAAGGGCCACGGCCGTAGTGAGAGAGAAGTTGGGGAGAATCCTACCAATGGAATACAGGCAGGCCCAGACAGGAGTTTAAAAGAACAGAAAAGAGGATGTAGTGTCACAGACAAATTTCACTTGCATCAGTCAGAGTTTACCTGAGGCCAGTCTTGTATAGCCAAATGGAGATTAGTAAGAAAGAAAGATAAATTATCTCTGAAATTATTTTGCAAAATAGTGGGAAAATTTTTTAAATTTGCTGACATTAAATGTACATGCAAATTTTTAGCAAGGTTGTGCCTAATCACCACCATGAAAACTTCTTTGGAATATGAGCCTTGGTGTTTACCAGTAGGGAAATGACAGGTTGTTCAAAAGGAAATGTTTCCCAAGTTCTGGTTGGAAGCTGGCATCAGAGAAAGAGGGAAATCTAGAACTGTTCTTAGTTTCTCTAGCAACAAGATTTCAAAAAATTGTACTGAAAGTTCAGTGAACATTGTTACAGGGATTTCCATTCTTCATAAAAAGAATAAACTTGCAAAAACTGAGACTGAATGATTTAGCAATTGAATTATAAAAGATCAATGTTGGATATTCTGTGTTTTAAAACATAATAAAAATTAGATTAGTTTAATTTGAATTCGAGACACTAAGTGATAAAGTTACATGTTCAGTATTTGAAGCTGTAGCTTTGCATAAGCAATAAATAATTAATAGGATTTTGAAACTTGGTCCAAGCATATAAAATAGTGCAAATACCAAGAAATAGCATGCAAAAAGAAAAAAAGAAGTTGAGATTGCAAAAGAGATTTTCTTATTTTTTAAGATAGCATGAAAATGTGCTTTAGTTTTTGCCTACAATAGTTCAAAACATTTAGCTGTCCCAGAATCACATGGAAGGCTTGTTAAAACACAGACTGATGGGCCCCACCTCCAGAGTTCTGATTCCAGAGGTCTGAAGTCCAAGCCAATTTTGCATTTCTAACAAGTTCTTTGGTGATGCTGATGATACTAGGTGTGGGAACCGCATTTTGAGAAGTAATAATATTTATTTATTTATTTATTTTTATTTTTGAGATGGAGTCTCACTCTGTCACCCAGGCTGCAGTGCAGTGGTGCAATCTCAGCTCACTGTAACCTCCTCCTCTTTGGTTGAAGCAATTCTCCTGCCTCAGCTTCCCACATAGCTGGGATTACAGGTGTGCGCCACCATACCCGGCTAATTTGTGTTTTTTTAGTAGAGTAGAGGTTTCACCATGTTGGCCCATGCTGATCTTGAACTCCTGACCTAAGGTGGTCCACCCACCTTGGCTTCCCAAAGTACTGGGATTACAGTCATGAGCCACCGTGCCTGGCCTGTAAAGTACTGATTTAGAATAATGAATAAATTCTAACCTGTAGAATTTGTTTAAAATTACATAACATGTAATATTAACAAAGAGATAAAGAGTAATTCAATAAGTATACTTGATCTACCACCTAACCTGAAGGATTAAACATTACAATGCAGTTAAAATCCTCTGTATCTCCCTCCAGGATTCCATCCCACTTCCAACCTCAACCATAGGGGTACTCACTATCCTTCATGTTTAATCATTATTCTTTATGGTTTGCAAATCAACAAGGAACAGGAAATCTAAAAGAAAATAGGCAAAGGATGGCCAGGTGTGTTGGCTCACTCCTGTAATCCCAGCACTTTGGGAGGCTGAGGCAGGCAGATCACGAGGTCAGGAGTTCAAGACCATCCTGGCCAACATGGTGAAACCCCGTCTCTACTAAAATACAAAAAATATTAGCCAGGCTGTGCCTGTAGTCCCAGCTACTCAGGAGGCTGAGGCAGGGGAATTGCTTGAACCCGGGAGAGGGAGGTTGCAGTGAGCTGAGATCGTACCACTGCACTCTAGCCTGGCAACAGAGTGAGACTCTGTCTCAAAAAAAAAAAAATTGGCAAAGGATATGAATAGGCAATCTTCAGAAAAAAACTCAAAAGTTCAGCAAATGTGTGAAGATATGTTTAAACTTAATAATCAGAGGTATACACATTTTTAAAAAATAATACAGTGACATAACCCTTTAGATCCATTAATGGACAAACATTGGAAAGTTGGATAATGCCAAGTGTTGGAGGGTTTGGGGGTGGGAGTAATAGGAATGTTCATGACTGTTGGTGGACACTGATACAGCCATCCAGAAGACAATCTAGAGTTTCTTGGTCAAATCAATATAGCTATGCACCATGCCCCTGCACTTTAGCTCCTGGGTATCCATCCCTAAGACATTTTGAACATCCAAAAGGAGACAAGTTTGAGGATGATGATGGAATCTGGTGTGCATGGTTGGAGAGTGAATAAACAAAATGTGGTAGATGCACTTACTCCTTGAACAACCTACCACCCAGCCACTAGAAAAGGCAGGAGCCCAGATGTATATAGAATCATAGATAGATCTTAAAATCCAGTCCTTAAAATCCAGATGTGTATAGAATCATAGATAGATCTGAAAATCCAGGCACAATGGGTCACACCTGTAATCCCAGCACTTTGGGAGGCTGAGGCAGGCAGATTGCTTGAGGTCAGGAGTTTGAGACCAGCCTGATCAACATGGTGAAACCCCGTCTCTACTGAAAGTACAAAAATTAGCCGGGTGTGGTGGTGCATGCCTGTAATCCCAGCTACTCAAGAGGCTGAGGCATGAGAATCGCTTGAACCCAGGAGGCGGAGGTTGCAGTAAGCCAAGATTGCTCCACTCACTGCACTCCAGCCTGAGTGACAGATAGAGACCCTGTATCACAAATGAAAAAAGAAAAGAAAAAAGAAAAAAGTTAGATGAAAATGAGATTTCTATCACAATACCATTTATGTAAGTTAAAATGCATGCACACAAAACAGGATGCATATTAAACACATCAGAATGGTTATGAGGGTGGCGGGGAGACGTAGAAATAGCAAATAGGACCCCGTCTCTACTAGGACCAAAATGGTGAAACGCCATCTCTGCTGAAAATACAAAAAAAAAAAATAGCCGGTCTTGGTGGCGGTCACCTATAATCCCAACTACTCGGGAGGCTGAGGTAGGAGAATCACTAGAACCCCGGGGGCGGAGGTTGCAGTGAGCCAAGATCACGCCAGTGCACTCCAGCCTGGGTGACAGAGCAAGACTCTGTCAAAAAAAAGGAAGGAGGGAATGAAGAAAGGAAGGAAGGAAGGAAGGAAGGAAGGAAGGGAGGGAAAGAAAGAAATCCTCACAGAATGAATAGTGTGCCCTAAACTAAGGAGTATAATTAACTCAACCTGAGCTCTATATAGTTTAAAAGAAATCTGCATCTCATCCTAGAAGAGAGAAAACAATCAAAGCAGGTTTTCTTCTTCCATTACTAGTATCAATATCTCCCATTGCCTCCCTCTTAGCCTCCCTCTTAGCCAGGTATCTTAGCTAGATTCCCATTCTCTTTGGATAATTTTGCTAAGGAAAGGTTTGGGAGGTCAAGGCGGGTGGATCATGAGGTCAGGAGTTCAAGAGCAGCCTGGCCAACATAGTGAAACCCCTCTCTACTAAAAAAACAAAAAAATAGCCAGGCATAGTGGCAGGTGCCTATAATTCCAGCTACTCAGGAGGCTGAGACAGGAAAATCGCCTGAACCCCGGAGGCAGAGGTTGCAGTGAGCCAAGATCTCGCCATTGCACTCCAGCCTGGGCGACCTTGTCTCAAGAAAAACAATTTAAGTCTGAAAGGAATCTAGCACTAATAAAGGAATATCAGATTTTAGGACTGATATTTCCAACCTCTTTGCATTCATCTATCACCCCTTGATTGATGAACTTACCATATATTTCACCAAGCAATTAGAAGCAATCAGAAGGGCAAGCCCCTACTGTCTCCATCCAACTCCATTAAAAAAGATGCATTTATTAATATATTTACCATCTCTTCCTACTACTGTGAAATGTCACTACTGCCTTCTGAAAGCCAACCTCCTTACACCCTTAATGGCTTCACCCCTGTTTCTCTTTCACATCATCAATATTTCCCTCTGTACTATGTCATTTCCATCCAGCTTACAACCATTTCCTGGTGTCTCCCATCTTTTTCTGCCATTTTAAAATATACTGGTAAATACACATAACTTTTTTACATAGAATTTCCTCCATGTTTTAAAAACTCTCATTTGGTGGATAAAGAAACTGTGGTGTGTGTGTGTGTGTGTGTGTGTGTGTGTGTGTGTGTGTATACATACACAATGGAATACTACTCAGCCATAAAAAGGAATAAATTAATGGCATTCACAGCAACCTGGATGACATTGGAGAATACTAGTCTAAGTGAAGTAACTCAGGAATGGGAAACCAAACATCGTATGTTCTCACTCATAAGTGGGAGCTAAGCTATGAGGATGCAAAGGCATAGGAATGACACAATGGACTTTGGGGGACTCAGGGGGAAAGGGTGGGAAGAGGGTGAGGGATGAAAGACTACAAATTGAGTGCAGTGTATACTGCTCGGGTGATGGGTGCACCAAAATCTCACAAATCACCACTAAGGAAATTACTCATGTAACCAAACACCACCTGTTCCCCAATAACCTATGGAAATAAAAAAAAAAACTCTCCTTTGAACTCAAAAACTACTAAATCTGACTTAATAATCTACTGCCTTTCCAAGTCACAGCAAAACTTTTCAAGAGTCCAACCTCTCCATATTCCTTCTTCCCATGTTGCCTCTCTCCAATCTCTCTTCAGTTCAGTTTTTGCCCCAAGACTCAATGATCTAACCTTATTCCATTTAATTTCTCCTTGGCGCTTCACATAGTTGACCAGTTTTCTCCTTGACTCAGTTTTCACTGACCTGACACTCGCTGGTTTGTCTTCCTTCACCGACTGCTTTTTTGAAATCTCCTTTGCCAACCTCTCCGCTGACCTCTACCTATTAAATCCACACTTCTTCACAAATCCTACATCCTTTCCATTGCTCTATATGCAAAATACATCCCATATTATCACCACCTCCACCCCTACCTGATTCATCCAAGCCATGATCATGTCTCCTAAACTACTGCTCTAGCCTCTTATGTCGTGTTCCTAACCCTTGCAAACCATTCTCCATAAAACAGCCAGAAGCATCCTTTTATTTTTATCTTCTTGAACTTGCAAACTACAAATTTAGAATAGTATAATGAGTTCCACTACCCATCACAACATTAATTAACATATGGCCAATCTTTTTTCAACTATATCCCCCACTGCACCTTCTCCTGGCTGGATTATTTTAAAACAAAGCTGTGACATCATTTCATTCACAAATTAGAGTGCTCCTTTGAAGCATAAGCCAGTCATGTGCTAGGGTGTCTCATGTCTCAGTTTGCCAGACTTGTCCCTGTTTTAAAACTGAAAGTTCCTTATCCCAGGAAACCCCTCAGTCCCAGGCATTCTGTGATCATTCAGACGTCAACTAAAATGAACCCTCCTCAGGGAAGATCTGAAAACTTATTTTTCTTTCTTTCAATTATATCATCCTGCAGGTTTCCTTCTTGGCACCTTTCAAAAGTTGCAATAGTCATATTGAAATATTTGGGTCTTGTTTACTGTCTAATCCTCCCACTAAAGTGTAAATTATAAGCTCTTTATGAAAAGGGATATTATCTAACTTATTCACCATTTTGTCTTGTACTGAGAACAGTATCTGACAGGAAGAATAATAATTGTTCATTGAATAAATGCATCTATGTATTCATAAGGCAGAGTGTTGATGATTGAATGTGAGGAAGGATATATCACATGAACATGGAAAGAAGGTTGTGACCTACACACTGTGCCCATTCATCCAATTGGTTCCCCAGTCAAGAGCCCAATATTTGAGAAATAAACCCTAATCTTTACTGAAAGACCTGGGGCAAATCATGTAATGCCTCCTAAGTCAAGTGAAACTTATAATGACATTCTCCTATCTGCCTCTAGCTTAATTTCTAGCAACTTTCTACCCAGCTCACAGTGTAATAAGAGTTTCTTTTAGATCCCCAAACAAAGTAGATTTCATTTTACTCTTCGTGTTTATTTGTACACAAAAGCATTGATAGTCCCTTGTTATTCTGTTTTTAAGAGTTGTTTATAAAGTTTTTTTACAGATATAAAGAAATGGAGTAGTCCAGAGTTTAATGAACTTTCAGATTTCAACCATTCATTTCCTTCACCACATTGTAATTCTCCGCCCCCAACCCCGTATTTCATGTAGAGGAGTTTCCTTTTCTGCCTGTGAGCTGGTATGCCCTAATTCTACTTACAATTGTGGGGAGTAAAGACTACCAGACACTGTGCCTCAGACAGTTGTCCGGAGGGCTTTACCACAAATCATCTTAGTTTTCTAAACATTCTTTGATGTAATTTGAGATATGAAGAAAAGATGCAAGAAAAATATAAAGAATTCCTGCCTATTTTCACTCAGATTCCCTGAATTTTAACATCTTGCCAACATGTTTCATCATCCTCTCTCTACCTATGTATATACATTATTTCTTTCTCTATACTGTTTGCAAGGAAGTTGCAGACATTATATCTTTAACACTTTAGTGTCCTAAAACCCCAGGGTCCAAAAACAGGAATATATATTCTCTTACATAACTGCAGCACAATTATCAAAATCAGGCAATTAGCATCAATACAATAGTCTTAGCTCATCTACACTAGCTAGAATTTATCTAGTTGTCGAAGTAACATCCTTTATAGTAAAATAAAAACCTGGGTCACAGACTGGCTAGAGTGGTCATGTCATGTTTTCTTTGATCTTAATAGTGGATCAGTTATTATTTATCTTCTATATGACCTTGACGTTTCTGATTAGTACAAGCCAATTATACCAAGAATGTTTCTCAGTTTGGGTTTTTCTGATGTTTCCTCATGATTAGATTCAGGATACACGTTTGGCAGGAATATCTCTGAAGTGATGTTATTTTCCTCTCCACGTATCCTATCAGGAAATGCTTGATGTTAATTTCTCCCATTACTGAAGATATTAACTTTGGTCACTTGGTCATGGTGATGGCTACCAGATTTCTAAAATAACTACTTTTCCCTTTACAATTAATGTCTCCGAAGAGATACTTTAAAGTTATATAAATACCATATTGCATATCAAACTTTCATGCACTAGTTTTATCATCCACTGATGATTCGATCCCAAATTATTACCATGATAATTTCCAAATGGTGATTTCTAATTCTGCCATTTCTTCAACATGTACCAATTGGCATTCTACTGTAAGGAGGTTTCCCTTCTTGCTCAAATACTTATTTAAATATGTACTCATTGATTCTCCTTTTATTCAGTGAGTTATAATCTGTTTCTATCTTTTCTTATTTTGATACTCAAATCGTCCCAGATTTGGGGCAACTGGAAGTCTCTTCAAGCAGATTTTGGTGTCCTTTTCATGTCTTTTCCTTCTGCCTTTGAGTACTTCCTTAATCTCTGGCTCAAGAAATCTCTGGGCGTGGAAATTTCTTAGGCTGGGTGTGGTGGCTCATGCCTGTAATCCCAGCACTTTGGGAGGCGGAGGCAGATGGATCACCTGAGGTCAGGAGCTTGAGACCAGGCTGGCCAACAGGGTGAAAGCTTGTCTCTACTAAAAATACAAAAAATTAGCTGGGCGTGGTGGCACATGCCTGTAATCCCAGCTACTTGGGAGGCTGAGGCAGGAGAATTGCTTGAACCTGGGAGGCAGAGGTTGCAGTGAGCCGAGATCATGCCATTGCACTCCAGCCTGGGCAACAGAGCAAGACTCTGTCTCAAAAAAAAAAAGGAAGAAAGAAAGAAATTTCCAATCTTACCTTGTACTTTTCCTGCCCCAGCCCTGGAACAAGTCATTTCTCAATAAGGCCTGTTTCCTTTTAGAGGAAAACAGTATTTAGGAACCAAAATCTGAATATTATTAGACGTGCTCAAAATTCAATCCAATACTCTGAGATTCATTCTAGCTTTCCCATGTTCCATATTTGTGTCTACTTGTCTCTAGCAATGAGAAACCTGGTTCTAAGAAGAAAGAAAAAAAAGAAAAGAAAGAAAAATAAAAATAAACCTGGTTCTGTTATTCAAAATATATTTACTCATTTGCTTAAAACAAGAATATCCAGAAAGTAGTTTCAGAGTTTTAAAAATATTAAAAATAGAACTATTATATGATCCAGCAATCCCACTTCAGGGTATATATCCAAATATATGAAATCAGTATGTTGAAGAGACATCTACACTCCCTTGATCCATGCAGCATCATTCACAATAGCCAACAAATAAAGAAAATGTAGATTTTAAAATGTGGATAAAGAAAACCATATACATAACATGTATATACAGTATATACACACACAGGAATACAATTTAGCCTTAAAAAAGAAGGAAATACTGTCCTTTGCTATGACATGAATGCACCTGGAGGACATTTTGCTAAGTGAAATAAAACAGGCACAGAAAGACACATACTCTATGATCTCACATGTGAAATCTAACAAAGTCAAAATCATAGAAGCAGAGAGTAGAATGGTGGTTGCCAGGGGCTGAGGCTTGGGGAAAAATCAGGAGATGTTGTTTAAAGAGTACAACATTTGGCCGGGTGCGGTGGCTCACGCATGTAATCCCAGCACTTTGGGTAGCCAAGGCAGGTGGATCACTTGAGGCAAGGAGTTCGAGACCAGCCTGACCAATATGGTGAAACCCTCTCTCTACTAAATACATAAAAATTAGCCGAGCATGGTGGTGCATGCCTGTAATCCCAGCTACTTGGGAGGCTGAGGCAGAATAAACGCTCAAACCAGGGAGGCAGAGGTTGCAGTGAGCTGAGATCGTGCCATTGTACTCCAGCCTGGCCAATGAGAGCAAAACTCCATCTCAAAAAAAAAAAATAGAGTACAAGCTTTCAGTTAGGATGACTAAGTTCTGGAGATCTATTACCCAGCATAGTGACTATAGTTAATAATAATGTGTTACACACCTGAAAATTTTGAATAGATTAGATCTTAAATTTTCTCATCTCAAAAAAATATGTAAAGTGATAGATATGTTAAATAGCTTTATGTATTTCGCAATGTGTAGTGTATATATATAAACATCACACAGTACACCATAAATATATTTAATTTTTGTCAATTACTCTTTAAACCTTAATAAAGTTGATAAAACATTCTTTTTTAAAAAGTTTTGGATTATAGTAGTGATAGATGGTTTTCACTTATTTCCCATCAAAAGTTTATTTGAGCATTCTCCTTTCACAGGCACCATTTTGGCTCTGCCCTACTCAGATATAATAAGATTAATCACTCTCAAGAGAATGCCTTTCAGGAGTTCAGAAGTTTACAGGCTAGTAGGGGGGAATTTTTTTTTTTTTTTTTTTTGAGATGGAGTCTTGTTGTGTCACTGAGACTGGAGTGCAATGGTATGATCTCAGCACACTGCAACCTGCGCCTCCCAGGTTCAAGTGATTCTCCTGTCTCAGCCTCCCGAGTAGCTGGGACTACAGGCATGTGCCACCATGCCTAGCTAATTTTTGTATTTTTAGTAGAGATAGGATTTCACCATGTTGGCCAGGCTGGTCTTGAACTCCTGACCTCAAGTGATTAATCTGCCTCGGCCTCCCAAAGTGCTGGGATTACAGGCGTCTGCCACCTCGCCCGGCCAGGGGGGAATTTTTTTTTTTTTTTTTTTTTTTTTAAGATGGAGTCTTGCTCTGTCGCCCAGGCTGGAGTGCAGTGGTACGATCTTGGCTCACTGCGAGCTCCGCCTCCCGGGTTCATTCCATTCTCCTGCCTCAGCCTCCCGAGTAGCTGGGACTACAGGTGCCCACCACCACGCCTGGCTAATTTTTTGTATTTTTTTTTTCAGTAGAGACGGGGTTTCACCATGTTAGCCAGGATGGTCTCGATCTCCTGACCTCATGATCCACCCCCCTCGGCCTCCCAAAGTGCTGGGATTACAGGCGTGAGCCACTGCGCCCGGCCCAGGGGGGGATTTGTTAATGCTACACAGACCCCAGATTTAGTTCTCCACCTTTGTTCTTGCACTTTCCAACACTTATTTATTTAAAAACCACAAATTTGATTTAAGGCTTTCTTGCTTAAAACCCTTAAAGTTCCCCATTATCTCACCATTTCATATTCCCTAGTATGGAATATAAATTCTTTCACAATCAGGAACTTGTTTAATTCCCTCTAGGGATTCCCTGTTTCTTTTCTGCCCACATCCCCCATATTCCAAAACCCACTACTCATCCACAACTCAGCTCCGAGGTCATAACCTCTTCATGAAAGCCTTTTTTGAATCCTAGGTCTCAGTTAGATGACCCTCTCTGATTTCCCTTAGCACTTTTTATTTTCCCTACTATAACACTTTCTGCATTACTGTTATTTATCTGTTATAATCTGAAGCCAGGCTTTGAATCCAGATTCAAATTATTTGTTGTGTGACATAACTTTTCTGTACCTCAGTTTCCTCATCTGCAATGTAAAGAAAATCACAATATCTACCTCATGGGTTTGTTGTGAGGATAAAATGAATTTATACGTAGAACAGGCTTAGAACGGCACTAGGCAAGCACTTTAAACTGTTTGCTACTCACAGCAGTATTTATATGTCCTTATGCCACATTCCTACATAGGTGCTCTCAGTTTTCTTGTTTGTCTCCATCGTAGCAGCCTGTGAGCTATGTAGAGCCTGTGACCATGTCCTGTTTTTCCTTCTATTCCTCTCTCCAAGCACAGCTCAGGGTACCAGGGTACATGGTAGAAATTCAGAAAAGGTTTATTGAGTTAATGTAAACACAACCCTGATTTAATTTTTCAAGGAAAATTTGTTCTATTTTAATTATTTTTATGTACAGAAAACTCAACAGTGTACATTTAACCCAGCTTAGTTGCAAGTTCTTGAGCCTTTGCCTTTTCGAGCTTGCCAATGCAAGCCACAGACTTGGGACCCAGGACATTGCCTCCCCAGTGACGGCGGATCTCATTGTATCTGTCATTGTAGTCAGTCCTGATAGCTCCCACTAGCTTAGCCAAAGCGCCTTTGTCTTCTGAGTTAACCTGTATGAAGGCGACAGTGGTGCAGGTCTTCCTGTGGACTAGACGTCCCAGTCTTGCCTCCCCCTTGATAATGCAGTAAGGGACCCGCATTTTATGACACAGGGCAGGCAAGAAGACAACCAGCTCGATGGGATCCACGTCGTGTGCAATCACCACCGGCTGAGCTTTCTTATTCTCTAGCAAGGTGGTGATGGTGTTAACTCCTGCTCGAAGGACAGGTGGTCTCTTAGTGGGGATGCCCCCTTTGCCAGCAGCTTTCTTTTTGGCCAGGGCCAACAGCCTCTGTTTCTTCTCTTGCTTAGTCTCTGATCTGTACTTGTGGGCCAGCTGAAGTAGCAGAGCAGCTGTTTGGTGGTCCAGGGCCTGGGTGAACTGGTTAATCTCAGGAGGCACTTTCAGCCACTTACAGAGGATGGCTCTCTGCCGCTGCAACCTGATATAGTGGGGGCCATTTCACAAAGCTGGTTAGGTCTCTTTTGGGCTGAATGTCCTGTCCAATGTCAAAATTCTTAGGCCGTTTCTCAAACAGGGGATTCACCACTTTCTTAACCTCCTGCTTCTTCACGACAGCAGGGCCGGAGCCACCTTCTTTCCCTTGGCCTTCTTTCCTTTCGGCAGGAGGAGAGAGCCTGATTTAATTATTTTTAAAGGTGATAAATGTTGACAAGATTTGAAGTTTTTTTTTTTAAAGAAAACCTTTATGTGATATATATACACAATGGAATACTAATTATCCATACAAAAATGGAATCCTGTCATTGGCAGTAACACGGATAGAACTGGAGGACATTATGTTAAGTGAAAGAAGGCAGGAACCTAAAGTTAAACACAGATTGTTCTCACTCATATGTGGAAGCTAAAAAAAAAAGTTGATCTTATAGAAGTAAAAAGTAGAACAGGGTATACTAGAGGCTTGGAAGGGTAGAGGGAAGAGGAAAATAGGGAGAGATTTGTTAAAGAATACAAAATTGCAACTACATAGGAATAAATTATAGTGTTCTGTAGCATTGTAAGATGCCTATAGTTAACAATAATATTCAGTTTCAAATTGCTAGAAGGAGGATATTGAATGTTCACAACATAAAGAAGTGATAAATGTTTGAGATGAGGAACACACTAATTACTCTGATCTAATTAATCACTATATGTTATACGTGTCATATCACTATGTACTCCATAATATGTGCAATTATTATGTGTCAACTTGAAACGTTTAAACAGATAAATTTTAAAAGAAAAACTTTAAAACTGAGAAATGTGAGCCAAACTAGATAATCCTCAGTGATTGGTTTTTTAATCTACATAATAGATTCAAAACAAAATGCTTCATGAGCCCCTCCCTGGATTGCAATTAATGGCAGTGTGAAAAAAAGATTATGTGATTAATCAGAGATAATGTAATCAACCAGGGCAGTGTGCCCGCCCTCTCTTTCTGGAGTATAAAAGGAGTTGTGAGAGGCTTGGGTCACCATTTGGTGAGCTGAGGGTGAAGCTACAAAGGTTGAAGCGTTCTTCAGACGACTCTACCTGAGGGTGAAGCTACAAAAATTGAAGCGTTCTTCAGACGACTCTACCTGAAGAAAGAACCCTGCTACAGAGAGGGGTGAGTAGGCCACACCAACTTTCATGATAAAGGGCCTGTAAGAGCTCCTCGAGCCTTGGTTCGGGTGCATATGTGATTAGGAGGTTTGTTTTTTAACATTTCTATAGTGATATTTGTTTTTGGTTGGTTGGTTGGTTGGTTTTTGAATTGAGACAGGGTCTCCCTCTGTTGCCCAGGCTGGAGTGCAGTGGCATGATCTCAGCTCACTGCAGGCTTCACCTCCTGGGTTCAAGCAATTCTCCCAGACCCAGCCTCTGAGTAGCTGGGATTATAGGCACCCACCACCATGCCCGTCTAATTTTTGTGTTTTTAGTAAAGACAGGGATTTCACCATGTTGGCCAGGCCAGTCTCAAACTACTGACCTCAGGTGATCCGCCTGCCTCGGCCTCCCAAAGTGTTTGGATTACATGGATGAGCCACCGTGCCCAGCCCCATAATTTTTTTCAAATAACCTTTATTTTTGCTTTGAGAATCTAATTGTATATACATGACCATAATTACCTGGACCTCTTAGAAAATGTTGATAGGTTTTTTTTATTTATGAAAGTATTACAAGCCACTGTGGGTAATTTGTTGTTGCTGTTGTTTTGAGATGGAGTCTCCCTCTGTTGCCCAGGCTGGAGCACAGTTGCTCAATCTCTGCTCACTGCAACCTCTGCTTTCCAGGTTCAAGTGATTCTCCTGCCTCAGCCTCCCAAATAGCTGGGACTACAGGGGCGCGCCACCACACCTGGCTAGTTTTTGTATTTTTAGTAGAGACGGAGTTTCACCATGTAGGCCAGGCTGGTCTCGAATTCCTGACCTCAGGTGATCTGCCTGTCTTGGCCTCCTAAAGTGCTGGGATTACAGGCATGAGCCACTGCACCCAGCCGCTGTGGGTAATTTGGGCAACAACAACAAAAAATAGAAAATAGAAAATAAAATGTCCACAATTCATACTGATTCACAAATAGTCACTATATGCATTTTCACCTATTTCTTTCCAGGCTTTTTTCCTATGTACAAATATTTTGTCTCAAAACTAGGATTCTGTCATATTAAGTTCATTTTTTTTAATTATACTTTAAGTTCTAGGGTACATGTGCACAATGTGCAGGTTTGTTACATATGTATACATGTGCCATGTTGGTGTGCTGCACCCATTAACTTGTCGTTTACATTAGTTATATCTCCTAATGCTATCCCTCCCCCCTCCCCCTACCCCACAACAGGCCCCGGTGTGTGATGTTCCCCTTCCTGTGTCCATGTGTTCTCATTGTTCAATTCCCAATTCCCACCTATGAATGAGAACATGTGGTGTTTGGTTTTTGTCCCTGTGATAGTTTGCTGAGAATGATGGTTTCCAGCTTCATCCACGTCCCTACAAAGGACATGAACTCATCATTTTTTATGGCTGCATAGTATTCCATGGTGTATATGTGCCACATTTTCTTAATCCAGTCTATCACTGATGGACATTTGGGTTGGTTCCAAGTCTTTGCTATTGTGAGTAGTGCCACAATAAACATACGTGTGCATGTGTCTTTATAGCAGCATGATTTATAATCCTTTGGGTGTATACCCAGTAATGGGATGGCTGGGTCAAATGGTATTTCTAGTTCTAGATCCCTGAGGAATCGCCACACTGACTTCCACAATGGTTGAACTAGTTTACAGTCCCACCAACAGTGTAAAAGTGTTCCTATTTCTCCACATCCTCTCCAGCACCTGTTATTTCAATGATTGGCATTCTAACTGGTGTGAGATGGTATCTCATTGTGGTTTTTATTTGCATTTCTCTGATGGCCAGTGATGGTGAGCATTTTTTCATGTGTTTTTTTGGCTGCATAAATGTCTTCTTTTGAGAAGTGTCTGTTCATGTCCTTTACCCACTTTTTGATGGGGTTGTTTGTTTTTTTCTTGTAAATTTGTTTGAGTTCTTTGTAGATTCTAGATATTAGCCCTTTGTCAGATGAGTAGGTTGCAAAAATTTTCTCCCATTCTGTAGGTTGCCTGTTCACTCTGATGGTAGTTTCTTTTACTGTGCAGAAGCTCTTTAGTTTAATTAGATCCCATTTGTTAATTTTGGCTTTTGTTGCCATTGCTTTTGGTGTTTTAGACATGAAGTCCTTGCCCATGCCTATGTCCTGAATGGTATTGCCTAGGTTTTCTTCTAGGATTTTTATGGTTTTAGTTCTAACATTTAAGTCTTTAATCCATCTTGAATTAATTTTTGTATAAGGTGTAAGGAAGGGATCCAGTTTCAGCTTTCTACATATGGCTAGCCAGTTTTCCCAACACCATTTATTAAATAGGGAAACCTTTCCCCATTTCTTGTTTTTGTCAGGTTTGTCAAAGATCAGATGATTGTAGATGTGTGGTATTATTTCTGAGGGCTCTGTTCTGTATCTCTGTTTTGGTACCAGTACCGTGCTGTTTTGGTACTGTAGCCTTGTAGTATAGTTTGAAGTCCGTTCATTATTTTTAACATTGTTTTATGATCATAACCTTTTTTAATGAATATTCTTGGGAACTATGATGTAGGTAGTTGCACGAGAGTCTTCATACAGATGTACCAGCACTGTATTTAACTTGTCACCAGTTGCAAAGTAGTAGAGAGAATGTATATCTGTGTATATTGATTATATTCAAACCAGTTTTTCCTCCAAAGTATACAATTCAAATTTGAACTACAAATTTTGCCTCATCAAATAAGTCCTCAGTAATTGTGTGATACAGCTTAGTTTAACGTAATCTGTTGATGATGTCAAAGCTCTGCTTTTAACACAAGGCTGAAATTTTGTACCCAAAACCATGCTTCAGGACCATAAAGTAACAGGATGCTGTTAGCGACTCGGGTTCAGATAGAATCTCCTGTGGTCACTGAATGATTTTCACACACAATTTTGGTCTCCATGACTGTGTGTTCAGTAGTGAAAGCCAAAGGTCAATGTGCTTCCTCCTTATAAATAACCAGTTACATGGGTGGCCTAAAAATAAGTTCTTCTTGGCCAAGACAGGTTAATGAAAGCCAGTTTGGTATCCTGTCATGCAGTATAGCTATTTTAGTGTCTCAGTGTAGCTAATTTGTCAGCCTTGCCTGGACATTAGCACATATTTAGATCTTGATGTTCTAACTAATGAATGACAGCTAAGGAATGTGTAGCTTCCTGGTAAAGAATTGATTGCATTATCACTGATTAGGTTGGGGGAATTGGAATTTAGTATCTTTGTGTATAGGAGCAGGAAAGGTAAATTATGATTTAAAATTCACTGAAGGATTGTAGGAGAAGAGAAAGGAAGAGGAAATTGTGGCAGGAACATAACCAAACTAAACAAAACCATTGCCCAGCCTGGGATTATAATTGTAATGGAGTACAATTAACGTATTTGAGTCAGGTTATTCAAAAGGTTATGGCTACAGTAGTTTAAAACAGAAAATACGAAAGAAAAATAGCAGGGCATCAAAGTTAGTGATATCAGTTGGCCTTATTTTAAGAGGCTTATAACCACACCTGAAAATTTCCAATTACCAGTCTAGAAATTTCCATAGACATTGACTATATCTGAGGAGGGGAGGAGTAATTCAGTGCTGTAATTTAAATTTAAAAACATTCAGAAGACTGAAAGCACAAATATTCAAAGTAACAGATGGTAGCCTCCTCTCAGAGGCAATAAAAAGACTTTACAATCCTCACCAGAAGTGTATTTAGTTATAATTTAGTTTTGCAGTTTCTTTTTAAGTATATTCCATTACAGTAGGAATTTTCTCTATTCTTGTCAAGCTTCTTGTCTCTCTTAAACCTCAAAGTATATGAAAAGCATTCTATTCATGTTCTTTTATCATAATACTGGGAGTATCTTGTCCAGAACTTGACCAGAAATTCTTATACACTTTCTTCTAGACTGTAGTCCCAAATCCTTAGAAGACTGTTTCAAGGGCTTTACCTCCACTCCCACATTACAACCTTCCAGCCTGAATTAGGTATCTCTTCTCAGCCTTCCCATAGCACACAATAAGGAACACCTATTACATAATTTAGGCCGGGCACGGTGGCTCACACCTGTAATCCCAGCACTTTGGGAGGCCAAGGTGGGTAGATCACTTGAGGTCAGGAGTTCAAGACCAGCCTGGCCAACATGGTGAAACCCATCTCTACTAAAAATACAAAAATTAGACATGGTGGCATGTAGTCCCAGCTACTGGAGAGGCTGAGGCACAAGAGTCCCTTGAACCAGGGAGGCAGAGGTTGCAGTGAGCTGAAATCGCACCACTACACTCTAGCCTGGGTGACAGAGTGAAAGTCTGTCTCAAAAAAATGGAACAATTTATCAAGCTGTATTGTCACTGTTTACATATGGGTCACTTTTGGGGACAATCTTACTCTTATTTATGTTTGTATATCCACCTCTTAGGCAATGCTGGTGTATAGTAGATTTTCACAGAAATTATGTTAGAATCATACAAAGAGACAATTGTGTTTTTAGCAGCAATGTCGGAAGTTCTGAAGCACATGGTGTGGTTTCTGATAACATGTGGCTGATATCAGAACACAGCCAAGCAAAGCAGCAATTATTCCATGTATTCCTGGAAGACTCATACCTCCATTTCTTTTCATCTTTCCACTCCCAAAACAATTGTTGTTCATTTCTGGTAATATAAGAATAGTGCTAACTGACCCTTTCTTCTTCAAAGAAGATCTAGTTGGCTCAGCAAAGAAAATGGGTTCTGTAGATCTTTAGAGGCTGCCCCGAGTAGAGGTACATGACTCTCCAGGGCAAACATTTCCAACATTAGAGGATTGAGTCAGATTTTTAGAATGAAACAAGGAACTTCGGAGAGTTCCCTGGAAATTAGAATATTTAATAATTCAATATTGTTGTCACAGTCATTAGATTAGATCTAGACTAATAGGAAGGAAAATCCTTGAAATTGCTGATGGCCAAAAAGTATCTCCCTTTCTCCAGTGTCTTCAGTTATCCATTTGTATAAATGGCAGGAGGCCTGGGTTACCAGAAGTATTACTACTGCCAGTGTAGCTGCTGCTGCAATCATAGTTCTTGGCACCACAAAAAATCTCTGTGCCTATTGTAGTAGTTATGGAGGATTTTGTCTCACTGCATGACATATCAGCTTTGTATTACCAAAGGCATACATCCACTCTGTCTAGCAATGGTGAGTCAACAGAAAGTATGCAATTCACTTCTCAATTACACTCTTTTTTTTTTTTTTTTTTTGAGACGGAGTCTCGCTCTGTCACCCAGCCTGGAGTGCAATGGCGTGATCCCGGCTCACTGCAACTTCTGCCTCCCTAGTTCAAGCGATTCTCCTGCCTCAGTCTCCCAAGTAGCTGGAATTACAGGTGTGTACCAGAATACCCAGCTAATTTTTGCATTTTTAGTAGAGACAGGGTTTCGCTATGTTGGCCAGGCTGGCGAACTCCTGGCCTCAAGTGATCTGCCTGCCTCAGCCTCCCAAAGTCCTGGGATTATAGGAGTGAGCCACCGTACCTGGCCTCAATTAAACTTTAATATTATTCAGCCTTTCTTTGGTATAACACAATAAAGACAATAGAAATATTTTCCCTAAATTTCCAAAAAAATTACTCCAGTTTTCAAGTTCACATTTTGCAAATCTAAGAATCTAATCACCCTAATACAAGAAAACAGTTTATTTTCTTAATTTTAAAAAATTTTTTACTGTGATTTATTTATTTTGAGACAGGCTCTTGCTTTGTTGCAGTGCCACAATCACAGCTCACTGCAGCTCTTCCTCCGAGGCTCCAGGGTGCCTCCTGCCTCAGCCTCCAGAGTAGCTAGGAATACAGGTGTATAACATCAAACTTGGTTTTTTTTTTTCTTGCCTTTTTCTTTTTTTTTCTTTTTTTGTAGAGACGAGGTCTCACTATGTTGCCCAGGCTGGTCTCAAGCTCCTGGGCTCAAGTGATCCTTCCATCTTGGCCTGCCAAAGTGCTGGGATTACAGGCATGAGCCACTATGCTCTGCCTAATAAAACAACTTAACGATATTATGGCAAAATTGCCCTAGGTGTGCCTTGTTAGGTATTTTTCTCAGGGCGTGGTTTCTGTATGCCTCATAATGCATAATGGGAGGATGATACCACAGGGGAAGTTAAGTCTAAAATTCTCTGAGCAAAGGCTTTGCCAAAAAGATCAGCATGTCACTATCGCTTTGGGTGAATCTGTACTACATCAATAATTTATTCCTGAGTCACTGATACTGCTTGTCAGTTCTTGTTATTCATTTCAAAGAATAAAAAGTATGATTATTCTAAACAGTAACGTAAAAGTGAGTTGTTAATCGACTTTTACAAGAAATGCCCAAATATAACAAGCAGAAATTAGTAAACAATCTGTAGCACTTAGGTGATACTATCCAAGATAAACCCATCTATTATCATCATCACTTCTTGATTTCATCCTCTAATCTCATTGTCTGCTGCCAGATCCTATTCCTCAGGGTTTCTGTTGTCTACCAAACACTAGCGCAGTCATCCAAACATCCTGAAATCAAGCATGAAACAATTATAGCATGAAATATGCTAGTTTCTTATTAAATACTTATTATGTGCCAAGTACTGTGTTAAGCACAGGGAAATTAATAGAACACAGCCTTTGTCTTGGAATTCTTCAAAGGGTGTGAGAGAGATAGATGACATTTAAAAAATGATTATCATCATGGGATGAATGCTGCAATAGAGGTATTTGCAAGGTACAATGGAAGTACAGGGAATGGAATACCTGTGTTGATGAGGAAGTCAGGAAAATTTAATTTAAAAATTAATATTAGGTGTGGGCATGGTGGCTCATGCCTGTAATCCCAGAACTTTGGGAGGCCAATGCAGGTGGATCACCTGAGGTCAGGAGTTTGAGACCAGCCTGGCCAACATGGTGAAACCCTGTCTCTACTAAAAATACAAAAATTATCTGGTGTAGTGTGCGTGCCTGTAATCCCAGCTACTCAGGAGGCTGAGGCATGAGAACTGCTCCATATATATATATATGGAGGTTGCAGTGAGTCGAGATCGCACCACTACACTCCAGCCTGGGCTACAGAGTGAAACTCCATTTCATAAAAATAAAAATATAAATTAATACTAGGTTTTAGGGGAAGTAGCAAGAGAAAATTCCAGGTAAAAGGAATTGCAGATACAAAGCCATGGAGGTCTGAGAAAATGTGGCATCTATGTTAGAAATCACAGTTGGTTTCAAACATCTAGAAAGCATAATGGAGTGGAGCACGAGGTAGGGCTATAAGGCAGTCATGATCTTGAAGGGTCTTAAATATCTTGCGAAAGAGTTTGGACTTTATCTAAAAGTCAGTGTAGGATCATTGGAGGATTTTGAGAAAGAGGATAGCAAGATCAGATATGCATTTTTTAAAATGATACTGAACATATGCTTTTTTTTTTTTGAGACGGAGTCTTGCTCTGTCACCCAGGCTGGAGTGCAGGGGTGCGATCTCGGCTCACTGCAACCTCCGCCTCCTGGGTTCAAGCAATTCTCCTGCTGTGACTACAGGCACCCACCACCATGCCTGGGTAATTTTTGTATTTTTAGTAGAGACGGGGTTTCACCATATTGGCCAGGCTGGTCTCGAACTCCTGACCTTGTGATCCACCCACCTCGGCCTCCCAAAGTGCTGGGATTACAGGTGTGAGCCACCGTGCCCGGCCACATATGCATTTTTAAAATGCAGGGTGGATTAAATGGGACAAGACAAGTCATTGAATTAAGTTATTGCAATACAACTCAGAAAATATTGTGGAAGGAAGTAAAAGGGGGAAGGAGGGAGGGATGGAGGAGAGAAAGAAGCAGGGAAGGAAAGAAGGAACAAATGAACAAATAAGGCTTTTGACAGTAAAAAATTAGAAGGAGGGGGACAATCTCTGAGCCACTGCTCTCCAGACTCAATAGAATGTGGTAGCCAGTCAGACAGAAAAGAAGAAAAGGGAGGAGTCTAGTAAGATTGCCATGTCTGTGGCTTGAGCACCTGAAGGACAAAGGTTTCAGTCATTGTCTCATGATAACAGTAAAATGAACAGGTCTCATGGGGGAAGAGAGATTATTGGCTCAGCCTAAACCATGTTGAATATGAGGTGCCTCAGTTCATCCCATGGAAATATAAATACATCCAGAGCTCAGAAGAGAAGACTTTACTGGAAGCACATCTTAGGGTCATCTTTGAATGTTTGGAAGTTGAGACCAAAGAAGTCCTCTAAGTAAGTCTGAAATTGTAAAGTGTATAAGAATGACAGAGAAAGAATAGGAAATATTCTTTAAAATACCAACACCTATAGGGCAGGGAGGCAGAGGAAGACAAGCCATCCCAGGGGCCCCCATAAGAGAGTTTCAAGAAAGAAATAAAGATATGGAATGAGTTGCCTCATCTGTCAAGTAGGATTGTTGTAAGAGTTAGATAATGCTCCTAAAGTGTCTATTACAATGCCTGCACATAGTAAGCACTGAATAAATGTTGAAGGGTGATTAGCTTTAAACAGGACATATCAAAGGCCATAAGGATGGCTTGACTGTATGGAGGCGAGAAGGATAGATCATTTTGCTCACTCTGCTCCCCTTATCAGTCAAAAGAACACTGGAGAGATGAATCAATGATGTTCACCATGTCCATTAGCGGGAAATCAACAAGTTTGACTTCACCAAAATCAGTTCATATTTACAAATAACATGCTAATGAGGAAAAATATCTTATAAATACTCCCTTGTAACAAAGATTATTAAAGCTGTTCTACATTAATTAAAAGGATCATAATATAATGATACTTGTAAACAGCAAGGACTTAAGTGGAGTTATTTGGGGGAAGTGATAGTGTATAAAGCTATTTGACAGTTTCATTTCCATCCTTACTTGTAAAAACAGTAAATTTACTTTTCACAGTGAACACTAAATAAAAGAAAAATGGCTTAAACGCAGCAAAAAAAATCATTTGGTTTAAAAAATGAATTTCACGGCCAGGTGCAGTGGCTCACACCTGTAATCCCAGCACTTTGGGAGGCCGAGGTGGGCGGATCATGAGGTCAGGAGATGGAGACCATCCTGGCCAACATGGTGAAACCCTGTCTCTACTAAAAATACAAAAATTAGCCAGGCATGGTGGTGTATGCCTGTAATCCCAGCTACTCAGGAGGCTGAGGCAGGAGAATCACTGGAACCCAGGAAGCAGAGGTTGCAGTGAGCCAAGATCGCGCCACTGCACTCCAGCCTGGGTGACAGAATGAGACTCTGTCTCAAAAGAGGAAAAAAAAAATGAATTTCACAGCCAGGCATGGTCGTTCATGCATATAATACTAGCACTTTGGGAGTCTGAGGCAGGTTTGCCCAGGCTGGTTTCGAACTCCTGGGCTCAAACAATCCTCCTGCCTTGGCCTCCCAAAGTGTTGGAATTACAGGGGTGATCCACCGTGCCTGGCCAGATGGTGTTTTTTCGTGACAACAGCAACCCAGGATGGACATAACAGGAATATATAATATTGTGGAAGATCACGGAATGGCCTCATTCATGAAAGACTAAGGAAGGTACCCCACGGTAATGCATTTCATAACATATCTAACCAATTTCCATAGTTTTCATCATTTACAATAGTGCCTCTCAATAAAAATGAATTACTTGAAAAGTGAAAAGTACCAGCCTGGCAAACATGGGGAAACCCCGTCTCTACTAAAAATACAAAAATTAGCGGGATGTGGTGGCAAGCGCCTGTAATCCCAGCTACTTGGGAGGCTGAGGCAGGAGAATCACTTGAACCCAGGCAGCAGAGGTTAAAGTGAGCTGAGATCACGCCATTGCACTCCAGCCTGGGTGACAAGAGTAAGACTCCGTCTCAAAAAAAAAAAAAAAAAAAGAAAGAAAGAAAAGAAGTGAAAAGTAAAAAACAAAACACAAAGCCTTTTTTTTTTTTTTCTTGAGACAGAGTCTCATTCTGTTGGGCGGGCTGGAAGGCAGTGCACATGATCTAGACTCACTGCAACCTCTGCCTCCCGAGTTCAAGTGATTCTCCTGCCTCAGCCACCCTAGCTGGCATTACAGGCGTGTACCACCATGGCCCACTAATCTGTGTATTTTTTTTAAGTAAAGATGGGTTTTCGCCATGTTGGCCAGGCTGGTCTCGAACTCCTGACCTCAGGTGATCTGCCCACCTCAGCCTCCCAAAATGCTGGGATTACAGGTGTGAGCCACCGCACCCAGCCACAAAGCCTAATTTTTGAAATTAAGTTCAATAGAAATAAAGTTACCCTGTCAAATCGCTGTAAAAGTTTTTAAATGCTTGCTCTCAGTTTCTATGCTTATCTCCTCTCAGACCAGTAACAGTTCATAGATTGGCACCAGTTCACAGACTACACTTAGAGTAGCATTAGTCTGGGGAACAACATCTCTTGAAGTAGCCATCAGAATGAAAAGGAAGGGCAGATTTTCAGTAAAGTATTGCATAATCATATTTTATGATTCACTTTTACTAAACTCATGGAAGGATGAAATATAAGCCCAAATGCCAGTGCCTTTGTAATGGAATAATTCCTTTACAGGATCAGAACACGTAGGAAGCCAAATTAATAATTGAAAGCTTGTTTGTTTAGCAAAGAACCAGAGCATAAGAAAGTAAATAACCTTAAGGGATATTTCAAGGCCATGAGTACAGCCTAACAGAGTGATGGAAGCAGGGACTCTTGCAGTTAAGCCACTGGAATTTGAATTCCAGCTGCATCACATAATACTTGTATGACCCTAAGCTTTCTGAGGCTGCATGTCCTGATTTTTATAATGGGAGTAATATCAATCTGGAGAGATTTATGAAAGGTTTAATATAGTGCTTAATACCCAACACATAGTAAGCACTCAATAAATGTCAGTCAATGTTATTAATACTATCCTATAATAAGGTATATTTCTACAACAACCAGCACATTCAGTACAGATTCAATGCCTCTTCCCTAGACAGTGCCTGATAAACACTGACAACCTTCATATCTTTAGACCTTTCTATTCTGTGTACCCAGTCATCATCTTCCTTCTGTTCTCACAATCTTCCTCTGGGCAGATAAAATAAAATTGATTTTGTTTCCGCTTACAATCACATTCCAGGGCACTTACAATCACAACCCAGGTGACTTAGGTTATACCCAAGTCACCTTGGGTTTTAGATGTTTCCAAACGTTTAGAGGTGATTTCTTGGTTTATAGCCACAAACATGATACATAAACAACTTTAATTTCCCAGGGAGCTTCTCACTGGTTGGGCATTATATTCTCACATTTGATGGCAAACAAATACACATTGAAAGTAAATTATAATCAGATCAACTATCCAAGAACATGGAATCAGAACGAAAGTGATTATAAAGTTTTTGACAGCTGCTGTCAGGTTAGGATAACCTGGTGCTTCTATCTCTGCTGCAGAGAGTACAATAAGGCTACAGACCTATCGGTGCAACCTCTTTGAGCATTTATCTGAAATGATTTTTCCCCAACTGTAAGAGTATCATTTTTGGAAAAAAAATACAAAATATAGGAAGTTATAAATAAAAAATTGTTTATCATCACATCACCCAGTGACACCCATAAAGTATTTAAATGTCAGTTATTACCTGTTAACATTTTAGTTTATTTCTTTCTATTTTTATAGCATTTCTTTTTATTTAACATTACAATTATTTATTTATCTTAAAGACATTAAGATATTTTCTTTTTCTTTTTTTTTTTTTTTGAGACAGAGTTTTGCTCTTGTTTCCCAGGCTGGAGTGCAATGGTGCGGTCTCAGCTCACCACAACCTTCGCCTCCCGGGTTCAAGTGATTCTTCTGCCTCAGCCTCCCGAGTAGCTGGGATTACAGGCATGTGCCACCACACCCAGCTAATTTTGTATTTTTAGTAGAGACAGCGTTTCTCCATGTTGGTCAGGCTGGTCTCGAACTCCCGACCTCAAGTGATCCAACTGTCTTGGCCTCCCAAAGTGCTGGGATTACAGGCGTGAGCCACCTTGACTGGCAAGATACTTTTAATATCCGAAAAGTATTTCATTATATAGATACTTCAAGTGATATCACCCACTATGAGTTGATTTTTTAACTAATTTCTATCTCAGAGTCTGAGTATTCTAATAAATTCAACAAAACAGTGCAAATATGTGTTTAGCACATGGCTTGGAAAACAACAAGAGCACAATAAGTTTTAGCTATTCTTGCTGTTATTGTAATCTATCAAGAGTTTAATTGTTCTCTTAATACCTAAATATACAACTTTTAGGAGTCCCGCTGCTATATTCTCAAAACCCTCAGAAATAGTGTCTTTCTCTAAGCATACTTTGAGTGCCTTTATTTATTTTAAGTTTCTGGTTTATTCCCTACAAACATATTGCTAATGAAAATGTGAAATTATGGAACTTTTCATCAGTGTGCCTATACATTCAGCACCATAGCATAAAACAGGCTCAAAACCATGGCCTTATATCTCTGTTTGGCCTTTGACAATTTTTAGAGGCAGTGTGGCATTTTGTGATGTAAAACTTCTCCATTTTATTTCCATATTTCTAATCTCTCCACTTTTCTCTGCCTCCACTGTCCTGATCATAGTCAACACCAACATTGTCTTCCATTTGACAAGGCAGGAAATCTCAAGTGTTTCACCCTGTTAAAATAATTCTACTCTAGGGCCTTCTCCAATCCATTCTCCACAGAACAGAAAAACAATTCTCTTAAAACAAATTTCCTGATATGTGGTGTGATTCACTGTCAGCAAAATAAATCCAAATCCTTTCCATGGCCTACAAGGTCCTACGTGATCCAGTCCCTGCTAGATGTCCAGGCTTATTTCCTTCCCTTGTATTGCTGCAGTCCCTCAGGTCTTCCAACTCCTTGAGTACCAACCAAACTCCCACCTGAAATTCTGTGTTGTCATTTCCTCCACCAAAAATATCTCTCTTCCTCCCCCTCTTTTTGTGATTCATTCTCATCATTTAGATCTGGATCTCCTGGGAGACACCACCCCTGACTTCACTGTCTAAAGTAAGTCACCCCAGCCATTCTGTTGACCTCCTTCACAGCACAGATTATAAATATATTCTATGCTTATTTACTTGTTATTTTCTCTCTTTTCTCACCTGTATATAAATTTCATTGGGGCAGAAAACATGTTTATGTTATTCATAAGATAGCAGAGTGCCTGGCATATGCTAGGCATTTAACACATATGTGTTGGGGAAGGAGGGAAGGTTGACAGCCACAGCTATGGATGTAGGTGAAAACCCCAAGGAAAGTGGAAAGTGAGTCCAGGAGGCCCTAGGACAAAACTCCAGTGAACACCATTGTTAACGGGATTGAGAGACTAAGAACCCTGCAAAGAAAACTTAGAAAAACTGGGAATAGGATGCCCTAATAGAATTTTATGTGGGAAAGTAATATGATAGTATGCAAATAAATAGTGGTTGAGTATTTACTATGTGCATTAATATGTCTGAGGATTAAAGAAATACATTATAGGACAACTATATTTAATGGTGGCTCACGCCTGTAATCCCAGCACTTTGGGAGGCCAAGGCAGGCGGATCATTTGAGGTCAGGAGTTCGAGACCAGCCTGGCCAACATGCAGAAACCCCATCTCTACTAAAAATACAAAAATTAGCCGGGTGTGGTGGCAGGTGCCTGGTAATCCTAGCTGCTTGGGAGGCTGAGGCAGGAGAATCACTTGAACCCGGGAGACGGAGGTTGCAGTTAACCAAGATTGCACCATTGCACTCCAGCCTGGGTGACAGAGCGAGACTCTGTCTCAAAAAAAAAAAAAAAGAGAGAAATTTCAAAAGGCTTCTATACTCATTTTCTCTTATGTTCAGTATCTTCCAGCCATGAATGGAACTATAGAAATACACGAAGATAGCAACGTTTGTTGAACATCCCTAGTTAAAAAGCAACTGTGTTAGGATAAGAAAAAAGCATGACTGTTGTAGCTTTTGTTAAATAAATGTTATTATGCTTGCAGGAAATTGTTCAACAACATTTCTCCTTATGTAAGGCCTGCCCCAGTAATGCTGCTTAGGTCACTGTCTGTCTGGATTATCTGCAGCCTAAATGCCAACTCTGTAAATTAAACCTGTCAAGTGACAGCTTTGCCATAGCATGCATATCCAACCTTTAAAATTTATTTATACTCCATTCCCTTTCTCTAGCCAGATTAAATTCTCCTTTCCTAAGCTATTTTTGCCTCAGTTCAGACTGTGGCATAATTCAACATGTTCTAAACAATCACATGGAGACTGTGGCCTTCCTGATTTTCAATTCCCAAATGATTTTTATTCAGGCTATAGAACAGCAACAGAAATTTCACCAAATTTGCTAAAATAAGAAGAGTCTTCTCAAACTAGATTCCTCCAGGTACCAGTAGGCAAAACAGTCATGAGTTATGGATAGATTCATAATAAGTCCTTTATTCAGTGCCCCAAGGAAATGGTGCCTTTCAGCATGCAAATGAAAAGTATTCTCTTACTAATCAATCTGTCCATCATTTCTTTTTTGTTTTTCCTTGAGAGAGAGGGTCTTTGGTCTGTTGCCCCAGATGGAGTGCAGTGGCATGATCACAGCTCACTGCAGCCCTAACAACTCCTGGGCTCAAGCAATCCTCCCACCTCAACCTCCGAGGGAGCTACAACTACAGGAATGCACCATCATGCCCAGATAATTTTTTTTTTTTTGTAGAGACAGGGTCTGACTGTGTTGCCCAGGCGGTATCTGTCACATCTTAATACACACACTAAGCTCCTACAGAAGTAAATACTATATTAAGCGGCAGAGTTACTAATGTGAATACACATTCTCATTTGATTTGGAGACTACCTAGACAACTTTCAGGTTTATATTTAAATTGATTACAATTAGACATGAAAAAGGGACAGAGAATGGGCATAATAGAGATCGATTCAAGAGAATTGTTTCTTAAAATAGACTTTAAAAAAAAAAGTTGTTCAAAACTGCCTTAATCAATTTTACAGAGAAAATATTACCTCAAATGGTTTGATATGATGACTTGATAAGATGTTACTTCTGATCCAGCAGGATTCATTTATTAATATAAATATTTACATCTGTAGTACCCTCCTAGGTGGGTGACTGTTTCTATATGTCTGACTCAACAAAACACAGTAGCCCACAGGCAGCTATTGGCCTTTGGACTTTGTCCTTAGGCCAGATTCCTTAAAAGGCTTGTTGTGACAAGCTTATTTGCTCATTGGAAATTTCTGTGTCTAAATTTCCCACAGAAATTAGGATGTAGCTCTGCTACAGCATTTTGATTATTCATCAAAACTTACTCAAAAGACTTTTGATAAATCTTTAAATCAATGTCTTAAGGAAGAAAATTAAGTCACTTTTTAATATAGAGCATGTTTTAGTTTTGAACAATATTTAAGCACTGCAAATTATATGTTCATAGAGATTTAAGCATAGGCATACCTTGGAGATATTGCAAGTTCAGCTCCAGACCACCACAATAAAACAGGTATTACAATAAAGGAAGCCACATGCATTTTTTGGTTTCCCATTTACACTACATTGTTGTCTGTTAAATGTGCATAGCACTATGTCTAAAAAATGTACATACCTGTTTTGTCCCACTGAACCCATAGCTGGAGTTGCCTTAAAAGCAGCAGCAGGAGAATTCGTACAACAGAGTACCCCAAACCATTTGAAGACAGGGCTGGTTTGAGATTTCAAAGAAAGCAGCTCTAAATGCCAGAGTGATCAGTCCAAAACATTTATTAAAGGAACTTGCAGGGTGTTGCAATGTATTATTGTGATGGACAGCAAGAGAAAAGGGATGTTTTACCCACATTAGTCTGTAGCCAGGGGGTGAGGGGATGGAGTTTACATGAAAATTTAAGGAATTCGGCTCAGGGTCGGGGTCAGTTTCTTTCCAGTAAACCAAGACATTATTATCAGTGCCTGGGAATGTTCAAGCTGGTTTGGGTTCAAGCCAGCTGAGGAAAACCTATGGCTACAGCTGGCTGGGTCACTGTGATTTTGGTCAAGACACAGAAAGGAAGTGGGGAAAACGGGTACCCTAGAATACCTTAATTTAAAAATACTTTTGCTAAAAAATGCTAACAGTCATCTGAGCCTTCAGCAAGTCATAATCTTTGCTGTTGGAGAATCCTGCCTCAGTGATGATGGCAGCTGACTGATCAGGGAGGTAGTTGCTGAAGGTTAAGGTGGCTGTGGCAATTTCTTGAAATAAGACAATGGAGTTTGCTGCATTGATGACTCCACAAAAAATTTCTCTGTAGCAGGCAGTGCTGTTTGATAGTATTTTACACACAAGAGAACTCCTTTCAAAGTTGCAATCAGTCCTCTTAAAACTCACCCACTGCTTTATCAGCTAAGTTTATGTGATATTCTAAATCCTTTATCATTTCAACAATGCTTACGGCATCTTCACCAGCAGTAGATTCTATCTCAAGAAACCACTCTCTTTTCTCCTTCATAAGAAGCAACTCCTCATTCATTCAAGTTTGATCATAAAATTGCAGCGATTTAGTCAACTCTTCAGACTCTGTTTCTAACTCCAATTGTCTTGCTATTTTCACCATATTTGTAGTGATTTCCTCCACTGAAGTCTTGAACGCCCTCAAGGTCATCCATGAGAGTTGGAGTTAACTTCTTTCAAACTCCTGTTCATGCTGATACTTTTACCTCCTCTCATGAATGTTCTTAATGGCATCTAGAATCCTTTCCAGAATGTTTTTGGTTTACTTTGCTTAGATCCATCAGAGGAATCACCATCTACAGCAATTTATAACCTTATGAAATGTACTTGTTAAATATTAAAACCTGAAAGTCAAAATTATTCCTTGATCCATGGGTTGCAGAATGGATGCTGTGTTAGAAGGCATGAAAACAATATTACTCTCCTTGTACATCTCCATCAGAGCATTTCAGTGACCATGTGCATTGTCAAGGAGCAATAGTATTTTTAAATAAATCACGTTTTATCAGTAGGTCTCAACAGTGGACTTAAAATATTTAGTGAGCCATGCTAAACAGATGTGCTGTCAACCAGGTTTTGTTCTTCCACTTATAGAGCACAGCAGAGTAGATTTAGCATAATTTTTAAGGGTCCTAGGATTTTCAGAATGGTAAATGAACATCTGCTTCAACTTAAAGTCACCAGCCACATCAGCCCCTAACAAGAGAACTGCCTGTCCTTCGAAGCTTTGAAGCCAAGCATTGACTTCTATAGCTATGAAAGTCTTGGACAGCATCTTCTTCCAGTATAAGACTGTTTTGTCTACATTGAAAATCTGTTATTTAGTGTAGCCACCTTCATCAATGTTCTTGGCTAAATCTTCTCAATAACTTGCTGCAGCTTCTCCATCAGCACTTACTGCTTCACCTTTCATTTTTATGTTAGGGAGAGGGCTTCTACTCTTAAACCTCATGAATCCACCTCTGCTATCTTCAGACTTTTCTTCTACAACTTCCTCACCTCTCTCAGCCTTCATAAAAATGAAGAGAGTTAAGGCCTTGCTCTGAATTAGGCTTTGACTTAAGAGAATGCTGTGGCTGGTTTTCTATCCAGAACTCTAAAACTTTCTCCTTATCAACAATGAGGCTGTTTCACTTTCTTATCATTCCTGTGTTCACTGGAGTGGCACTTTTAACTTCCTTCAAGAGCTTTTCCTTGGCATTCACAACTTGACTGTTTTGGGTATGAGGCCTAGTTTTCGGCCTATCTCTGCTTTCAACTTGCCTTACTCAGCTTAATCATTTTTAGCTTTGATTTAAAGTGAGAGATGAATGACTCTTCCTTTCACTTGAACACTCAGAGGCCACTGTAGGGTTATTAATTGGCCTAATTTCAGTATTGCTGTGTCTCACTGAGGGACTGGCCCATCAGCGGAGCAGTCAGAATATATTCAACATTTATCAAATAAGTTTGCCATCTTAAATGGGTACAGTTTGTGGTGGCCCAAAACAATTCCAATAACAATATCAAAGATCACTGTTCACAAATTGCCATAACAAATGCAATAATAATTTAAAAGTTTGAAATATTGGGAGAATTACCAAGATGTAACACAGAGACATGAAATGAGCACATGCTATTGGAAAAATGGCTCTGATAGACTTGCTCGACAAAAAGCTGTCACAAACCATCATTTTGTTAAAAAAAAAAAACAATATTTGCAAAGCACAATAAATGAAGGTATGCCTGTATACTACATATTTATTTTTAATAATCATATAAGAAAATTAATTGGATATAAAATAGGCTGTTCTAAAACAGCAAGAGGGAAATAAACTTTAACAATGCTGACAGCAGCCATGGCATACTTGAATTTTTAGGACTCTTGTTAAATATGGGTATGGGAACTTACCCTCTGCACTAGTATCCAGACACTTACTAGATTATGGCCCATTGGGGTATTTGCCTCTATTACATATATTTGCTAGACTGTCATTATACCTTGCAATCTAGTGTCTTTTTCTAGGTTGATATTGTCACGTTTAATCTATTATGGCAATGATATTACTCTTGCTATGTTAAATGTTTTTATCAGACTTCCTTGTAGCCCCAACCAATCTGAGAAGATTGAAAATCAAGGAATCCTTCACTCCTTTTGTAAACTTGGTAAAATGGAATCAATGTTTACTAGATCTGCTGTTCTTGTGAAGATTTCTCTGTTCTTCTTCATCAAGATTTGCCAATCTTCCTCTGCACTCTTGCCTTCTGCAGTCTTTCCTCTTCCATAAAAATATCGCTTATAATATTCTTTTTTTGAAATGAAGTCTCACTCTGTCTCCCAGGCTAGAGTGCAGTGCCATGATCTCGGCTCACTGCAGCCTCTGCCTCCCAGCTTTCCAGTGATTCTCCTTCTTCAGCCTCCCAAGTAACTGGGATTAGAGGTGCCTGCCACCATGCCCAGCTAATTTTTTGTATTTTTAGTAGAGATGGGTTTCACCATGTTGACCAGGCTGGTCTTGAACTCCTAACTCCTAATCTCAGGTGATCCACCCACCTTGGTCTCCCAAAGTACTGGGATTACAGGCATGAGCCTGTATGCCACCATGCTCAACTTCCTTATAATATTCTTCTAGTCTTATTTCCCAACTGCTGGCTTTTATATTTTGAATTGTCAATAGAAAGCCCTGCCTATCGTGATGAGGTTAAGGACACATGTTTTGCTGAGAGAAGTAACTTCCAGCTGAGAATCTTGTTTAGCAGGAGAGAAAATCCTCTATTTTAGAGCCTCTCCTGGAGCTTAGAGTAAGCATTGGCTTTTAGAGGTGTTTTCTCCCTTTTTGATGTCTGGAAGCACTATTTTCAAGTCTGTTAGAGACCCACTTTAAATAAGTACAGGTGCTAATGCTCTGAGTGCAAGTCTGTAAGGGTTAGTGAGTCCTCAAATCACAGAAGTCTCCTGACCAATGCTGGGATGTTCTACTGTTCTCCAAGAATCTGCAGCTTAAAAGTATTAAACTAAATACAGCAGACACCCTCAGCATAGCAGTGAACCACAATGGCAGCTGACAAGCAGGAACATTTAATGGATTGGTCAGCAAGACCACACTTATATCTTGTTTAAAATGTGTCCTTTCCTTTGGGAGACTGAGGCAGGCAGATCTCTTGAGGTCAGGAGTTCAAAACTAGCCTAGTCAACATGGAGTTTTCTAAAAGTACAAACAAATTAGCCAGGTGTGGTGGCAGGTGGCTGTAATCCCAGCTACTTGGGAGGCTGAGGCAGGAGAATTGCTGGAACCCAGGAGGCTGAGGTTGCAGTGAGCAAAGATTGCACCACTGTGCTCCAACCTGGGCAAAAGAGCAAGACTCCATCTCAAATAAATACATAAAATAAAATGCATCGTTTCTCTCAACAGCAAAAGCCTTATTTTTTCATCCTTTAAATATGTTACTTTCATAGTAGGATAAGATGGTACCTTGTCTGAGAGGCTAAGACCCCCAGGCCACTTGAGAATTTGAGAGCTTTTAGAACTTGATGAGCATAGCTGACTGGATACTTCGTGTCAGCACTGCTTGTGGTAATTACAGGATCTGTGGATCACAAGGCTCACAACTTGTATCACAAGTTCTACAAGAAAATTGGCTAACACATATTTGGCTCTGTTAATCATTTGCTGAGTTTATATCTTGTCCCACCAAATGTATTTTTTGAAATGCCATTACATGAAAAAGTTTCACTATTCCAATTATCTGTGTTTACCAACTTGTGGAGTAAGAGTGGCTGACTGAATATGTGCTTTTTAACTACACTATTATATACATTGGCCAAGCTTTTTATATTAACCCTACCCATGAAGTATCACCAATATTTCCCCCAGTGTGAAATTGACATTTGTCAAAAGCCTTTTGCCATATAAAAGTTTTTAGTTCTTATATATGAAATCTGTCCCTTTTTTTCGACATGAGTTCCCCAGCCTGCTTAGCTTTGCCCCTACCACCCAAGATTTTTAAGCTTTCTATATTTTCTTAGAATTTAAGATTTTAAAGTCTTTACTTTTTTAAATCATTTATTTGTAAAGGGACATATTTCTCAAGTGTGCTAGTTTTCCTTGATTTTAATGGATTAAAATGTGTCGTAGGTGAGCCATTTTCTTCCAAATGACGAAGAGTTTTTGTTCCTTTGAAAGTCTGGCCCAGGATTTTGTTTGTTTTTGTTTTTTTAAAGTTCTTATTTTACTTACAGAGTTAAGAAAGTTGAATAACTATACAACCAGTCTCTAAATAGAAGTTCTAATAAATCCTAAGATGTTGCAGGGCACTGAAAGAGGACAAAATTTGATCCCTAAAGCCCTCTCCAATCTCATACTCGGTGAAAATAACAAACAAAAGGCTTCAGTGTTAGTGGAAAACTGAGTTCTTAAAAAGCAGGTAAAGGTCCTGTTTGGTCCTTCTCCAGAGCTGAGGAGAAAGGGTTTTCAGATTATAAATAACAGAGGTGCCCTTGTATGGCACAGAATTGCGATAAGACTTTACTTCTTAGGGGCTTAAATAATGAAGTCAGTAAAAGAGGACTGAAAACGAACATAAAGAAGAGCTTTAGCTTTGACGCAAAGAATTACATCAGTGCTTGACAAAACCGAGGATTCTTAATTTCTAAAAACGCTTTCTTTAAGCACTTCCTAACCTTTCATTATCTGAGACAACATATCAAGTGAGCAGCAGTACAAAGGATGCATGTGATTTCGAAATGCCACAATTGAGCCAACTGCAGTTGCACGCGTACGTAGTATAGAGAGGTGTGATCAAAAAAAGAATATAGGGAGCATAGGGCTTCGTCTGCATCAAAAGATACTCTCCCCATCTTCTATAGCCTTAAGTTTTGCGAAGGTAAGTTTCTCCCCGCTTGAAAGCGCCCCCAGGGACAAGAATTCATCTTGACCAAGCCTAAGGCCGTGGCATGCAAGGTGTTGAGTCACCGGGTACAGCGGTCTTGCGACATAAATATTATTTGATGACGAAGGTACTCGGGGCCCAGGTGCCAAGGTAAACCACTGGCAAAGATGACCGTGGTTAAGGCAGTAGAAAGCAGGCTCGACACTGAGACGCGGTTCCAGCCCTAGAAGGATTGCATTTTACGATTCAGGCAAACTTCGAGTCTCCTCATGTGACATGTGTGCACTCCTGGACCGTTTTAATTATGAGAAACGTGGTTTGCAGCATGATTCCTTCCAGTCGATAAATCGGAATCTCTCTCGCTCCCACCCCTTCTTAACTTCAGGCTTCCTGCATCCCGGAGCACTCCCGGCAGCCCCTTCCCTCCCCCGCCCCGGGGATGCTCCGACTCGGCGCTTAGCCATTCATCAACCGGTTCACACCGGCGGCGGCCGCCGCGGAGTGACGTCCGGAGGGGGCGGGCCTCCGCCCCCGCCTGTCGGCTCCTGGCCCGCGGTTCCAGGCCGCGATTGGTGGCTGGAGGGTTGCACGTCGCGCCGGCTATAAAGGGGAGGGCTTGTGACGCAAGGGCGCCTCGGCGCGTGTATTGGCTCCTTCGGCTGCGGGCCGGCTCGGCTACGCGCTCTGCTCCGAGCCGCTCACTGCATGGTAGAGTCTGGTGCCCCCGCCGCCGCCTGCATCGCCGCCACCGCCGCTCCGCCACGACCACCGCCGCCTCCTGCCCTGCAGCCACCGCCACCGCCTGTGTCGCCGCCGCCTCGGGACCGGCTGTATGATTAGGCCACAATCTTCAATGAGTAAACATATTCCTGTGAGTAGCCGTCGCATCGTCGCCTCTCGGGCTGGGAATCCACGACCGGCCCCCCATCCCCGCTGTCGCCTTTGTTCGGAGCCCGGCGTCTCCTCCAGGTTGCCCCGGGTTGCGGTTCCGGTGGGTCCCGGGTGGGAGCGGGCGGGTTATGGCCCTGTGGCCGGCCGATTGCGGCCGGCTGTGCGGAGGCAGATGCCGGGCCCCTCGGGGCTGCGGGGTGGCGGTTGGCCGCCGGAGGCACCGGCTTTTGAGTCCCTCCCGAGCCCGGAGCGACGGGGGCGGCGCGGTCCGGCTTCTGCGGCGGCCGGGGGCAGTTTCGGCTTCCGCAGCGGGCCGGGTGGGTGGCACAAAAGCCGCTTTGTGACCGCCGCCTCCGCCCTTGGCCCTTTGGTCTGGCGCGACCCGTCCGGGCATGGCAGGCTCCGCGGCGTCCCGGGGCCTCTTTGTTCGGCCGGAGGAGAGTGGCTGCACTGGGAGCGGGAGACGTGGCCCGGGGTGGGGCGAGGGCTGCGCGTGTCACTGCGGAGCCGGATACGGGGAGGGCGCGGCGGTGGCGGGTTCGCCTCCAGATCCGGGCGGGCGTGGGGTAGGCCGGACAGCCAGGCACGGGTGGTAACGATCTGGTTCCAGAGCTTCTCGGAGCTCCGGGGTGGGCGCGGGACAGCCACTGGGTGCAGCTACACTCTTGTGCTCGACGGCCGGGACCCGAGCCTCAGACAAAATGGCCTCGGCGCCCGCGCCTGACTGAAGGCGCGGCGCGAACCCGTGATTGCGGCGCGGAGAGGGGGCGCAGCGGGCGTGCTCGGGCGCACACAGCCGCGTGCGCGGGGCGGCGGCCCTCTGGGGCATTCCGCGAGCTGCACCCCTGCCCGGGCCAGAGTGGGGTTCTGCTAGGTGAGAACTTCGGCCGTCCGCCCCGCCCTCCTCCCAGGCTCCACCTGGTAATTCGAGCTGTTCCGGATTTATCGCCCCACCTCGGGCTCGTGATAATGGGAACAAGTCTAGTCTTGTCCTTTCTCTGGGCCAGTCGTCGAGAAATGGCCTGGTTCGGAGCGTCTTGGAAACTGACAGGGCTACTGTTAGTTACACTGACGCGAAGGACTTCCCGTCCGGGCACCAGCATACATTTCCCCTGCCAATTTTGGAAGGGCCCTGGATGGCGCCTTTTAATCGGGGACTGTTTAGAACTATCCCTGAGCTCTGTGGTGTAATATGTTGTTGCCTCCTGTTGGTTTGTGGCAGCAGTAGCCAACCAGAGACGGAATTCTGAGGGTTTTTTATCTTCTGTCCGCGGAGCCCCCTACCAGTCCACGAGTATTAAGTTATTTACACTACGATTGGAACTGTTGACCTGCCCGACATCTAGATCCTGAGGCAGTGCTTCCTGTTACTCAGTCAGTTGAAAACTAGAAAACTAAATCATTCCCAAGAGTGAGCAGCATTTTACACATGCTTTCTTAGGTGCCCTAAGACCTAAATAGATGTGGAACAGACTATACAACGAATTGTTTGTGACAAAGGAGTTACACACATTAATTGGCTTGACTCTGCAGTATAATAATGATTTAAGCTTCTGCACAGAGATTACTCTTTCCTCCTCTCCCTTCTTGTATATGATTGTGATTATAATGCAACTGATAGGTGGGAGGGAAAAAATCCCCATTATGGATAGTTTTTCCTGTGGGTAGGAGATTGGGAATGGAGGAGTGTCTTGGGCGGAACAGAAATCTATCGGTGGCCACCACTGCTTTAACAGACGAGTCCCCCCATCCACTAGGTGGCTCCACTCAGTAAAAATAACCATTTCAGGAAGGGAATTCTTAATATAGTTCTTTCTCTGCTTCCTGATGAAAGTGCTTACTTACATGAAGGGATATGGCCAGACTAGGTTGTAGCCGACAGGAGTTTTAGCTATTAAATATGGAAATAGTGGTGTGAAATACTGCCTCAAATTAGCTTTTAATTGAAAAAAAGGTAATACCTAGAAATTAGAATACTGTGATGAGTCATTATAAAGCTTTTAAAGATCATTGTATGTCATTGGGAAAGTGTCAGAATACACTTTTTATTCTACGGAGGTTGTATTTAGAATTTGGGGTGAAAGTATAATGAAATTATTTTCAGATTACTACAATCTGTATTCACTGTAACTGTGATGGCTTTGTAATTTAGACACTTAATTTTTTAACCCAGCTGACCAACTAGGTGAAGTAACCTCTGAGGGCTTGTTTGAACAAACTTGTGATAATGAAAGTTACCTTTTTTATGGGACCTTTTGATAAATGATTGTTAATGCTAGTTGTATGTTTTACCAGAAAAGTAGACTGGGTTTTTGACTTGATGTTTTCTGCAGTAATCATCATAAGAATTATTCTTCAAAATTTAGCAAAGTTCTAGAAACTATAACTAGCATGGGACTATTTAAAGGTGTAAAATGGAAATGGGAGCAGATCGTTTGAATTTTAATTTTAAGACTTCAAATGCTTAAATTTAAGCATGGAAACTAATGGAACCTTTTGTTAAAACACTTTGGTAATGAGAGTACACATGAAGTGCTTGAGGCAGTGACTATGAATTACTGCTCTTGTTAACCTGTTATTAATACTTTCCTTAGTGCCCTCTTTACTCCCGAGTACACAAGTACCTTATAAACTATTTGGAAGAAGACTGATTATTAACATCAGTGTCTTCCATGTACATATTTTAAAAATATGCTGTGACTATTGGTTTAATGTTTGATATTGGCATAAAAATGGTTTAGTTCTTAAGGGGGAACTTAGAGAAAATATAAATACATTCATATTTGTTTATATTTATTGGTTACAGTAGTTACCTTGCTTTTGAGACCTGCCACTTCCACCTTCAACATCCCTTTGTCCGCCTTCTCTGAGTTGGATTTCAGTTTTGAGTTGTATATGTGAAATTTTGGTTTTAAAATACAAAAGAACATTATTAAAATTATGAATATTTTCTTTACAGTTATAAATGAGAGTTGTTTCCTTTTTAGATTCATAAGCATACATTCTTATGATATTTCACATAACAAGTTGATTTTCAGAGACTCATTTTCCTCGTCTTCAGTTTAATGGGAATGATAACAGATTGTTAAGGATAAAGTGAGATTCTAAATATAGGACTTAAATCAGTCTAAGAAAAGGATATAAAAGCATAAAGTTGGAAAAGAACTTAGATGTTTCAGTTTATGAGTTAAGTAAATTATGCAAGACTAATAACTTCAGAGTTATCTGGAGTTTGTATTAATGTGTAAAAATGTTTTTGTTAGTTGGAAAAATCAACATAAAGTGTATGTAATTACAATGTAAAGAAAACAACTATCGAAAGGGATAATTATTAGAATCATATAATTATATATTATATATAGATAGTATATATACAGAGAATATAACTAGATAGAATATATATGAATATATATATGAATTTCACAAAAATGTAACAATGGGTTTGGTTTTTTTTTCTGAGGAATCTTGGTAATAGATCATGGATTTCAGTTTAATCTATCTGACTGCTTGTTTTATGCTGATTGATTTAATCTGTACTCACCCCTTGAGTTTTGCAATTCAAGTAAAAGTCGATGAAGCGGCTCAGGCCCTGCTTTAGAAAAATAGTTGTGTACTTAAATAGTGTAAAACCCTAATGTATTTCTTTTGAATTGGAAAATAACTTATTCTCTCTTTCTGTCTTTTTCTTTTAAACAGCAATTCTGTGGTGTTCTTGGTCACACATTTATGGAGTTTCTGAAGGGCAGTGGAGATTACTGCCAGGCACAGCACGACCTCTATGCAGACAAGTGAACTGTAGAAACTGATTACTGCTCCACCAAGAAGCCCCCATAAGAGTGGTTATCCTGGACACAGAAGTGTTGAATTGAAATCCACAGAGCATTTTACAAGAGTTCTGACCTGGATGGGGTAAACCTCAGTGCACTTCTTTTCTGTTGGCCTCAGTATTACTGGATTGAAGAATTGCTGCTTCTTGTTAGGAGGTTCATTTCACTTATCATTACTTACAACTTCATACTCAAAGCACTGAGAATTTCAAGTGGAGTATATTGAAGTAGACTTCAGTTTCTTTGCATCATTTCTGTATTCAATTTTTTTAATTATTTCATAACCCTATTGAGTGTTTTTTAACTAAATTAACATGGCTCGAATGAACCGCCCAGCTCCTGTGGAAGTCACATACAAGAACATGAGATTTCTTATTACACACAATCCAACCAATGCGACCTTAAACAAATTTATAGAGGTAAGATTTGATATGTTTTAGTAGCTTAAATTGATTGCAATATAATAGTGGGACTTATAGCTAACAAAATAAAAACTACTTTGGAAAAAATGAGATGATATACCTACAATTCCAGTTCCCAGAAATAAATGTCAATGTCTTCTATAGGTTAGAGGTATATTTGTACATTTTGAGAAGGGCATGTGCTTGAGTTAATAGTTATTGTACCTGAGTTTGCTTGAATTGGTATGTGGACAGTAAAACAGTATAGCTCTTACTTATCTTGTAAGAAATTTACATGGGAAAGGTTGCCATTTATGGATTTTTTATATATCTGCTTAACCTAATGACTAATGCCATAAACCAGTTGGTTTTTCTTGAACCCCATCTGATGCTTAGAATCCAATTTTCAACTACAAATTCTGTTCCTTCCTAATGGTAGCTATGTAGCCAAAACTCTACCTGCCTCTTTTTACTAGGAGAAAGGAATTGAATGCTGAATAATATATCGGGATGTGCACATGTTTTATTTTATAAATACCTACAGTTGTTAAGAAATAGCAAATAGGCCTCTCAGAACATAATGGAAATACTTTTTTTTCCTTTTTTTGAGATGGAGTCTCGTTCTGTCACCCAGGCTGGAGTGCAGTGGCATGATCTCAGCCCACTGCAACCTCTGCCTCCCGGGTTCAAGCAATTCTCCTGCCTCAGCCTCCCAAGTAGCTGAGACTACAGGCGTACGCCACCTTGCCCAGCTAATTTTTGTATTTTTAGATGTAGTTTCACCATATTGGCCAGGCTGGTCTCGAACTCCTGACCTCAGGTGAGCCACCACGCCTGGCTGGGAAATACTTTAATGGTACTTTAATTTTTATTACTATATATTATATATACACTAATATATACTATATAGTGTATATAATAGTATATTATATTAGTAATATGTAATTAGTAATAATGCATTTTGAAGCCTGTAGTTTTAAATGGTATGTGGGCTTTTTTACTGTAGTTAAGACTTCATTCAATGTAAATCAGTAAAGTTTAAGGAGTGAGTATAATTGAGTGAAGTCAGATTACCCGATTAGTTATAAATAATGCCTTTAGTTACATTTACCTTTGTCTGCATTGCTGCTAGCCCCTTTTGGTTAATGTTTCATCCCAATCCGGTATTACCATGACTGTAAACAACTTCAGTGTATGAAGGGGGCACACAATTTAAACAAAAGAAGGAAAACTTTTCCAGTTTATTAAAAATATGTATGGTATTTAATATTCACTTTTCTTTTTATATTCTAGCATTGTCACTTAAAACAAAATTTGCTTTTGTGTTAAACATAAATGGATTCTAGCATTCTTTAAATGATCTTCTGTTAACCAGCATACTTACTGATCAGAGATGATCAGAATATAAAATGTTGAGTTATAGTGATGTGGTTAAACATTAAGATTTTTTTAATGTACGTTTTATCCAGGAACTTAAGAAGTATGGAGTTACCACAATAGTAAGAGTATGTGAAGCAACTTATGACACTACTCTTGTGGAGAAAGAAGGTATCCATGTTCTTGTAAGTATTTAACAGTTCTTATGGGTTTATGGTGCTGTGCTACAAAAGTTTATTCAAATAGTAAATTCAAATAAATATCTATTTAAGTCATAAATAGACCTCAAAAAGCTAAAAACAAATATTATATTATTGTGCAGAATCTTAATTTCTAAATAAAGGTGAAAAGCTAAGCAAGGATTTGAAGTTGTGAAACATTTTTGTAAAGATTGAGCATTTAGTCACATTTGGTAGACAACAGGGTTTAATAAGATTTGATTAAACATTAAAATGAGAATGCTTTTGAAAACATTTCCATGTTAGAAATTTAGAATTATTACTACAGTGTTTATATTAATGATCTAAAATGTTTAAATATTCTTCTGACTTAGGATTGGCCTTTTGATGATGGTGCACCACCATCCAACCAGATTGTTGATGACTGGTTAAGTCTTGTGAAAATTAAGTTTCGTGAAGAACCTGGTTGTTGTATTGCTGTTCATTGCGTTGCAGGCCTTGGGAGGTAAATGAATTTATCAATTTGATTCTAGGTAAAAATCTATTGATAATGAAAATACAGAAACTTGAAAAATTCTTATAATTTTTTAATATAAAGTCAACATTTGTCATAGGTATTACTTAAATAGGAAGGGTGGTAGATAATACTTCTGAGTTGGGGAATGTTTGGAGAAATAAATTTACAAAGATCTGATTTTGAAAAAACTATTTATCAAAATTCTTACCTCACCAGAGCTCCAGTACTTGTTGCCCTAGCATTAATTGAAGGTGGAATGAAATACGAAGATGCAGTACAATTCATAAGACAGTAAGTAATGGATTCTCTTTTCATTTGTACTCTCTTTCATTTCCTTGTTGAGTGTCAGTGAGTTTAATAGTCTAATAGCCCATTTAATCATTATGATTATTTTTTGAGATAGTATTAAAACCAGGAAATCAAGATCTTACATTCTTTTTTGCATTTCATGCAGTTGCTCATATTACTAAGATTCTAATCCAACAAGAGTTTTTGAATTATTGTTTTGCTTTAAATACTTGATTGAATATGTTGGTTATTTTGTATTTTTATTGAGGTATAATTAAGATACATTTAAAGATACAATAAAATGCACAGGTCTCCAAAGGAGACCAGTTGACAATAACAGCCAAATTAACCATCCAATACAACACATAGAATATTTTGAGTGCTGTAGAACATGCCTTTGTGGCTTTTGTAGTCATCTTCCCTGCTACCAGAGGCAACTTCTGACTTCACTATAAATTAGTTTTGTCTTTTCGTGGACTTACGTGTAAATGGATTTGTGAGTCGACTGTTGTAACCAATACTCAAACGAAGATATAAAGAAAATTAACTTTTTATGATTTTTTCCATTTACACTGATGTGCCTGTTCATATTCCTTTCTGCATCAGGTCACAGCCTAATTAATCAAAAGATAAATTGCCACAAGAGAGGTGATGGTTGTCTATAAGACACTAAATATTACTGTAGGGGGCTTTTGCCTTGTTTCATTTTTTTTTTTTTTTCCTCCCAGAAAGCGGCGTGGAGCTTTTAACAGCAAGCAACTTCTGTATTTGGAGAAGTATCGTCCTAAAATGCGGCTGCGTTTCAAAGATTCCAACGGTCATAGAAACAACTGTTGCATTCAATAAAATTGGGGTGCCTAATGCTACTGGAAGTGGAACTTGAGATAGGGCCTAATTTGTTATACATATTAGCCAACATGTTGGCTTAGTAAGTCTAATGAAGCTTCCATAGGAGTATTGAAAGGCAGTTTTACCAGGCCTCAAGCTAGACAGATTTGGCAACCTCTGTATTTGGGTTACAGTCAACCTATTTGGATACTTGGCAAAAGATTCTTGCTGTCAGCATATAAAATGTGCTTGTCATTTGTATCAATTGACCTTTCCCCAAATCATGCAGTATTGAGTTATGACTTGTTAAATCTATTCCCATGCCAGAATCTTATCAATACATAAGAAATTTAGGAAGATTAGGTGCCAAAATACCCAGCACAATACTTGTATATTTTTAGTACCATACAGAAGTAAAATCCCAGGAACTATGAACACTAGACCTTATGTGGTTTATTCCTTCAATCATTTCAAACATTGAAAGTAGGGCCTACATGGTTATTTGCCTGCTCACTTTATGTTTACATCTCCCACATTCATACCAATATACGTCAGGTTTGCTTAACCATTGATTTTTTTTTTTTTTTACCAAGTCTTACAGTGATTATTTTACGTGTTTCCATGTATCTCACTTTGTGCTGTATTAAAAAAACCTCCATTTTGAAAATCTACGTTGTACAGAAGCACATGTCTTTAATGTCTTCAGACAAAAAAGCCTTACATTAATTTAATGTTTGCACTCTGAGGTGCAACTTAACAGGGAGGGCCTGAGAAAAGAATGGGAGGGGGCTATTAATTATTTTTAGCAAAATGTTGCCTTTGTCTTGTGCAAACATGTAGAATATGCTCTTTAATTTAGTAAAATATTTTTTTAAAAGGTAGAGATGCTTTGTTATTGTAATCATAAACTTCCTGAAATTCTTGTAATTTTTTTCCCATACTTATCAGAAGTGTGTTTACCAACTTATTTTTGTTTGAAAGTGTGATTTTTTTTTTCCTTCCCAACCTCTCTTGCAAAAAAAGAAATGGGTTTCTGCTAATGAATTGAGCAGACATCTAATATTTTATATGCCTTTTGAGCTGTGTAACTTAATATTTGGATACTTGACAATTTGTTTTATTATGTAATTGATAAAATGGTGATGTGTATTAATGTTAGTTCAACCATATATTTATACTGTCTGGGGATGTGTGGTTATAGTTCTGTGGGAGAAATAATTTTGTCAGTGTTCACCAGCTTGTAAAAACTTAGTGCGAGAGCTGAAACATCTAAATAAATAATGACATGCATTTATCATCATTGAGATTGGTTTGCTTAAAATTAACTTATTTTGTAGAAGACAAAATGAATTGCACTTCACTTAATGTGTGTCCTCATCTTTTTACAAATAAATGAAGGATTATAAATGATGTCAGCATTTTAGTAAACTTTTAGACAAAATTTGTTAGGGTCATTCATGAAAACTTTAATACTAAAAGCACTTTCCATTATATACTTTTTAAAGGTCTAGATAATTTTGAACCAATTTATTATTGTGTACTGAGGAGAAATAATGTATAGTAGAGGACAGCCTTGGTTTGTAAAGCTCAGTTCCACTAGTTCATGGTTTTGTGCAACTTCTGAGCCTCAGTTTTCTCCTTTGCAAATTAATAATTACATACCTTTATAGATTTTGAAATTAATTTAAATATTAGTATTTGGTACATGAAGGCTTAATGTTAAGTTTCCTTTAATGATCCACAATAATCCCTTTGATCACGTTAATCTAAATCTAGATGTCTTTGTCTAATTTTTTTTGAATAGCAGTTATAAATGTAAAGGACTCAAAGTTTAAGTAAAAAGTGATACTCCACCTTGTGTTTCAAAGAATTTAGTTCCACCTCTTCATACCAGTTTAACACTTAATATATTTCATTGGATTTTAGACAGGGCAAAAGGAAGAACAGGGGCCTCTGGAGGCCCTTGGTTATTTAAATCTTGGATTATTTGTGATAGTAATCACAAATTTTTGGCTAATTTTTAACCTGAGGTTTTGTTTTTTTTTTAAAGGAAATGCAGCCTAGTCTTGAGAACATAATTTTATATAATCAATTACTAAATGTTAAACTATTACCACACAGCCCATAAAACAGCATTTGCGTTTATTGAGAGAGAGGATGTGCCATCATGATTAATGAAAACTATCTTTTGAGTTTGAAAAGAAATTAATTTGCAGTGTTTGGATTGTATATATGGTGCTAAAAATAAATTAATTTACTTTATAAACCTTATCTGTACATTATACGATGTGATGAAATTTGCTTTTTATCCAAATATTTTGTATCTTGTAAATATGGCTAATTATAGGAATGCCTATAATACATCTTAGATTCCTTATATCTAATAAGAGTTCAAAGAGTTATGAGTTGAAGTCTTGAATGCAGGAAACTATCTGATAGTGTTCTAAAATTTGGTTACTTGGGTTTGGATACCCTTAGTGGGATGATGTAAATAGAGGCTAGCTACCTAGGCTTGTCTATAGCAACCATAATGTTGATGTAAGTAATGCGGTTACTGAATCATAAGAAAATGCCATCTCTTTTTAGTTGAAGGAAAACTCTGGAAGTAGGTGCCATTGGTCATTCTGCAGTGCACTGCAACCATTGTTTCCCCTAGTGCCCTCTTTTCCCTAGGGCATTGCTCTCCTATTCCCACGCCTTAACACAGCTCTATACCTAGAAGCAGCCAGCCCAGGCATGCAGTCACATTTAATCACATCCCCCTTCTAGAGTGCTTCAAAATGATGTAGTCCCTCAACTTGGCTAAAGAATCTCAATCTCTTGAAATTTATTTTTTTAATGTCATATTCATCTGGTAAATATCTACTGTTTGCCAGGCATTTAAGAATATGGCAAAGAACATAAAAGATGGTGTCACCAGATTTTGGTCACCAATGAGTACCCGACCCGTTGCCATGATTAAGAGAGAATGCTTTCTATTGGAGTTTCAGGAAATATAATTTGAGAATACTTTAAAGGGAAGTGGAAGTATAAGTGAATGATATTTTTCTTTTACATGTAAACAATGAAGTTATTTCAAAGTTAAGTTTTAAACAAAATACATGAAGTAGTGTCTGCCATACATGTTAATATTCTACATTCTTGCTTCCTTAAATTAATATGTTTGTGTGTATATATGTGCCTCACACCTGAATTGAAAATTAAAGACTGGTTTAAAAGTGGTTTAAAAGTGACATTTAATGTTTCTCCATTACGTTTGGGGTAACCAGCCTAAGTGGAATCTTGGAAGGAAAGTAAGGGAAAAACTTGTATTTGCCTTCAATGAATTAAACCAGTGATATGTGTTAACGTATGAATGAAAGGATTGATGGTGATTTTATAATTATATATATTGCCGCAGTAACCAGTTAATAAATTGATAGCTACCATTTATTAATGATTTTATTTTCAGGTAGTTTTTATAATTTGATTCCCTTCCAACAGTCTTGTCCCAATTTTACAGTAAGGGATTTGAGCCTCCAGATAGGGGACTAGCTAATAAGTGGTAGAAGTCAGGGATTCAGACCTGTGTTTGAGCTGGTCCACTACACCACACAGTTATGTAAATAAATATGCATGACTTTTTTTGTTTTTTGTTTTGAGATGGAGTTTTGCTGTTGCCCAAGCTGCAGTGCAATGGCCTGATCTTGGCTCACCGCAACCTCCACCTCCTGGGTTTAAGTGATTCTCCTGCCTCAGCCTCCCAAGTAGCTGGGATTACAGGCATGCGCTACCACACTTGGCCAATTTTGTATTTTTAATACAGGAATTTTGTATTTTTAGGAGAAACCTAGCTGTGACAGAAGGCAAAAAGGGATTTAGAGTGTCTCACGGTGATTAAAAGCTTGACTAAGAAATCATACATGTCACTTAACTCAGAAATGCATTTCTATCACATGCTGAAAGGCCAGAACTACACAGAATTAATCACCTCCACCTCAGGGTTTAAAAGAGTACATCCACAGCAGCGTTTTACATAACTGAAATGCCCAACATAAAGGGGTTAAAGTTTCCAGGCAGCCAAAATAGATGTCATGAAATTCAGGCACTAAAGTTGAGAAGCACATGGGTAGCAATTAAGATACACTTGTAAGCCTGATAACGAGACATTTGGAATCATAAAAACTAAATATAAAAAGTACAGCCACTTGGGACAAGTCAATGCTATGACTAATAGCTTTAAGCTTATACACCTCAATTGACCATAAGGAAATCGGTATTTCCTACACAGCACAAAACGATTAGCTGCTTACAAGGATTGACAATAGTCATCAAGAATATAAACCATTAAGTTTGGTTTTGTGTATGTGTGTGTGTGTGTGTTTAGATTAGTACTGCATTTACTTTTTTTCTTTTTTGAGACAGGATCTCACTTGTCACCCAGGCTGGAGTGCAGTGGTACAATCTTGGCTCACTGCAGCTTCAACCACCTGGGTTCAAGCGATACTCCTACCTCAGCCTCCTGAGTAGCTGGGGACTACAGGTGTGCACCGCCACACCTGGCTAGCTTTTGTATTTGTAGTAGAAAAGGGGTTACGCCATGTTGCCCAGGCTGGTCTCAAATTCCTGAGCTCAAGTGATCTGCCTGCCTTGGCCTCCCAAAGCGCTACAATTACAGGAGTGAGCCACTGCGCTCGGCCAAGTTTGGTTTTGTGGGGTTTTTGTTTGTTTGTTTGTTTGTTTTTAATAGAGATGGGGTTTCAATGTGTTAGCCAGGGTGGTCTCATTTCCTGACCTCGTGATCCACCCGCCTTGGCCTCCCAAAGTGCTGGGATTACAGGCGTGAGCCACCGTGCCCGGCCAGTTTTGTGGTTTTTAAGCCAAGAAATTTTATAATCAAATATTTTCAAGGGATATTCTTAGATATATTAGAGAAATGGTCTCATGAATAAGTTTGGCAAACACTGGGCTAACTTAGACATTATTTACTGCAATATTAGAGCCTTTAATATGCTGGTGTGAATTTTTAATCTTTCCAAGAGAACAATATTGTATTTATCCATTGTATCAATCAGTGTCCCGGAAGAAGACAGATTGTTCACTCACAGTGGATAATTAAACATTTAATAGAGAAACAAGAAAAAAAGAATTTCAGGCCAATATACCTGACGAACATTGATGTAAAAATCCTCAGTAAAATACTGGCAAACTGAATCCAGCAGCACATCAAAAAGCTTATCCTCAAAAAAAAAAAAGTTTATCCTCCACGATCTAGTTGGCTTTATCCCTGGGACACAAGGCTGGTTTAACATATGCAAATCAATAAATGTATTATAATGCATCACATAAAGAGAACTAAAGACAAAAACCACATGATTATCTCAATAGATGCAGAAAAGGCCTTTGATAAAATTCAATATCCCATCATATTAAAAACTCTCAATAAACTAGGTATTAATGGAACAGACCTCAAAATAGTAAGAGCCATTTATGCCTACTCCTAGCCAATATCATACCGAATGGGCAAAAACCAGAACCATTCCCTTTGAAAACCGGCACAAGACAAGGATGGCCTCTCTCACCACTCCTATTCAACATAGCATTGGAAGTTCTGGCCAGGGCAATGAGGCAAGAGAAAGAAATAAAGGGTAATCAAATAGGAAGAGAGCAAATCAAACTGTCTCTCTTTGCAGATGACATGATCCTATATCTAGAAAACCCCATCATCTCAGCCCAAAAGTTTCTTAAGCTGACAAGCAACTTCAGCAAAGTCTCAGGATACAAAGTCAATGTGCAAAAAGCACAAGCATTCCCATACAGTAACAATAGACAAGCTGAGAGCCAAATCATGAGTGATCTCCCATTCACAACTGCTACAAAGAGAATAAAATAACTAGGAAAACAACTAACAAGGGATGTGAAGGACTTCTTCAAGGAGAACTACAAACCACTGCTCAAAGAAATCAGAGGACACAAGCAAATGGGAAAACATTCCATCCTCGTGGATAGGAAGAATCAATATCGTGAAAATGGCCATACTGCCCCAAGTAATTTATAGATTCAATGCTATTCTCATTAAACTGCCACTGATATTCTTCATAGAAATAGAAAAAACTACTTTAAAATTCATATGGAACCAAAAACAAGAGCTTCTAAAGCCAAGACAACCCTAAGCAAAATGAAGAAAGCTGGAGGCATCACACTACCTGACTTCAAACTATACTACAAGGCTACCAAAACAGCATGGTACTGGTACAAAAACAGACACACAGACTAATGGAACAGAATAGACATCTCAGAAATAAGACCGCACATCTACAACCCTCTGATCTTTGACAAACCTGGCAAAAGTAGTGGGGAAAGGATTCCCTATTTAATAAATGGCATTGGGAAAACTGGCTAGCCATATGCAGAAAATTGAAACTAGACCCCTTCCTTACACCTTTTTCAAAACTTAAGTCAAGGTGGATTAAAAACTTAAGTGTAAAACCCAAAACTATAAGAACCCCAGAAGAAAATATAGGCAATACTATTCAGGACATAGGCACAGGCAAATATTTCATAATGAAAATGTCAAAAGCGATTGTAACAAAAGCAAACATTGACAAATGGAATCTAATTAAAGAGTTTCTTCACAGCAAAAGAAACTATCATCAGAGTGAACAAAGAACCTACAGAATGGGAGGAAATTTTTGCAGTCTATCCATCTGACAAAGGTCTAATATCCAGAATCTACAAGGAACTTAAACACATTTACAAGAAAAAACACAACCCCATCAAAAAGTGGGCAAGGGACATGAATGGACACTCTCAAAAGATGACATTTATGCAGCTGACAAACATGAAAAAGTGCTCATCATCACTTGTCATTAGAGAAATGCAAATCAAAACCACAAAGAGATACCATCTCACACCAGTCAGAATGACAATTATTAAAAAGTCAAGAAACAACAGCTGCTGGCAAAGCTGTGGAGAAATAGGAACACTTTTACACTGTTGGTGGGAATGTAAATTAGTTCATTGTGGAAGACAGTGTGGCAATTCCTCAAAGACCTAGAACCAGAAATACCATTTGACCCAGCAATCTCATTACTGGGTGTATACCCAAAGGAACAGAAATCATTCTATTACAAAGATATATGCATGCATATGTTCATTGCAGCACTATTCACAATGGCAAAGACATGGTACCAACCCAAATGCCCATCAACGATAGACTGGATAAAGAAAATGTGGTACATATACACCATGGGATACTATGCAGCCATAAAAAGGAATAAGCTCATGTCCTTTGTAGGGACATGGATGAAGCTGGAAGCCATTATTCTCAGCAAACTAACACAAGAACAGAAAACCAAACACTGCATCTTCTCATAAGTGGGTGGGAACTAAACAATGAGAGCACGTGGACACAGGGAGGGGAACAGCACACCCTGGGGCCTGTTGGGGGATGGGGGGAAGGAGTGTATCAGGATAAATAGCTAATGCATGCTGGGCTTAATATCTAGGTGATGAGTTAATAGGCAGCAAACCACCATGGCACGTTTACCTATGTAACAAACCTGCACATTCGGCACATGTATCCCAGAACTTTATAAAAAGGAAAAAAGCATTTATTTATTTATTTATTTATTTATTTATTTATTTATTTATTGAGATGGAGTCTCGCTCTGTCATCAGGCTGGAGTGCAGTGGCACTATCTCAGCTCACTGCAACCTCTGCCTCCTGGGTTTAAGTGATTCTCCTGCCTCAGCCTCCCGGGTCGCTGGGATTACAGGCATGTGCCACCACACCCAGCAAATTTTGTTTTTTAGTAGAGACGGGGTTTCACCATTTTGGTCAGGCTTGCTCAAACTCCTGACCTCAGGTGATCCACCCGCCTCGGCCTCCCAAAATGCTGGGATTATAGGTGTGAGCCACCGCGCCCGGCAACTAAGAAGCATTTAATAAAGGGAAGCCAACAGGAATGTTGTGATACAGTTGCCACCTCCCAGCCTAAAGAGGCAAGAGAGGGGGACCAGTTACTGGGACTGAAGAGAAGAGCTAAATGGATAGGACTTCCTCAAAGAAGCTGTGACCTTAGTTGGAAGATACAGCCAACTAACAGCAATCCAGGTGGAGACCGATAAAAGACCGAGAAATATTCAGCCTCATTTCCGCATCCCCTTTGATGTCCTACTAGTCTCTCTTTTCCCCTCTCTCCCCAGGCAGAGGGCAAATGAACCTGTCATCTATACAGATCAGCCTTTTGGGGACAGAGCAGAACAGAGAATAGCGTGTGGGAAACAGAAAACATCCTGTACCACTGCAGATGCCTTTTTTTTCAGATGACTGCTTGGGATTAGTGTTCTACAGAACACACTGGGAAAAGTTGACATTATTCATTTTTTAAAGATATCCAAACTGACACATACATATACACACATGTTCTGTTTTTTTAGAGGTGGCAATACACACAATTTTTGGAAGTGATAATATAATGGAGGTATCTACAGTAATATGAAATAGCTCATTCATTCAATTTCAATTTAATTATTTTATTTTATTTTATTTTATTTTATTTTATTTTATTTTATTTTATATTTTTTTGAGATGGAGTCTCGCTCTGTCACCTAGGCCGAAGTGCAGTGGTTGTGATCATGGCTCACTGCAACCTCTGCCTCCTGGGTTCAAGCAACTCTCCTGCCTCAGCCTCCTGAGTAGCTGGGACTACAGGCATATGCCACCACGCCAACTAATTTTTATGTTTTTTTTTTTTTAGTAGAAATGAGGTTTCCCCATGTTGGCCATGCTGGTCTTGAACTCCTGATCTCAGGTGATCCTCCCGCGTTGGCCTCCCAAACTGCTGGGATTACTTTTAAAGAGTTTCTGCACAGCAAAAGAAACTATCATCAGAGTGAACAAACAACCTACAGAATGGGAGGAAATTTTTGCAGTCTATCCGTCTGACAAAGGTCTAATATCCAGAATCTACAAGGAACTTAAACACATTTACAAGAAAAAACACAACCCCTTCAAAAGGTGGGCAAGGTACATGAACAGACACTCTCAAAAGATGACATTTGGCCAGCAGCGGTGGCTCATGCCTGTAATCCCAGCACTTTGGGAGGCCGAGGCCGGTGGATCACGAGGTCAGGAGATGGAGACCATCCTGGCTAACACCGTGAAACCTCCGTCTCTACTAAAAATACAAAAAATTAGCCAGGCGTGGTGGTGGGCGCCCTAGTCCCAGCTACTCAGGAGGCTGAGGCAGGAGAATGCCGTGAACATGGGAGGCGGAGGTTGCAGTGAGCCAAGATCACACCACTGCACTCCAGCCTGGGAGACAGAGCAAGACTCCGTCTCAAAAAAAAAGAGATGACATTTACGCAGCCACCGTGCCTGGCCATTACTTTCCAATCATGAAAAAAAAAATAAAGATTTTATAGTGAAATGATAAAAAGAATTGCCCTTGGGAACTTCTTTAGTTACAGGCATGAGCCGCTGCACCCGGCTGTCAAGTGTTGATTTTTGGGGGAGTGACAATATAATGTCCATTTCACTTCTGACTTGCAGAATATAGTCACAAACTTGGTCATTTTTTGCAAAAATATTTCAGGACTTTAATTTTTCCAAAGGCCAGCCTTAGCCAGTTATTATTTAGATAATTTTGTCTTGAAGCATCTAATACAGCATCCATATAAATTTTCATTTGTTTCCATTTTTAATTGACTTAACTCTGCTAGATCCTTATCTGACAATAACTTTTGTTATTATTTGAGCAGTTCTCAAACATCACTTTCATTGACTTTGTCAGTCTAAACAACAGAGAGAGGCTCTCTAAAAGAAAAGGTACTTATTTGGGAATAGGGCATTGCAGTGAGATTATTCATGCCAGAGTAAACTATGTGCATATTCAGGGAGGTAAAGGAACACAAAGGTTTTTAAGAAAAGAATGAGGATGACATAATTGTTTTCAAATAATTATCTTTGGCTGCAAAGATCAATAACAAGGGTGACGTCAGTCCAGGATTGGATAGTCAGTTGCTGGGCAGATGTCCTTGCAAAAGAATTTGTTGTGTAAGGTTGCAATGGCCTTTGTGCAAGGTTGGTTTTTGTAGTCTTTGTGATAGTCTTTGTTATCAAGCATAAAAGCATGAGAACCCTCTCTTCATGGCCTTTCCTGGCTCTAGAGTTTTGTTGCTGTTTTTGTTGTTCTGACGTTAATGATTGCATTTTGATTCTGACAACTTTCACAACTTCATAAAATTCAGCAACTTAAATTCCAGTTTCACTTGTTTACATTGTGTTATTGGCTACATTCATTGGCAAGAAGACCAATAAATAGGTTTGGATATACTGGACACTACTAGTGCTAAAATAAAGACCATTTTACAAGTGGACGTGCACTAGAACTTCATTAACATAGGAACTCAAAACAATGAATATACAGCTAAAAGCCCCTAGATTGAAGGAATAAGCAACAGAGTTCAACTAGATCAAATGGGACTTGGGTAGGTGTGATTCATTATAATTCTTTTATTCAGTTACCTGTTTATTAGAGACCTGCCCACACTAGAGGCCAAAAAATAGTGTTGATAAGATGATGCCACAGAACTTCACCAGTAACTTCCATTTCTTGTCAATGAAGAATCCAGCCTGAGAGAACTAACTCAACAGCAGGTTTCTTTAATTATCATAATAATGCAAAATCTGTAACATGATAAAATCTGCAACCAGGCTTGCCCCCAGTTTCAGCACACTGTATCTAAATATCTGTTTCCTTTGCAAGGAAACTGTTTCAGAAAAATCTCTACTGAGGTATTTCCCCTAACTTGAATGCAATCATAAGAAAAACAGACAGTTGGCCGGGTGCAGTGGCTCATGCCTGTAACCCCAGCACTTTGGGAGGCTGAGACAGGTGGATCACCTGAGGTCAGAAGTTCGAGACCAGCCTGGCCAACATGGTGAAACCCTGTCTCTACTAAGAATACACAAATTGGCCGGGTGTGGTAGTGCATGCCTGTAGTCCCAGCTACTCAGGAGGCTGAGGCAGGAGAATCACTTGAACCTGGGAGGCGGAGGCTGCAGTGAGCCAAGATCATGCCACTGTACTCCAGCCTGGGTGAGACAGAGCAAGACTCCATCTCAAAAAAAAAAAAAAAAAAAAAAAAAATCAGAGAGTTACCGGGCACGATGGCTCACGCCTGTAATCCCAGCACTTTGGGAAGCTGAGGCAGGCAGATCACGAGGTCAGGAGATCGAGGCCATCCTGGCTAACATGGTAAAACTCCGCCTCTACTAAAAATACAAAAAATAATAATAATAATAACCAGGCGTGGTGGCACGTGCCTGTAGTCCTAGCTACTCCGGAGGCTGAGGCAGGAAAATTGCTTGAACCCGGCAGGCAGAGGTTTCAGTGAGCTGAGATCATGCCACTGCACTTCAGAGCGAGACTCCATCTCAAAAAAAAAAAAAGAAAAAAAAAGAAAAGAAAAAATCGGGCAGAATGCTAAAAAAACAGCTCTGTAAATGTTTGTTCTTTTCTGTTTTACTAGTTAGTATTTTACATCTATGACTTAATTTTTATCATGTATGCTAGGATCTTAAATTTTCAGTCTTGAGGGAGCTATTCAGTTTTTCAATTTGCTAGAATCCAGAAATCATGCATTAATTCCATAGACACTCATTGCATGAATATTACATCCTATGTATCAGGCAACGAAGACAAAGTGGTGAGGACAAACCCAGTCATTGCCTTCGTGGAATTTAGACTAGCAGGTCGAAATTTAAACATGAACTACTGGCTATAGTATAATAAAAACAAGTAATCTAAACCAAAACAACTTCTCCTTAGAGGTTCTGGATTGCAAAAGAAACATTAAAATGCCCCTGCTGCAAAAGTATATTCAAATAATTTTCATGGGTAGCTAGCTATCAGCTGGATGCTATTAAGATACAGATTTAAAGAAAGCGAATATTGGCCAGGCATAGTGGCTCATGCCTGTAATCCCACCACTTTGGGAGGCCGAGGAGGGTGGATCAGCTGAGGGTCAGGAGTTTGAGAACAGCCTGGCCAATATGGTGAAACCCTGTCTCTACTAAAAATACAAAAATTAGCTGGGCATGGTGGCAGGCACCTGTAATTCCAGCTACTTGGGAGGCTGAGGCAGGAGAATCACTTGAACCCAACAGGCAGAGGTTGCAGTGAGCCAAGGCCTCACCATTGCACTACAGCCTGGGGCAACAAGAGTGAAACTCCATCTCAAAAAAAGAAAAAAAGGAAAGAAAAACAAAGCAAATATTTAGACATTAATTAAATAATACTTGTAGTTATGCTAGTTAAAATATGCTATGTATAAAAATAAATACAGCCAGGTTTGATAGTGCTCGTTGGTGCATCTGAATATTCAAACCCGTCACAGAAATGCAGCTCGAAAAGTAAAAACTTGACAGGATAAACTTCCAAGTATAAATATTGGCATTAAGTTGCTTGCCTGGCTGCATATATAAATCAGGCTGTTCCTTGTAGAAGAAGATCTAAAATTTACCAACAATTTCTATTTGAAAAATGAAACCAAAGTCTAGAAATACTACTATGGTCCACCAGTCAGGTTTGGGTTTATGGTCAGGGGAAGGATGAAGGCTTGACCTAAGTCCATAAAACATTGGGTCAATGTGGTAGCTAGTTCCTAAGATGGCGCCTAACGGTCCTTGCCTCATTGTATTTATACCCATCAGTGGTCCCTTTTCCATGTTGTATCAGAGTTAGTCTGTGTGACCATCAGAATATGGCAGAAGCGATGGTGTGTCTTTTCTGAGATTAGGTTATAAAAGACTGAAGCTTCTATCTTAGGCTTTCATTTTTCGGGAAGCTAGCTGCCACATCTTGCTGTTAACTAAGCACCCTATGGAAAGGCCCATGTGGAAAGAAAATGAGATTTCTAGCTTCAGCCAGTGAGGCATGAGCTCAGCCAAACACCGAGTAAACTTGGAAGCAGACCCTCTAGACTTCAGATAATTGCAGCAACCTTCAGCCAGAAACATGCAACTAAGCTGCTTCTGGATTCCTCACCCACAGAAACTTTTTTTTTTTTTTTGAGGCAGGGTCTCGCTCTATGGCCCAGGATAGAGCGCAGTGGTGCGATCTCAGCTCACTGCCACCTCCGCCCCGAGTTCAAACAGTTAATTCCAGGCGCACGCCACCATGCTCCGCAAATAATTTTTGTACTTTTAGCAGAGACAGGGTTTCACCATGTTGGCCAGGTTGGTCTCAAACTCCTGAACTCAAGTGATCTGCCCGCCTCAGCCTCCCAAAGTGTTGGGATTACAGGCATGAGCCACGGCTCCAGGCCTGGATATCTGATGTACAGAAACTTTGAGATAAATGTTTGTTGTTTTAAGTTGCAAAATGTAGGAGTAATTTGTTATGCAGCAATAGATACCTAATACAACACCCCCCACCATACTAGATAATTTGAAGCAAACCCCAGAAGCAATATCATTTCATCTGAATATATTTCATTGTGGATTTCTAAAAAATAATTTCTTTTTTCTAAACATACCATCATATTATCACACTTAGAAATGAACAATAACTGCTTAATATAATCAAGTATCCAATGTATCTAATCACTGCTCAAGTTTCTTTATCTCATTTTTTTTAAGTTTATTCAATTTAGGATTCAAATAATTTCCATACATTGCAACTGGTTGGTATATTTCTTTTATAGGTTCTTTCTCAATTTTTTTTTGCAATTTATTTGTTGAAAAAATTGGGTTGTTTGTCCTGTAGATATCCTATATTCTAGATTTTGCTGACTGCATTCACAGGGTGGATTTTTTTATGTATATATTTTTAAAAACTTTTTTCTCAAATGGATTCTGACAGTTCAATGGTGCTATTGAACATGCTCCTCTCTCTTGTATTTTCTGTAAATTGGTAATGACAGAGACTTGTTCAGATTAAGAGTTTTTTGTCTGCTTGATAATATTGCATTGTAGGTGGCACTTTTATTAGGAGGCACATAGTGTTAGATAGCTCCTTTTTGGGAATTTTTTTTTTCCGAGTTGGAGTTTTGCTCTTGTTGCCCAGGTTGGAGTGCATTGGTGCGATCTCAGCTCACTGCAACCTCTGCCTCCCGGGTTCAAGTGATTTTCCTGTCTCAGCCTCCTGAGTAGCTGGGATTACAGGTGCCCATCACCACGCCCAGCTAATTTTGTATTTTTAGTGGGGGTTTCATCATATTGGTCAGGCTGGTCTCGAACTCCTGACCTCAGGTGATCCACCCGCCTCAGCCTCCCAAAATGCTGGGATTACAGGCGTGAGCCACCACACCTGGCTTCCCCTCATTATCTATATGCATACAAGAAAGGCAGAATAAATGTATGATATGTGTTCTTTATCAGATTTCAAAATAATGAGTTGGTTTCCTTCTGTGCCCTGAAGATGATCAGTAGGGTTTTTTAAAGCATCATTATGAATTTATGGCTTTAAACATATTTGTTGCACTTTAATCTATTGCAATAGATTAATCCATTATTCATATTAGTGGTCAAATCATCCTGTCTTTGAACAGTGGCAGCTTCTTCAAGTTGGCACCATGTGTTTTTGATATGATCCCAGTAGAATTGATCATTTCTTTGCTTTTTATTATGACATGATGATTTAGCCTCATCATATACTTATTCTGGTCCATATCTAGAATCAGTCATTCCTCCAAGAAGCATCAATTCCATTTATTTGGAAATGGTATTTATAACACAGTCTGCGTAATACATGTTATTTTTACTGGGTTGGTCATTATCTCCAGGTCTTTTCAGTGGACAAAGGTAAAAAAAATACTTTTAAAAAAGAAGCATAACCACAAAAAAGAATGAAATCATATCCTTTGCAGCAATGTGGGTGGAGCTGGAGGTCATTATCATAAGTGAACTAACTCAGAAACAGAAAACCAAACACTACATGTTCTCACATATAAGTAGGAGTTAAACAATGGGTACATATGGACATAAAGATGAAAATTATAGACACTGAGGACTCCAGAAGAGGGGAGGGTGGGAAGGGAGCAAGGGCCGAAAAATTACCTTTTGGGTACAATGTTCACTATTTGGGTAATGGGTAAACTAGAAGCCCAATATCCACCAATATACCCACATAGCAAGCATGCACCATATCCTCTGAATCTAAAATACAATTTTTTTTTTTGAGACAGAGTTTTGCTCTTGTTGCCGAGGCTGGAGTGCAATGGCGTGATCTTGGCTCACTGCAACTTCAGCCTCCCGGGTTCAAGCAATTCTCTGCTTCAGCCTACCGAGTAGCTGGGATTACAGGCATGCACCACCACGCCTGCCTAATGTTTTTGTTTTTTTAGTAGAGGCAGGATTTCGCCATGTTGGTCAGGCTGGTCTTGAACTCCTGACCTCAGGTGATCCACCTGCCTCGGCCTCCCAAAGTTCTGGGATTACAGGCATGAGCCACCTCGCTCGGCCAATAAAATACAATTTTAAAAAAGAAAACTACATTTTGTATGACTTTATCTATATGAAATGTCCAGAACAGACAAATCTATGGACACAAAAAGTAGATGGTGTTTGCCTAGGAATGGTGAAAGTGAAGGAACATGGAAGAGGGCGGCCGTGATGGCTAAGAGATGCAGAATTTCTTTTCGGGGTGATGAAAATATTCTAATATTGATTGTGGTGGTGGTTACACAACTTTGTGAATATTGTGGGAGACATTGAGTTGTACACTGTAAATGGACGAACCATACAGTATGTGAATTATACCTCAGTAAAGTTGTTTTAAAAATTCCAATGGCAGAATCAAGATAATTTTTTAAATTATCTATTTTGGATGTACATACTCCACATGATCTGAATATTTCTATGCTTTTGCAATAATTTTAAATGAAAGGAGAATGAAGGAAATGCCTAACTTTTCAAATAGTTTGTAAATTAATCTAACACATTTGCATTTTAGAGAACATCATAATGACTTTTCTATACAAGTTAATCTGAAATTCATGAAATAGACACAAATTCTGTATCCATGCACAAAAGTGAAGATAAGAAATAAGACAATTTTCAGGAACATTCCCTTAAACATTCTCCTCTGATTTAACCTGGCTTGCCTTACCATGGCAATAGAGAAATCACTAAAACATGCTGTTTAACAGGAAAAAAGTCTCTCAATTTCTGTGAGGAGTGATGTATGATTCTGATCTCTCCTAAGGGTAAATATTATAATATTATATCAAAAAATTATGTAATTATAAGCAAAAGTGGCAGAAAGAAAGTCAGAGTTTAAGAAGTAAGTGCATTATACTGGCCAGGCATGGTGGCTCACTCCCGTAATCCCAGCACTTTGGGAGGCTGATGTAGGCAGATGGCTTGAGACCAGGAGTTCAAGACCAGCCTGGGCAACATGGCAAAACCCCTCTCTACAAAAAATACAAAACTTAGATGGGCATGGTGGTCTGTGCCTATAGTCCCAGCTATTATGGAGGCTAAAGTGGGAGGACAGCTTGAGCCTGGGAGGCAGAAGTTGCAGTGAGCCAAGATTGCAACACTGTACTCCAGGCTGGGCGATAGAGGGAGATCCAGTCTCAAAAAATAAGTGGAAAAAAATAAGTGCACTATAAAGATAATTAAACTGTAGTATAAAATAAACTATACTGAGACTGGGTGCTGTGGCTCATGCCTGTAATCCCAACAATTTGGGAGGTCAAGGCAGGCAGATCACTTGAGGTCAGGAGTTCGAGACCAGCCTGGCCAACATGATAAAACCCCATCTCTACTAAAAATACAAAAATTAGCTGAGCATGGTGATGTGCAACTGTAATCCCAGCTACTCAGAGAGCTGAGCCTTGAGAATCGCTTGAACACAGGAGGGGGTGGTTGCAGTGAGCTGAGATCCTTGCCACTGCACTCCAGCCTGGGTGACAAAGTGAGACCCTCTCTCACAAAAAAAAAAAAAATTAATTATAATGAAAATACAAAAAAAAAATAATGTTACAATATCATACTGATACTTCCAACTCAAATTCAGAACTACAGGGATTTTTTTAAAGATTTTAATTGTTTTTAATTGACAATTATATATATTTGTGGGGTACAATGTGATGTTTTGATATATCTACGTATTGTAAAATGATTAAATTAAGCTAATTAAATCCATCACCTCACATACTTACCATTTTTTGTGGTATATTTAAAATTTGCCCTGTTAGCAATTTTGAAAGATACATTATTAACTATAGTCACCATGCTGTGCGATATATCTCAAAAACATGTTTTCTAACTGAAACTTTGTACCCTTTGACCATCTCTCCATGTTCCCACCCCCATAATTAATTATATTAATCATGCAATTAATTATATAATTAATTATATTAATCATGCAATTAATTATATAATTAATTATATTAATCATGCAATTAATTATATAAGTAATTAAATAAGGCTAATTCATTAGGTGCCCCACAAAGGAATAGTTATTTCTTGAGCTCTGTGCCACGTGGTTTAGTAGCTCATTCAGAATGGCTTTACTTCCAGTAACTAAGGAATAGAGAATAGCTGTTGTATTATTATTCCTAGATTTAGTCAAATAACTTGTTTAAACTCTGGTAACTCTTAGTGATGTTAGATGATGAAAATCAAGTGGGAAATTTAGTCATATTTCCATCTATTCCATCGGTCATGCTTGAATGAGATAATTTGGATGAATAAATCTTGATTGCCAATCCCTCAGCATTTCTACCTTCTTCCTTATACAGAACACTGATTTGCTCAGGCACTGTGAAATATTAAGAGAATGAATCATGTTTGATCCAAGCAGTGGTTCTCAACCCTGGCTGCACATTATAATCTCTGCGAAAGCATTTTACAAATATTGAGCCACAGCACCACCCCAAAACAATTCGATCAGAATCGTTGCAAGTTGGGTGCGGGTGCAAATACGTTTTAAAATGTTCCCTGTTGTGCAGCCAAGGACAGGACCACAAGTCTGAGCCAATCATGGCAATTTAGCTCCTTTATCAGTGACCAGGGGAAGATGCCTGATCTGACCTAGGAGACTTAGAGGGGAATTCTGTTAGAGGCTTCTGGTAAAAACAACATTCTTTCCTGAAACAAGAGAAGATTGTATGGAGAAAGACTTGTAAGTACCCGTGCGCTTGCTTGCTGCTTGGAGCAACGTCAGGTGAGTAGGGAACGCTCGGTTGTGGTGGCCATTTGCAACTATCAGGGAAGACACCTGAAGCAATAAAGACAGCCGAGCACGAAGATCGAAGAGTTCCAAGAGACACTGTAATGATAATGAGAATAACTAATTTACTATAGGAATTAGGACTTACACGAATATGAAAAGAGTTGCAAAAGTGAAGGTCTGGAAGGGAGAGTCAGAGAATCAGAGAAATAGGCTGAAGAGTCCACTGAAGCACTGATGTGAGTAACAAACTGCAGCTGGCCGAGAAATCCAGGAAATCAAGCGTGACCAGTTGCCAAAGTGGGACTGCAAAGAGCGTATTCATGGAGGGTCTCGAAATTGCCATCTCTGGGGAAAGGTTCGTCTTTGTGTAGCTATCGCCTACACCCTGGGTCAGGGGCTGTTATTGATCAGCCGAACCAGCAGGTGGCAAGAGAGGCAAGACACAGAATGGAGAACAGCAGGACAAGCTGGGACTCGCAGCATCTGTCTCTACCTGTCGCCCGGTTTCACAGCAATGACCTTTTGAGCACAGTCGCTTCAGTTTCATTCACTTTTCAAATCTCATACACATTCCTCTTTTGTTCAATTCTAACCTAGAACCATATAGGGAAGAGGATTCTGGGAAATGTAGTTCCCATCCTTAGCCAAGAAATGGGATAAACAAGCAAGTTATAATCCTTATGGAAAGTCTAAATTTCGTGGTTAAAAATCATCAATAAAGTCAAGTTTGAGATAATACCAGCTGAGTACTTCTCAGAACCTTGCCGTCTCCATTATTTATAAATGCAAATCAATTTCTTTACATTTGTAGGCCCATGCTTCTTTTTAAGTTCTGGTACTTCCCTCTTACAGAGATAAATTGGTAATAAGCACACACTATCGACAAAGAGTAAAGGTTAGGGACAAAAATTCAAAGGCTAAGAAGGATTTAAAAAATTAAAATTTGAAGAAGCAGATTGATGTTAAAAATAAAGATTGATGGGAATTAAAACATTCAATAGATAGGAAAAACAGACTGAAGTAGGAATTAAAAACAGGAAACTTCTACTTTTAAATGTGTTGAGGTTAAAAAGTAGAGAGAAGCAAACCAAAAAACGGGGAAAGAGAGAAAAAAGCGGGGAGAGACGGTACAAGGGAGAAAGACTGCAATACGTTTGAGTTCCTGGTTCCAGATACCTTTGATGCTAACTGTACTGCTGATCTTAATAGGGTTTTTTGGTTTTATTTGGTTTGGTTTTTGAGACAGTGTCTCACTCTGTTGCCCAGGCTGGAGTACAATGGTGACATCTCGGCTCACTGCCACCTCCGCCTCCCGGGTTCAAGCAATTATCCTGTCTCAGCCTCCTGAGTAGCTGGGATTACAGGCACATGCCACAACGCTCAGCTAATTTTTGTATTTTTAGTAGAGACAGGGTTTCACCATGTTGGTCAAGCTAGTCTTGAACTCCCGACCTCTGGTGATCTGCCCTCCTCGGCCTCCCAAAGTGCTGGGATTACAGGCGTGAGCCACCGTGCTCAGCCAGGGTTTGTTTAAATGAGCCAACAAATCCCCATTTTTTGCCCAAACTAGTTCCCTAAACTGGGGTTTTTTGATTTACAAACAAGAGTAATAATGGATTTTATTAGACAAATACTCTTGGAAATTTACCCAGTTATTTATTGCACTAATTTTAGTTAAATGAATGTTTTAATTTTTTTTTTAACGTTTGATTTGGTTATTTTCCAATTGATTTTTAATCCTTCCTCCTTGGAAATCCTGCTTTCTATTCTTCCTTTAAAGGTAGTAATTCCAAGATTTGAAGAATGATAATAATACTATATAGAAGTAATTCCTAGGACTATATGATATGCAATACCTCAAAACTAATCACACTTGTTCTTCAACTATACAGTGGATAAAAAATTCAGAGACGTAGTCTAGTATTTTGAAGACAGCACATTATCATTTATGCCAAGAAGAAAACGTCATGACTCAAAAAGTGAAACTAGTAAAGCTTTTAGGCAAAGCTCTAAGGGGAAGAGTATTCTGTACTGCCTTACAAAGTAAGTATACTTCCTGTTTGTGGGAAGAACAATGAAGAGAATACAAGGGCGTCCAATGTTGGTTCACTTTATGAAAACCCAACATTTTTAAAAATTGTGTTATTATTATTGCTATCATTTTGAGACGGAGTCTCACTCTGTCGAGCTCTGTCGCCCAGGCTGGAGTGCAGTGGTATGATCTTGGCTCATTGCAACCTCCGCCTCCTGGGTTCAAGCGATTCTCCTGCCTCAGCCTCCAGAGTAGCTGGGACTACAGGCACCCACCACCATGCCCAGCTAATTTTTGTATTTTTAGTAGAGACGGGGGTTTCACCATGTTGCCCAGGATGGTCTCGATCTCTTGACCTCGTGATCCGCCTGCCTCGGCCTCCCAAAGTGCTGGGATTACAGGCATGAGCCACCATGCCTGGCCTTTTTTTTTTTTTTTTTTTGTAACACAGAGTCTCACTCTGTCTGTCAGGCTGGAGTGCAGTGGCGTGACCTCGGCTCACCGAAACCTCCACCTCCCGGGTTGAAGCGATTCTCCTGCCTCAGCCTCCTGAGTAGCTGGGATTACAGGCACCGCTACCACACCTGGCTAATTTTTTTTTGTAATTTTAGTAGAGGCGGAATTTCACCATGTTGGCCAGGTGAAAACCCAGGGTAAGAATGCTCAGCTGCTGCAGAATAGTCATCTGTTCAACTAACGTTAATTGTTCCCTCTTGAGGTACAAAACACTACCAGAGACCAGACCCAAGGGACTATGTATGTGGAAAGAAGAAACTGGAAGCTTCCAATTGGTACTAACAAAATTTCAGAATCTGGAGGCTAGCAACTGATCCCAAACTCTTTTTTGTTTGTTTTTCATTGGAGAGTGAGAGTGAAAGAGGACAAGTCAGAGAAGGAGAAGCAATTTTTTTTTTTTTTCCTTAAGACAGGATCTATCTCTGTCACCCAGGCTGAAGTGCAGTGGTGAGATCATAGCTCACTGCAGTCTCCATCTCCTGGGCCCAAGCAATCCTCCTGGCTCAGCCTCCTGGGTAGATGGGACTACAGGCACACACCACCACACCCAGCTAATTTTTTATTTTTTGTAGAGATGGGGTCTCACTATGTTGCCCAGGCTGGTCTCAAACTCCTGGGCTCAAGTGTTCCTCCCTCCTCAGCCTCCCAGAGTGCTGGGATTACAGGTGTGAGCTGCCTTGCATGGCCTGTTTTATAGTTTTAAAAAAATTGATACATAATAATTGTACATATTTATAGGGTCCATGTGATATTTTGATGCATGCATATAATGTATAATGATCAAATCAGGGTAATCAGGATATCCATCACCTCAAACATTTATCATTTCTTTATGTTGAGAACATTTCAAATCTTCTTGTGCAGCTATTTTGAAATACACAATAAATTATTTTTAACTATACTCACTCTTCTATCCTCTTTTCTACATGTTTCACTTATGTATTGTGGTATTAAGAAAACACTCCAAAACTTAATGGCTTAAAACAACAATCATTTCCTTATCTCTCATGGTTTCTGTGGGTCAGAAATTCAGGAAAGCCTTGGTTAGATGGTTCTGGCTTGGGTTTCTAATGCAATTGTAGTGAGACACTGACTGTACCAATGAAGGGCTGAAGCAACTGGGGGCAGGTCAAGCATCTCTCTCCAAGTAGTCTCAGGGTCTCTTTATATGAGCTACTTTAGGCTTCCTCAAAGTATGGCAGCCTCAGAATATTTAGGCTGCTTATATGTGGGTGGCATCCCTCAGTGTGATCCTTAGAGATCAAGGTGAACATGTGGCATATTTATTACCTATCCTTAGATGTCACATGGCATCCCTCTGCCATATGCTTTTGGTCAAGGCAGTCACAAAGACTTGCCCAGGTTGGAGAGGAGAAGTCATAACCTACACCCCATCTCTCAATGGGAAGAAAGAAAATGTATGGTAAGAAGAGAGGTGAGATAAAAGATACTGTTGTGGCCACATTTGGAAAATATAATCTGCCACACTGCACCTACCCTTTAACATGTATTTTGTTTTTAGTGCTTCTGAATTGTCCTCAGCACTGTTTAAACCGAATTTCATCTTCATTGTTATAAATATCCACTGGTGAGTAATAAGACAAATGAAAGACAGTGTGTTTTTTCTAAGGCTCCACATCCAACCAACAATAGCCATGCCCATGTCTGTAAACTCCCACCAATCCCCTCTCTATTCCTATTTGAAAATAACTGGAATTAATGAGTTTTATTTTGATAAAGGTCCCTGCAAACCATAGCAGTCACTTTATTGCCTATCTAATATACCAATTTTATGGGCCATATACTATAGGCAAACCACAATATATCAGTAGAATATTACAGTTAAATAAGCATCAAAATATTGATGCATATACTAGATTTTATTATAATTTTCACTTTTTCCAGTGGCTTTGGAATCTTGCTACACTTTCAGAAATATAAGAACTTCTAGAATGGGAATATGAGTGACTTATTTCCTTTAGTCTTTTTTTGTGTTTTGTGCTCTTCAAATTTTTCTATAATAAAGCATTTATTAATTTTCTTTTGTTGTTGTTGTTTTCTGAGATGGAGTCTCACTCTATCACCCAGGCTGGGGTGCAGTGGCATGATCTCGGTTCACTGCAACCTCCACCTCTCAGGTTCAAGTGATTCTCGTGCCTCAGCCTCCCAAGTAGCTGGGATTACAGGTGTGTGCAACCACGCCCAGTAAATTTTTATATTTTTATTAGGCACAGGGTTTCACCGTGTTGGCCAGGCTGGTCTCGAATTCTTGACCTTAGGTGATTCACCCACCTCGGCCTCCCAAACTGCTGGGATTACAGGCCTGAGCCACTGCGCCTGGCCGTTACTTTTCAATCACGAAAAAAATAAAGTGAAATAATAAAAAGAATAATAAAATAGTGAAATAATAAAAAGAATTGCCCTTGGGACCTTCTTTAGTTACTTTTCTTTTTATCTTTTTACATTATGAAACACTATTCACGTAGCAAAAAGTATGAAAATAAAAAGGGTACATTATGAAACACTATTCACGTAGCAAAAAGTACGAAAATAAAAAGGGCTAGGCACAGTGGCTCACGCCTGCAATCCCAGTAATTTGGGAGGCTGAGGTGGGTGGATCACGAGGTCAGGAGTTCAAGACCAGCCTGGCCAATATGGTGAAACCCTGTCTCTACTAAAAATAGAAAAATTAGCTGGGTGTGGTGGTACGTGCCTGTAGTCCCAGCTACTCAGGAGGCTGAGGCAGGCAAATCGCTTGAACTTGGGAGGCAGAGGTTGCAGTGAGCCGAGATCGCACCACTGCACTCCAGCCTGGGCAACAGAGCAAGACTCTGTCTCAAAAAAAAAAAAAAAAAAAAAAAAAAAGGCATCTACTAATGAACTACAAGATTAAACAAAAGTCAACATTTGACAATATCAGATTCTTCTCTTTCTCTTTCTCTTTGTCATTTAAAATAAATTACAGATACAATTAAAGTTAAAATATTATTAAAATGGCCGGGTGTGGTGGCTCATGCTTATAATCCCAGCACTTTGGGAGGCTGAGGTAGGCAGATCACAAGGTCAGGAGTTCGAGACCAGCCTGACCAACATGGTGAAACCCCGTCTCTACTAAAAATACAAAAATTAGCTGGGCATGGTGGCGCGTGCCTGTAATGGTCGCAGGTGCCTGTAATCCCAGCTACTGGGGAGGCTGAGCCAGGAGAATCGCTTGAACCCGGGAGGCGGAGGTTGTAGTGAGCTGAGATCACGCCACTGCACTACAGCCTGGGCGACAGAGTGAGACTGTCTCAAAAATAAATAAATACATGATTAAAAAATCATGCCCATCTTTCTACCTTTCCTTCCTATGTCTATCATAGAAGACTGAATACTGCATAAACACTGTAGTTTACATGAATGGTGCCCACAACACAATCATACATGACCGACCCAGAATTCCTATACTGAATTAGTGATTTTCATTATAATTCTCATTTTCGTACTGTTTATAAGTGTTCCCCATATGCTGATGTTTAAATATTTACTTAGATGGCATATTATAGTTATTTTGCAATTTGCTTTTTTTTTTTTAAGACGGAGTCTCGCTCTGTTGCCCAGGCTGGAGTGCAGTGGTGCCATCTCGGCTCACTGCAACCTGTGTCTCCCAGGTTCAAGCGATTCTCCTGACTCAGCCTCCGAGTAGCTGGGATTATGGGCGTGCACCATCAGACCTGGCTAATTTTTGTATTTTTCGTAGATTCAGTGTTTCGCCATGTTGCTCAGGCTGGTTTTGAACTTCTGGCTTCAAGTGATCCACTCATCTCGGCCTCCCAAAGTGCTGGCATTACAGGTGTGAGCCACTGCACCTGGCCATAATTTGCTTTTTAATGTTATCCATGTTAATAAGTGTGTGTCTAAATTGCTAATAAGTACTGGTCTATGGTATTACATTTTATAAACAAGTCACAATTTATCCTTTCCTGTATGAAGGTAGTTAGTTTTACTCCCGTTTTCCTCTATTACCGTTAGTACCGCAATGAACTTTTTTTTTTTGAGACGGAGTCTCGCTCTGTCGCCCAGGCTGGAGTGCAATGGCACGACCTTGGCTCACTGCAACCTTCGCCTCTCGGGTTCAACCAATTCTCCTGCCTCAGCCTCCAGAGTAGCCGGGACTACAGGAGCCCGCCACTACACCCGGCTAATTTTTGTATTTTTAGTAGATACGGAGTTTCACCATATTGGCCAGGCTGGTCTCGAACTCCTGACCTTGTGATCCGCCTGCCTCGGCCTCCCAAAGTGCTGGGATTACAGGCGTGAGCCACCGCGCCCGGCCAATGAACATTCTTATACATGTCTCCCTCTTCATGTAACTATTAGTTTCTCTAGGGAATGTAGGTAAAAACAGAATTGCTAGCCACAGGTATAGATCTTGTATATTGCCAAATGCATCTCTGTAGTGAGCTCAGATTCAGCATCAGACAGACCCTCCCCCACCCCAAAATAATGCAGCAAATACAATAACAGTCTATTTCTCATTCACCTAAAAACCTAGAGCAGCATGTGCTGAGACCCTCATAGTGAGTTGAATGAACACCAGGTAACTTGTAGAATGGGTTGAGGGGAGGGGTACTCTGCTCTACACAGCTATTCAGGTAACCAGGCTGTAAGGGATGCTGCCATTTTTAACATGTGACTTTCAAGTTTCCTTTGGCATGGCCATTCCAGGCAGTCAGAAGGGGGAAAGGACATGGAGAAACACATCATTTTTAATCCCATTCCACTGGTAACATTCTGTTAGATAACCACACCCAACTGCAAGGGAACCTGGGAAAGACAGTCTAGCTGCGCGCCCTAGAAAAAGAAGAAAATGAATTTGATAAAAAATAAGCAGTCTCTGCCTCACTGTCCAAAGTATTGAGAGTCACTTATATTTCTAGCAGTGTACAAGAATTTCTATTTCTCTACACTTTTACCAACACATAATATGAATTTTCAATTTTTCTCAAGCCAGTAGGTATAAAAGAGCCTAGCATTGTGCCTTTCATTTGTATTCCTCTGATTCATAGCAAGGTTGAACATCTTTACATATTTTTCTTTGCCATCCGTTTTTTCCTCTCCTGTTTAAATCAATTGCTTTGTTTTTCCTTTTTGCTTTGCCTTATTTATCTAGTGGCAGTTCTTCGTAAATTCTATTATAGGTATTTTGCTATATGAATTGCAAAATTCTTCCAATTTGTGCATGTCCTTTTACTTTGTTTATGGTGTCTTTTGTCATACAAAATTTCAAATGTTATTATATGCAAAAATGTTATTATATGCAAATTTATCAGTTTTCCTTTATGAGTTGTGGTCTTTGTGCCTTATTAAAGAAATCTGTCCTGGCCCAGGTATAATGAAGACATTTTCCTGTGTTTTCTTATGTTTTATAGTTTTGTTTTTCATGTTTAGTGTCTATTTTACCTTAATTTTTTGGTGGGTGGCAAAATTTTCCTTCTTACCCCATATGGAGAATCATTTGTTCCAGCGTCATTTATTGAATAGTTTACCATTTCCCAACTGATTTATAAATAGATAAAAATTCTGCCTTAAATAAAAAAATCCATATATGCATGGGTCTGTTTCTAGACTTGTATTTCGTTTTAATGGTCTATTTGATGATCTGTTTAATTGTAAAAAGAGCGTGTTTTAATTATTATAGATTTATTATAAGCTTGATATCTGGTAAAGATAATGCTTCCTATTCTTCAAAATTGTCCTGGCTCTTCTTGGCCTTTTCCATTTGAGTTTTGCATGGGTTTTTCAAATTTAATGAAGATCCTTTGGATGTATGACAGGAATTGCACTAACGTCATAGATTAATTTGGAAGAGTTGCCATCTTCATGATGAGATCTCAGAATTCATTCAAACATCTTTTTAATGATTCCAGAGTATCTTTTTATTGTGATATGGGGTTACAATTTTAAGCTATGTATGTATTTGTCGATGCCCATATAACTGTACAACACAAAATAAGGACCATAAACTATGGACTTTAGTTAATAATAATATATTGTTATTGGTTTATTAATTATAACACACCCATTAATGCAAGATTTTAATTATAAGGGAAACTATAAGCTAAAGAGTAAGGAGTTATATGGGAGTTCTCTTACTATCGGCTTAATTTTCCACAAACCTAAAACTGCTATAAAAAATAAATTAATTAATTAAAAAAAACTCTTAAGCTATGGTGTCCAATTCCTACTAGTTGTGAGACTCAGGGCCACGTTTTGTTGGGGGATTTTCTGTAATTTTCTTTTATTTATTTTCCTTATCTGTATCATATACTTATCTGTACCATGATACTTATGATGGTACTTACCTCAAAAGGTTGTGTGAGGATTATATGATACATGAAAAATGTTTAACGTGGTGATTGGCATATTGGCAAACTTCAGTGGTAGCTACAGTAACAACTCAGGCTCCATCACTTCTCTCTCTCTCTCTCTTTTTTGAGACAAGGTCTTGCTCTGTCACCTAGGCTTCAGTGCAGTGGTGCAATCATAGTGCACCAATCTCTAACTTCTGGCCTCAAGTGGTCATCCTGCCTCAGCCTCCCAAGTAGCCGGGACTACAGGCTTGTGTTACCACACATGGCTAATTTCTAAATTTTTTGTAGAGACAGGGGTCTTGCTATGTTGTCCAGGCTTATCTTTAATACCTGGTCTCAACAATGCTCCCACCTCAGCCTCCCAAAGCACTGGCATTACAGGTGTGAGCCACCGTGTTCCGCCTGGAACCTCTCTCTTCTGATAGACTAACATTCCAGCTTTAGATTTCCCTTCTGATTTAGTCCTTAGCTGCTTAATCCATTCATTCATTGTAAAAATATTTATTCTGTCTCAGATATTGTGCAAGCCACTTTAGATACAAAAATATGTAAGTTTTCTTGACTCAAATAATTTATAGTCTGTTGGAAGAGACAGAGAGTTAGAAAATAATAGTGTGATGCTATGGTGCCATGAAAAGAAATGCCTGACCTTCATTCCATGTTTGGCTGCAAGGATGGTTGCAACAAGCATTCAACATTTTCAAGGATTTTCCCAACCTCTAAGTCAAGCTGGACTTGGGACACAACCTTCCTTGGTTTGACTAAAGAGCCATTGACCAAACCTAGGTTCTGAAAGAACGATGAGTTCTGAAAGGTCTGAGGCCCCATTAACTCTACCTAGACCCATCACCATTAGCAATTGGTGTTCTGGGTTGATTGGCCGCTTTGCTGTCAAGTAAAATGTACTGTTAGTATTAATAGCGGCATGTATTATACCACTCTTGAAAGTAACAAACCCTTCCATGACTCTTAGAAGCCAAGCCTTGCCTATCACACTGCTTCTGTTTCCCTAATCAGGCCACTCATTTCACATAAATGTGTTGCCACCAACACCCAGCAACATTGCCCAGAACACCAACTGCTCCACCTTTCAGAGTCACCTGAATCCTTTGTGCCAGTTTGTATAAAATCTCCACAATTTCCTTACTTGGCCCCTGCTGTGTCCTGAATGCTTATGAGCCGGGAGATCAGAAAACTTCTTCCAAAAGACAATGACTCTTGAACAAAGCCAAAGTATGATCCAATGCCAAGAATTTATAAAGTCTTCGAAAAGATCTCTGATTCTCATGATCCTCTGGAAAGTTTTGCTTTGTGGTTTTCATTCTTTTTGAGTATTATGGCATACAATGACTTCTCGCTTGTGAAGGAAAGTTAGCTTCCATTCTGACCATATATGAGAAGAAATTAAATTGGTTAGTGGCTCAGTGGTTATTTGTCCATAATCATATTATTTGTATTTTTACAGGCTGAACTAAGCTTTTTTCTAAAATTTTAAAAAATTTATTTATTCTTTTTTTTAAAAAAAGTATTTATTTTATTTTTTTAGTCATAGTCTCGCTCTGTCACCCAGGCTGGAGTGCAGTGGTGTGATCTCGGCTCACTGCAACCTTTGCCGCCCAGGTTCAAGCGATTCTCCTGCATCAGCCTACCGAGTATCTGGGATTACAGGCCCCTGCCACCATGCCAGGCTAATTTTTGTATTTTTAGTAGAGATGGGGTCTCGCCATTTTGGCCAGGCTGGTCTTGAGCTCCCGACCTCAGGTGATCTGCCTGCTTCAGCCTCCCAAAGTGCTGGGATTACAGGCATGAGCCACTGTGCCCGGCCTACTAGATGTAATTTTGAAGCCAATACCCACAAAGTTATCCTAACGATACTGAAAAGAACCTGAATAATAAGCATAAATTAAACATTAGCTATTTATTGTTTTAAAGTTAATAGCCATAAAGGGGCTCAAACAACTCTATAATCCAATTAAAAATGGGCAAAAGGTTTGAATAGACATTTTTTCAATAGAAGACATAAGACAAGATGCTCAACATCATTGATCATCAGAGAAGTGCAAATCGAAACTACAATGAGATGTCATCTCACCCTCATAACTAATCTCACCCCCAGTTATTGCCTGTCTTTTGGATATAAGCTAAGAAAAAAGGGAACTTTCATACTGTTGATGGGAATGTAAATTAGGGTAACCACTATGGAGAACAATTTGGAGCTTCCTCAAAAAACTAAAAATAGAAGTACTGTACAGCAATCCCACTGGTGCATATATACTCCAAAGAAAGAGAATAAGTATGTTGCAGAGATATCTGCACTCCCATGTTTATTGCAGCACTGTTCACAATAGCTAAGATTTGGAAGCAATGTGAGTGTTCATCAACAGATAAATGAATAAAGAAAATGTCATACTTATATACAATGGAGTACTATTTAGCCATAAAAAATAATGAGATTCAGTCATTTGCAATAACATGGATGGAACTGGGGGTCATTATGTTAAGTTAAATAAGCTAGGCACAGAAAGACAAACATTGCATGTTCTACTTGTTTGTGGGATCTAAAAATCAAAACAATTGAACCCTTGGAGATAGACAGTAGAAGGATGGCTACCAGAAGCTGGGAAGGGTAATGGGAGAGTGAGAGGGAGGTGGGGATAGTTAATGGATACAAAAAATAGTTAGAAAGAATGAATAAGGCCTAGTATTTGATAGCACAACAGGGTGACTATAGTCCATAATAATTTAATTGTACATTTAAAAATAACTAAAAGGGTCTAATTGGATTATTTGTAACACAAAGGATAAATGCTTGAGGAGATGGATATCCATTTTCCATGATGTGATTATTACACATTGCATGCCTATATCAAAACATCTAATATATCCCATAAATATATATACCTACTATGTACCCAAAAACATTAAAAATAAAGTTAAAAACTAGACAAAATAAAATAAGTTAATAGCCATAATGCACTAAGTTTTCCTTACCTTATATGTTAACTTTTATACAGCAATATAAGTTATAAAAAAACCAAAACTGAAGTTGTAATAGAAACGTACTTCAACTTTTTCTTTTCTTTTTCTTTTCTTTTTTTCTCTTTTTTTTTTTTTTTTTTGAGACAGAGTCTCCCTCTGTCGCCCAGGCTGGAGTGCAGCGGCACAATTTCAGCTCACTGCAACCTCTGCCTCCCAGGTTCAAGCAATTCTCATGCTTCAGCCTCCCGAGTAGCTGTAACTACTGGTGCGTGCCACCATGCCCTGGCTAATTTTTATACTTTTAGTAGAGATGGGGTTTTGCCATGTTGGCCAGGCTGATCTCAAACTCCTGACCTCAAGTGATCCTCTTGCCTCAGCCTCCCAAAGTGCTGGGATTACAGATGTGAGCCACCGCGCCTGGCCTATTTTCACTTTTGACTTGATTCATCCTAATCATATAAAACATCAGCATTTTTATGAGGAGAAAAAGTAAACCCCAGCCGGGCACGGTGGCTCATGCCTGTAATCCCAGCACTTTGGGAGGCAGAGGCTGGCGGGTCACGAGGTCAGGAGTTCGAGACCAGCCTGACCAACATGGTGAAACCACATCTCTACTAAACATACAAAAATTAGCCAGGCATGGTGGCGCATGTCTGTACTCAGCTACTCAGGAGGCTGAGGCAGGAGAATAGCTTGAACCCTGGAGGCAGAGGTTGCAATGAGCCGAGATTGTGCCACTGCACTCCAGCCTGGGTGACAGAGCAAGAGTCCATCTCAAAAAATATATTAAAAAAAAGCAAACCTCTGCCCTAGAAATGATGGTTTTTGTTCCAAGATAGTGCTAAAACTACTTTGATTGTTGAGATCTTAGCAGCAGGTAGCACAACAGTTCATTTACACATTAATCATTTTTAAACCTGACATTTGGTTTCTTGTAATGTTATGACTACTAAGCAGAAGCTAATTACTCTAGAGCACATTATGAGTTCTGAATGCCTTTTTTTTCCCTCTGTAAAGAATGTTCAATCATGTCTCCTGCCTGTTCTTGTTCGCTGGATTTCAGTATTACCCACAATGCTTCTTTAAAATAACCCTTGGTTTCTTAGGAAGTTAACATAGAAAGCAATCAATTACAACTATGTGCATATACAACAGAAATAAATCTGATCCTAAGTAAAGCTAATATTTGCCAATGTTTCCACTGATAAGGAAGCCAGGTCATAGAATCTGAATATAGAACAAATTTTCTCTTTATTGAGTGCTTTCAACAGAGGCCAAAGTAAGCATTTTCTGAGGTTCAAGTATTTTATATGTATGCATATATACAAAAATACACACATACGTATATATAAAATGTAATATAAATATATGTGTATTTATATATGTGTATTGTATATATAAATCATGTATATATAAATTTAGTATAAAAGTAAATATATTTTTATGGAAATAAATGTTGTACTCACATTGTAATCAGGAGAGTGGTTCATATATTGTGTTTGTCTTCAGAAACAAATAAAAACCCAACACATGAACACAATTTTGCTGACTTAACATTTTTTGCAAATGTTGTTTAAAGGTTTCTACTTTCATGATGCACTATTTTCAAATACAATTTTAAAAAGCTGTTGTGAATGCTTACTTATTTTGGACTCATAAAAAGTTCTCTGCCCAAAATATTAGGGTTAAGCGCATGAAGCATAAAATGACTTCAGCTTAGTAAATCTTTTGTCCTATTGTATAGGTAGTTCATTACTTTTTAAAACTGTGAATTTTCTCTGTGCTATCACTAAATTCAATTCTAGAATAAAAAATGTAAGGAGAACTAGGTAAAGAATCACCTTCGTTGGAATTTGAGCAGCTATTTGCTGTTGTACTCTGTTAGAGTATTTATTAGTCATCTTACATTAATTTATAAAAATTTGGTCTTACAAGCTTCTACTTAAAATTAAACAGACTCACAATGAATGAAAACCATGACATAATGAATAACAAAATGAAGGCTTATTTTAGTGAAGGGATTCTTCCTTAGTATTTTTTGGCATTTGGGGGAACATTTTATTACATTTATTGAAAAAGAAGAAAAGGGGAAAAGAAAGAAAAGCAGTCTATATAAAACAAAGTAACACTACTAGAAAAATGAATAAGACATGAATCTAATGCTGTTGGAACTCATTGTCTAGTGAGAGATATAGTTAACCCTTCACAATAAAAAGTGATGAATGTGTTTTTCACTGCTATGGGAACCATAGACCTAGAGCCCAACCTCCAGAGAAAGTTCAGGAGAACACACTTCTGATGTCAATATTTTGGAAACTCTGGGTGAACAGGGGCAGATCATTTTAACATACCTCATCTGTGTTTGAATTTCTAAGACATAAGACTGATGAACATTTGGGTTCCACTCAGCATTTTCCTATTAAATGCACACTTCCCAAAATCTTTTCATGTCCACTAAAACTAGTACTAGATCTGATTGAATTCAATGTTTAAATGTGTTAAAGATGAGTCTTTTTTTTTTTTACTATAAATATACTTTAGTTATTTTTGTTTACAACTGAAACTCTGGGAATTCAAAATTAACATCCTTTCCAATGAGCTTCTTATAGATACCAGAAAAAGTTGCAACCTTGTATTCCACATTGTCCTGCTGTGCTTTGTCCAATGAACCTTTATGAGCTGGCTGCCATCCAGTTTCTCTCCCCTCCCTGTCCTTACCATCCCACCTTTTTCTCTTCACTCTCTGGCTCAGGCTCTCTCTGTATCTGATTAACAAGGAACCCAAGCTACAGAGGGACAAGGATGTGTGTGTGTGTGTGTGTGTGTGTGTGCGCGCGCGCGCGCGCGCGTGCGTGTGTGTGTGTGTGTGTGTGTGTTGGTGGGAATGGAGAGATAAGGGAGGGGCACTGGGGGAGTACTGCAGCCTCTCAGACCCTGCCCACAATGCAGAAGTTGAAAAATCAGCCACCTGGTTCAGTCTCAAGAGTCAAAATCACCAAACCACACAAACCTTCTAATACTGAACATTGAATCTAGTGTGCAATTTTGCTAAAAGATATTGTATTTTTTTCCTCTATCATATTCTCCTTGTATTATTCTGGCATCGGGTAGGCTGAGTGCCCAGCAGAGGTATGGGTAACTGTCCTATTCCAGAAAGAATTGGTAAAGGTAGTTCTCTTAACAAAAATATATGGCTACTTTTACATACGATTAGTTCAGTAGCAACATCACATGATGTTTCCTTATCTTCTGACCTATATTTATCAACCCCAGTGACGGGCCTACAACTTAGTTTGCATCCGCCTGTCACTGAGAACATGATACAATTAAAAATTGCTCAATTTTTTATAATTTCCCTGGAGCGTTTCTCCCTTACTTTTGTTACCATATCACATTTTTATCACATGATGTTACTTATAAATTTCTATCATATACTAAAGGTATTTATATGCACCCTTTGTATTATCTGCTAAACTGTAAACTAAGAGCAAGTTGCATGTCCAATTTTTTTATAAGCTCAGCATTTAACATGTGATATACATTAAGAACACATAGATGCCCAATAAATATTGGTTAAATAAGAGAATGAATAAATTAACATTCTCTTCCTTTCTATAATCCCATGATGACTCTGCTTTTGGTTGCTCTTTAATTTGGCATCATTAACTCTTCAGTATTTCTACTGTATGCTCTCACTGTAACACTTTCATCATCTTTACTCTCCCAGGCCATGGGATTTTTCTTCACTACATTACTTTAGTAAGCATTGTGCTAAGATGACACAAACATTTTAACAGCTTTGTAAGATGTTTCTAATGTCACCTTTTATGAACACCAAATGAATTGTATACAGACACATGGCAGATGAGGCACTTTTAACCAAAATGAGCTGAAGACACTTTTTGTATTTTGGTAGTATTATCTGCAATCTCCCCAAGTATGAATGTACTAATATCTAAAATCAAGAGGAAGCTATCTTGAGAGATGTTTCATTATGTGTGAGTGAGTAAGATGTTTGGAAGGAGGTGATCAGTTTAATTTTAATTGTAATTTTCATTCTGTCACCCAGGTGGGAGTGGGAGTGCAGTGGTGTGATCATGGCTCATTGCAGCCTCATCCTCGTGGGCTCAAGTGACACTCCTTGAATAAGTGGGACCAAAGGTGCATGCCACCATGCTTGACTAAGTTTTTAATTTTTTCAGAGCTGGGTTTTCGCCATGTTTCCCAGACTGGTCTTGAACTCCTGGGCTCAAGTGATCCTTCCACCTCAGCCTGCCAAAGTGTTGAGATTATAGACATGAGTCACCACACCCGGCCCAGTTTAATTTTTTTTTTTTTTTGAGACGGAATTTCACTCTTGTTGCCCAGGCTGGAGCGCAGCAGCGTGATCTCAGCTCACCACCACCTCCGCCTCCTGGGTTCAAGTGATTCTTCTGCCTCAGCCTCCCGAGTAGCTGGGATTACAGCCATGCCCCACCACGGCCGGCTAATGTTTTATTTTTAGTAGAGATGAGGGTTTCTCTACGTTGGTCAGGCTGGTCTCGAACTCCCGACCTCAGGTGATCCACCCACCTCAGCCTCCCAAAGTGCCAGGATTACAGGCGTGAGCCACCGCTCCCAGCCTAAAATTTTTTTTCTAATAAAAAAAAGAGTTAAAACTTTAAAAAAATATATACACTTATTAAATAACTATGTAAAATGGCTTAAAATGGAAAGTAAAATATAAAGTACTCTGCTGCCCAGCCTCTAGTTCTTCTAGTAATTACAGTTGTAACTCCACAGCTTTAAATAGCTTATTACTGTAGATTTATCAACTTGGGATAATATATAATATATATTGCTTCCTAATACAAATCATTTTTCATACTTATCAATTTTCCCATCCATACCTCTTAACTAAATCGTTATTTTATTTCCATTTGTGAGCCGCCATTACTAGGTACGTAAATTTGGGCAAGTTACTTAACCCTCTGTGACTCAGTTTTTTTTGTTTTTTGTTTTCTGTTTTTGTTTTTGTTTTTGAGACGGAGTTTCACTCTTGTTGCCCAGGCTGGAGTGCAATGGCGCGATCTCGGCTCACCGCAACCTCCGCCTCCTGTGTTCAAGCGATTCTCCTGTCTCAGCCTCCCGAGTAGCTGGGATTACAGGCATGCACCACCATGTCTGGCTAATTTTGTATTTTTAGTAGAGACAGGGTTTCTCCATGTTAGCCAGCCTGGTCTCAAACTCCCGACCTCAGGTGATCCGCCCGCCTCGGCCTCCCAAGTGCTGGGATTACAGGCGTGAGCCACTGCACCCGGTGACTCAGTTTTACTGTCTCTCAAGTGGACAAAAGTCTTTGAATACTTAGAGTGATTATTGTGAGGATTAAATGACTTAATGTATGTAAAATGCTTAGAACTGTGCCTGGCACATAGTAAATACTGTGTAAGTAATTACAGTCACTACTCTTGCTTTTCTTTTAATGGCTACATTGATAAATTCACATATTCTTAAACATTAGTATCTTACTCAGTTTATTTTTTTTTCCCAAATCAATAGGTCTTTTATTGCATCATTTAAATATCACAAGTAGGAGTCATCTGGCATCTTCTTTCTGTAGCTGGATAACTCTTAGATCTTATTCATCAGCCTGCTGACCAGTTCCTTTTTCAGAGACATAGATACCATCCAAAAATTCCCTGATATCCTTCTTTTTAACTGTTGTGGCTTGTTGAATCAAAGCCGCTGAATTTGAAACAAGCTCAATGTCATTTCCTTCAAGGATTAATTCATCTTTCTGGGCTTGAGATACTGAACAAACAACACCTGCTCTCATCCAAACCCTGCGGATGTATTTTTTACCCAAGAAATTTCGGATTTCAACAAGAGACCCATTCTCCTGGATAACGACGTTGATGGGGAAGTGAGCATACACAGATCTCATCTTGTAATGGAAGCCTAGTGTAACACCCTTGATCATGTTCTGTACATGACTACAGATAGTCCGAACGGTAGCCAGTTTCTTTCTGTTCCCCCACCGTTTGTCAACTTGGAGCCTCTTTTTTTTCTTTCCAAGAAGACTGAGTTCTACTGATGTGATTGAAGTCCCTCCGCAGGGTTCCTCTGGGGCCCTTCACAATAACTGTGCGTCCCTTCAGAGTAGTGTCGACATTTTTCATTTTCGCAGTAGATGCAGCAAAGAAAGCTCTTATTCAGTTTAACTAGAACATATTGGCTCCCTGTTTTGTAAGCTACTCTTGCATTATCCTTCATCTCTCCTCCTGACCTTGCACCTCCCAATTGATAAGAAGTAAGTAATTAATGTAACTAAATGAAATCATTTAATTCAGTCATTTATTCAGTTCTGTGACAAAAATTAAGATTTCTTTGTTTTGTGTAGAAAAGTTTTGAAACTTGAAAGCCCCTCAAAAGATAGCATTTACATTTTTATGACGTTAATATTGTTTACTACAGAGTAAAGCAGAATAAGGTTATACTTTGCTGTAAGTCCAACATTTTTTCCCTGTACCAATCAAAAAATAATGTTCCAAACATCAAGATAAAATATTTCCTCTTCTTACATTCAATTGCCTATTCAATCATTCCATATTTTAGTTTGCCTTATATTTAACTCATCAGTTTTTTTTATTTACAACAGTATTAGTTGTTTATACAAGTTCCTACTTTATACGATTTTTTGTTTAGGCAGCTTTTCAGTAACATTTCTATTACAAGTTATTCATGAAGCGTCCCAGGAGAAAGTTGAGAAGCTTCAAAGAGCCACATGCAAGGGACAGGTGACAGAAGGGCAAAGGGGGAATAGCAATCACTCCGTAAACCACCATTTCTTATAAAACCTTTATTGCTTAGTGGTACTTCTGATTGCTTTTCTTTCGCCTCGCTGACAAAAGAAACCCTTTACTCTATGTGAAGATTATCCAGCCTGTAGAAATTACTATCTGTTGCAGGACTGTTCCAGGATCCCTCTAATTTCCTGCTTCCATCTGGACAAACTTTGTCCTAATTTTCCCCTGGCTTAGCTTCATTGTTTCCATACTTTCCTCTTTTTCACATTTATTCATTGTTCTGCTAAACTATATATTCAAATAGTATCCTCAAAAAAGATGATTGGGAGATCAACTTTCTGAATTCTTGCATGTCTAAAAATGTATTTGTACTCAACAATTGTCTGATAATTTGGGCATAAAATATGAAGTCCAAAATCACTTATTTGAGAAGTTTATAAACACTTTTCATCATTATCTTCTCATATCCAGTGTCGCTATTTAGAAATTGACAGTTGGATACTCCTTACTCTGTAAGTGAACCTGGATTTTCTTTCTGGAAGCTTTTACAATTTTATCTTTTTCCTTGGTAATCTGAAATATAATGAAGATGTGGGAACGTAATATTTTATTTTAGTTTTCATATAGCCTACTTGACTCTTTATAGGTATTTTTAGTTTAAAAACTTATTTGTTTTCAGTCCTAAGAATTTTCTTCCTTTAATAATTCCCTCTCTTCTATTTCTTCAATTCTTTTTTTCTGAAATACACCTTAGATCAAGTGTTGGAGTTCCTAGATTAAGCCTCTATATATCACCTTTTCTTTCATGCTTCCCATCTTCATTTTTGCTCTTCATTCTGGAGACTTCCTTGCAGCACTTCTATTGATTTTTTGTTTGTTTGTTTTTTGACACGGTGTCTCACTCTGTTGCCCAGGCTGGAATGCAGTGGAATGATCTCGGCTCACTGCAACCTCCGCCTCCTGGGTTCAAGCGATTCTCCTGTCTCAGCCACCACGCCCGACTAATTTTTGTATTTTTAGTAGAGACAGGTTTTCACCATGTCGGCCAGGCTGCTCTCGAACTCCTGACCCCAAATGATCCTCCTGCCTCAGCCTCCCAAAGTGCTAGGATTGCAGGCGTGGGCCACCACACCTAGCTCTATTGATTTTTTTTTTAACATTTGTTTTTGGTTTCTAAAAGCTTTTTTGTGTTTCCTAATGGTTCATTTTTCATAGTTTTTAGCATAGGTTTTTTCGAGCAGAGTATCTAGCATAGTAATGTGGATACAATATGACTTCTAACTCTTCAGAGGATACTAATAAGAATTTGTGTTATCAATGTTGTAAGTTCTCTTTCTCAAATTGGCTCTGTTTATGCCCATTTTTGGTTTGTTCATCCTGGTCTTTTACATTAAAATTGTTAATTTTCTTCCTATTTCTGGGGATATATATATTTGTCCATTTATACTTACAAAATAAAAGATAGGCTAGTCAGTATCAATGCTGGCATGAGTTTCTCCAGCTGTGTGTTGTTTCTCCAGCAAGTCTCTTCCCTAGCTAGCAGCAGTATGTGTGTAGATGAGTGAGGGGTATTTCTTGGCCAACTTTATTTACTTGGTCTTTTTAGGTAGAAAGCAAGAGGACAGGCTGGGCGCAGTGGCTCACTCCTGTAGTTCTAGCACTTTGGGAGGCCAAGGCGGGTGGATGTCAGGAGTTTGAGACCAGCCTGGCAAACATGGTGAAACCCCGTCTCTACTAAAGAAACAAAGTTAGCCAGGCGTGGTGGCAGGTGCCTGTAATCCCAGCTACTTGGGAGGCTGAGGCAGGAGAATTGCTTGAACCTGGGAGGCAGAGGTTGCAGTGAGCCGAGATTGTGCTCCTGGGCAACAGGGCGAGATTCTGTCAAAAAAAAAAAAAAAAAGAAAGAAAGAAAAAGAAAGGAAGGAAGGAAAGAAAGAAAAAGAAAAAGAAAGAAAAAGAGAGAGGACAGTGTGGAGAAGCAACAAAAAGTCAGAATGGGAATGCTGAGACTTTGTTCTAGGATATAATTTTTTGTTGTTTTTGTTGTTTTTGAGACAGAGTCTCATTCTGTTGCCCAGGCTGGAGTGCACTGGCATGATCTTAGCTCACTGCAACCTCCACCTCCTGGGTTCAAGTGATTCTCCTGCCTCAGCCTCCCAAGGAGCTGGGATTAGAGGCAACTGCCACCACGCCTGGCTAATTTTTGTATTTTTAATAGAGACGGAGTGTCTCCATGTTGGCAGGCAGGTCTCGAACTCCTGACCTCAAGTGATCCACCCACCTTGGCCTCCCAAAGTGCTGGGATTACAGGCGTGAGCCACTTCACCTGGCCAGAAGCTCATGTTTTATGTTATTTTGTCAATAAACTACCATACATATTCCAACTTCCAGAAATTCATTGAAAACTCTGGTTAACTAATCAGCCACTTCCCATTTTACTTACTGCTATGGGGTTATTTCCTTCGTATTTCTTTACTATCGTTTCAATGATGTTGATGAATAGAGGAGCATTAAGTAAGTATACTCAGCTTCCTTTATTCATTTCACAAATATTTATTGAGTTCATATCAGGTCAATATTAACATGAGATTGGCTTGGTGCGTTTGCAGATTTTCTCACTCTAGAAGGCCATTTTTCTTCAGTAAGACATGAAGGACCCTAAAGCCTACCCCACAACCACAGCTCCACTGACAGAAAACTAGATGGAGCTGATTGACTGTATGCCAAGCCAGCAGCTAGACTCCTTCTCCCTTCCACTCTTAGGCTTTTTAAACTTTCTCTCACCTTGCTTGCCCTTCCTTTCCAGTCTGGCTCCCTTAAGAGTATGGAATAAATTCTTAAGAGTATGGAATAAATGACAAGACATTAGAGAATTATTAGGTCACATTTGAAGGAAAAAAAAGAACCTAGAGAGTTATTCTAACAAGAAAGCTGTTTTTGGCCAACAGCATTTTCCCATTTTAAGTATAGGAGTCGAATGTGGAATCTTTATGGAGTAACAAGGAAGATAAATCAACCAAGGTCTGGAACAAAGGTTTGGCGGGGAGCTCCAAAGAATCCTCCCTGCAATAAATGGGAGCTATTCTTTCAAACTGTGGATGACCTGGAAATGGAAGAGCCTATGTAGAATCACAGTCCAGTTGAATCTACTGGAATATCCAGAGAAACTCAAGACTTGAATTTGGTTTACAATTGTCCGGACTTATAACAGCCCCAGACATGAGTACTAAGTCTTTCTGGAGGAGAGTATCTTCAAAACATTTCAATTTCAATCACAATGCCCAGCAAACAGACAATCAAGCCTCCCACCCCCAAATTAGTCTCCATGAGCAAAAGGCAGGCCCTCAGAGACTTTAGATGTAGGGATTACCAAATGCAGAGTCTAAGAACACTATGCTGACCGTTTAAAGAAATAAAAGACGAGACTGAAGATATCTGCAGAAAATAGATTATGAAATGATACCTGAGGGTAAGTGTGAAGGATGGATTAGTCTTTCAATCTTGAGAATGTAGCAGGAGAGGAGGTGTACCCCTCATGGGCTTGGAAAATGATATTATAATTAATAAAAAGAACTGACAGAATCTGAATATTTACTGTATACCAACTGTTTAGTCTGCTAAACCTGCCATAACAAAATATCACCGTGGCTTAATGTAAGAGTTAGGAAAACAAATTGTTTTTCCTATTTTTACACACTCAACACAACATAGAAAACTGATACCATATGTAGGAGGATTTTCCCTCACACACAAAGGACTTCCTCAGTGGACACCAATTAGGCATCCTATAATCCAATTAATTCAATTCAAACACTATCTACTTGAGTTAGAGTTAGACCCCACAGTTTTTGTTTGTTTGTTTGTTTGTTTTTTTGAGACAATCTCTCTCTGTTACTCAGGCTGGAGGGCAGGGGTCGACCTCGGCTCACTGGAACCTCCGCCTCCCAGGTTCAAGCAATTCTCATGCCTCAGCCTCATGAGTAGCTGGGACCACAGGCATGCACCACCATGCCCAGCTAATTTTTTTAGATCCCACAGATTAAGAACTCAGTCCCACGAGACTGGCTTCACTTGAGGCATCAATTGCAAGTCCCAGGTTGTGACTTGTACTTCTGACCAACCAACTATAAACTGGGATTCCCATGACCAACTCCTCTTGTTCAATAATTTGCTACGACACTCAAAGAATTCAGGGAAACACTTTATGTTTACTCATTATAAGGATATCACAAAGAATACAGGTGAACAGCCAGATAGAAGAGATGCACAGGGAGGGAGAGGTATGGGGGGGCTTTCATACCCTCTCCAGGCACACCATCTTCCAAGCACCTCCACATGTTCAGCAACCTAGAAGCTGTCTGAATCCTGTCTTTTTAGGTTTTTATGGAGGTTTCATTACATAGGTATGACTGAATACAACACTGGCTATTGGTGATCAACTCAACCTTCAGCCCCTCTCTCCTCCCCAGAAATTGGGAATGACACTGAAAGTTTCAATCTTCTGGTCATACGATTGCTTCCCTTGGGAATAAGCTCCTATCCTGAGGCTACTCAGGAGCCCACCAAAAGTCACCTCATTAGAACAAAAGATCCTCCTATAACCCAGGAAATATCAAGATATTTAGGAGGTCTGTGTCAGGAATCAGGATCAAAGACCAAATGCCAAAAGTGAAGATTCTCCTAGCACCCCTATCTACAAGGGTTTTAGTGGCTTAAAGTCAGGAACTGGGGCATATATATATATACACACACATATATATACACATATATATACACACACATATATATACACATATATATACATATATACACATATATACACATATACACATATATAAATACACGTATATATATATAAATACACATATATACACATATATGTATACACGTATATATATATATATATACACACGTGTATATACGTGTGTATATATATATATACCCAATGTAACTGTATTTGGAGATAGGGCTTTTTGGAATTGTTTTTTGATGTTCTCATACAAACTATTCAAGCAAGATGGAATATCTGCTATTACATATATAAAAGGCTACTGGAACAAAATACTTTTTACCATACTTGGCAGATGATAATGCTAGCCTGGCAGGACTTACTAACAATGAGTGATTACCTGCAAAAGATGTTAATTGGCTGCTTAAGGAGAAACCAAATTGATGTGTCCTGAGAGGGCAAGCATTTCTCATACGGAACCTAGCATTAAGATCCTCCTGTTATTTAAATTCAAGGGAGATTTTGGAAATCATAAGCACGTAATGAAAACTGAGAAGGAGATTAAAATATTGGAAGTGATTTTTTTTTCTTAAAACCAAATCTGTGTTCCTCTGCCACATTTTTAGATCCAAAGCTTAAAACATTAAATGTGTTTGTATAAATTACATATCTATATATAATTATTTCACACTTAAGCAACAAAAATTTCTTTTCTCACAGTTCTGGAGGTTAGAAGTCTGAGATCAAGGTGTTGGCAGGGTTGGTTCCTTATGAGGCCTCTCTCCTTGGCTTGCAGATGGCTGTCTCCAATACCAGTCATATGAGGCCGTCCTTATGACCTCATTTAACTTTAGTTAGCTCCTAAAAGGCCCTATCTCCAAATACAGTTACATTGGGAGTTAGGGCTTCAACATATAAATTTTAGGGGCACACAATTCAGTCCATAACACCAAGTGATGTTCTAAGAGCTTTACAGTAATTATTTAATCTTCACAACAATCCTAGGAAATAGGCGCTCTTGTCATTTCCATTTGTTTAGACGAAAAAACTAACCCACCAAGAGGCTAAGCAATTTGCCTTACATTATACAGTATGTCATTGGAACAACTGGTAAAGCCAGTATTGGATAGGAGGAATATGTGCTCTTAACCATTACAATATACTGAGAAGTAGAAGGTTTTGGGAGCTTGTGTTCAAAAGGGCGAAATTGTCCTGGACTCAGACGAATCTAATGTTTCAGAACTTCTTTTGGCTTAGAGGGTGGTGGTGCACATAAAGCACCTCAGATGTGAAGGAAGACCCTGGCCCAGCACCACTTTTCCTAAAAGGGCTCACTCAGGCACGAGCCCTACATCCTACCTCATGGTGCCAAGCAGAGGCGATGCACTACTTCCCCTATCACCCGGCGAGTTAGAGACCAGCCCATACTCAAGTTTTGAAACATGGCTCCCTAATATCCAAGGAGTCACCTAATAAGATGTCCTCTACTTTCTGTGGTCTAAGATGCTACTTATCAGTCTTTCTAATTATTGCAGTAGCCAGATCATTTTCTCATCTACTACATTTTTATCTGTTAGCTTCCAGGCCAGCTGCTGTTCTGCGCTAATCTCCCCTCTTGGCTTTTGTCAGAGATTCATTCATTCATTCAATACATATTTATTGAACCACTACTATGTACTTGACACTGTTTGAGGAGCTAGGTGTATATCAGTGAATAAAACAGTCAAAAATCCCTGCCTTCAAATAACTTGCATTCTAGTGCCTTTTACTGAGAATTCTCCCATTGCTATTTGATTGGGCCAGAGGTCAGACTAGTGCATAGTAATTGGGATCAGGAGAACAAGTGAAAGTCCAGTTGCAAATATTTGATATACATTATGTATAAAAATATTTAGAAAAAATATTTAGAAGGATACACATTACATGGAGTAAAATTGGTAGTGAGGGCAGGTATGCGGGGACTTCTACTTTTATAACTTCTTTAAGGTTTGTTTTTAAATCAATAAACATGTGTTACTTTTTTTTGAGACACGGTCTCCCTCTGTTGCTCAGGCTGGAGCATAGTGGTGTGATCATAGCTCACTGCAGCATCAATTCCTGGGCTCAAATGATCCTCCCACCTTGTTTTTCCAAAATACTGGGATTACAGGCATGAGCCACTGCATCTAGAAAAGAGCCTCTCTTATATCGAGATAAGAAAGAAAAAGAAAAGAGCAGATACAGATTATGTTTAGATACAGATTGAAGCAAATCTGATCAAATGAAGAAAAAGCTTCGATCAAAGTTCTGAGGAAAAAGCATAGAGTGAGGAGGCGAGGCAGAAAGACCTGAGTTCAAATTATAACTTCATGACTCCTGGCTAAAACCTGCATCCAGTTACTTAAACTTTCTTATCTCCAAATGAGATTAACAATCTTGTAGGATTGTAGAGGCACTTAAATGTAATAATGTGTGTACAGTGTTCAGCAATCGTTCTCAACAAACGTGGCTTGTTTTCTCTGTTAGCCCCTTCCCTGGCCTCCTGGACAGAAGTTTGTAAGAGTCTAATTCAAGAGCAGTTATTTAACAGCTCAGCATAGTCAGTCTCACTGTTGCTTTGGCTCTGACCTTGGCACCTAAAAGCCCCAGTGCATGAGTCCACATCATAAATTTACATTTCCAGGTTACTGGTACAATATCCTATAAACCATTCTCCTCTCTGGGACCAGGTTCCTACCCAAGCACCTGCCCTTCCAGGGCTAAGTTTCTTACTTGGAACCTCATTCACTCCTGTGGCTAGATTACCTATCATTTCCCTATGATGACACTTTCAGATATCTGCTGCTGAAATTCTAAAATTCTGCCCATAGAGCTATGACCCAATTCGACAAAAGAATTTGTGGCCATACTCCCAAGTCCAGAGGCCAAGCCTTCATCTAATTGTGTGGGTCTATGTTTCTTGCATACTGAACTTGCAAACACTTCAGAATGTAACTGAGATTACTGATGCTCCTGGCATCAGATTTTGGTGGCCACTCTAACCACACTGATTAAGAAAATACGTATTTTGTAGTGAGAAGAGGTATTGTTAACTGTTTGCTCTATTGTAGATCCAACTCACTTCCAGTGAGACTCCTTGAGACAGTGTAAATCCTACAAATGATACTGTCGTTTCCTTTGTAGTCCAGACTTTGCCTTGGTTATGAGCTCAAATCTTCAATACCACTTTGGTTTTGGCTTTTCTTTGGATGGCTAAATAGCTGAGTACATTTTTCAGCGTTATTCTATACATCCCTGAACTTGAACAGTGATTCTGTGAACACATAGGTTACTATCCTAAACAATAAGCCTGACAACCTAGTATATACACTAAACATGTCACTTGAATGTATTGATATCTGAATATACACTTTAAAATATAAATAAGTATCCTAAAAATCAAAGTCCTCAAGGGCTTTAAATTTGGAAACTTTATCAATTACTTAAAGTACAAATATATATATTTATATTATTACAAGAGTAAATGATGCAGTGATTAATGATGATTATAAAAGTTGTTAATTTAATGCACCAAGACAATTTCTAAGGATTTTCAAATATTAAATACAAAAGGTTATAGAGTTATGATTCATATCAATGTTAAAAGAAAATGTTGGCTAGACAACTTTAAGAATAGTGTATCAATTTCGAGTCAAGAGATGTTTGCAAAAATTTCAAAAATAGTATCAGACAGAATAATAGAGATTAGATTTTATCATCATCATAGTTATAATCTTTGCAGAACTTTTAAAAATTAGAATTCATAGCATCAAAATAATTTTTAAGAATTGTATTTTAAATTTTGTTATTTAACTTCATTTGTATTATGAAGTTTTTGAAGAAAAAAATTCCTTTTGAGAATCTTTCACTTATGTGAGGAAGAATTAAAAGTAGAATATTAATTTGATAGACTCAGATTTTGGAATTGTTTTTTCATGTTCTCATACAAACTATTCAAGCAAGATGGAATATCTGCTATTACATATGCTATTACATATTTTGCGGGAACAAAATAAAGACTTTTTACCATACTTGGTAGATTATAATGCTAGCCTGGCAGGACTTACTAACAATGAATGATTACCTGCAAAAGATGTTAGTTGGCTGCTTAAGAAGAAACCAAATTGGGCCGGGGGCGGTGGCTCACGCCTGTAATCCCAGCACTTTGGGGGGCCGAGGCGGGCGGATCACGAGGTCAGGAGATCGAGACCATCCTGGCTAACACGGTGAAACTCCGTGTCTACTAATAATACAAAAAATTAGCCGGGCGCGGTGGCGGGCGCCTGTAGTCCCAGCTACTCGGGAGGCTGAGGCAGGAGAATGGCGTGAACTGGGGAGGCGGAGCTTGCAGTGAGCCGAGATTGCGCCACTGCACTCCAGCCTAGGCAACAGAGCCAGACTCCGTCTCAAAAAAAAAAAAAAGAAACCAAATTGACGTGTCCTGAGAGGGCAAGCATTTCTCACATGCTGGCATTAAGATCCTCCTGTCATTTAAATTCAAGGGAGATTTTGGAAATTATAAGCACATAATGAAAACTGAGGAGGAGGTTAAAATATTGGAAGTGATTTTTTTTTCTTAAAACCAAATTTGTGTTCCTCTGCCACATTTTTAGATCCAAAGCTTAAAACATTAAATGTGTTTGTATAAAAGAAGTAGTTCATGAAAAAATATTAAATGTGGGCCGGGCCCGGTGGCTCACACCTGTAATCCCAGCACTTTGCGATGCCGAGGCAGGCGGATCACAAGGTGAAGAGATTGAGACCATCCTGGCCAACATGGTGAAACCTCGCTCTACTAAAAATACAAAAATTAGCTGGGCGTGGTGACCACTCCTGTAGTCCCAGCTACTCAGGAGGCTGAGGCAGGAGAATCCCTTGAACCCAGGAGGTGCAGGTTGCAGTGAGCCAAGATTGCACCACTGCACTCCAGCCTGGCGATAGAGCGAGACTCCATCTCAAATAAATAAATAAGCACATGTGAAAGCAACGATTTTCTAATTTTACTTTTTATTGTGAAATTTTAAAAACATACATAAAAGCAGAGTGAGAACAGTATTATAAGCCCTCTTGTACCCATCTCCTAGTATTTATAATTATTAGCATTTTGTCATTCTTCTTTCATCTAGCCTCCATCCATTAATTTTAATCTTAATTATTTTTTCTGGAGTTTTTAAAATAAAATTCTAGATAACAGACAGTTTCACCTATATGAGTGTCCACAAGAATTTCTAAAAAACAAGGGATTTTTAGAAAACATAGCTCAATACAGTTATCACACTAAACAAAAATTTCTAAAGGCCTTAAATATTTAGTCTGTTCAATTTTCTCCAATTGCCTTAAAATGTCTTTACGTTTCAGTTATTAGTTTGTTCAGTTGCTTACTAGTCTGTTCAAACCAGAATCCAAAGAAAATCCACATACTGTATTTGTTTCATGTGTTTTTTAAGTCTCTTTTAATCAATAATATTTCACCTTCCCTTTCTAGTTTTTTTTTAAATGTCATTAATCTATTGAAGAAACTGGGTCATTTGACTTTCAGAAATTTCCACCTTCTGAATTTCCCTGATGGCATATGCATAGCGAAGGGCACAACAATCTTAAGACCTTTTCTGAAAATAATCAGAAACATCTTCTTGAAGCAGTACACAAAACTTTGTATCATAAGCTTTTCTTTAAATATGTATCAAAAGTATTGGCTGGGCATGGTGGCTCATGCACGTAATCCATGTAATTGCAGCACTTTAGGAGGCTGAGGCGGGTGGGCGAGTCACCTGAGGTTAAGAGTTCAAGACCAGCCTGGCCAACATGGCGAAACCAAGTCTCTACTAATAATACAAAAATTAGCCCAGCGTGCATGGTGGCATGCACCTGTAATCCCAGCTATCCGGAGGTGGAGGTTGCAGTGAGCCAAGATCGTGCCACTGCACTCCAGCCTGGGGGACAGAGTCAAACTGTGTCTATAAATAAATAAATAAATAAATAAATAAAGTATAATCAGGAAGGACTATCTTGTCTGGCCTCACATGCATGATTGTGTCAGCTTCCAGAGATCACCTGAAGCAATTTCCTGGGTATAAGATTTCTGCTACATCCTCCTCTCAACCTCTACACGTTGCCATGCTCCACAGATCCATCTCAGCTCCTTTTATCCTTCTGTCTACATTTACTCCTCAGGTAATCTAATCTAGTCCTGTGGCTTTAAGTATCATCTAGTGTATGCTGACTGCTTGAAAAATTCATAACTTCAGCTCTACCATCACTCCTGAATTCTAAGCTTTTATATCCAACTATTCATTTTAAAGTCTCACTTGGATATCTCACAGATATTTCCAACATAAAATTTGTGAAATGCCTACCACAGAATCATTGTACCCCTGCACCCTAATCTGCTCCCACACCAATCTTCTCCAAATCCAGCAAATAATACCATCTTTCATCCTGTTACTTAGATGCCAAATCTTGAACTTCTTAACTTCTTTCTCCTTAGTCCCGCATCTAATCCATTAGTATACCTTGCCAGTTCTACTTACAAAAGATAGTCTGGCTGTGTTTAAATCTCCTTCAATCCTATTATTACCACACTGGTCCATGCAACACTATTTTTCTCAGCCTCTTGGATTTCTACAATGGAATATCTGTTATTTTCGCTTTTATAGGCATTCAACCATAATTGTTCACTCTTGTTTGGCTGAAATTCATTTTCCTTAAAGTAGTTTGAGCAATGTGTAAGACAAATCAAAGAATAGAAAACAAAGATGTAGTAGAGTGGATTAACAAAGCTGAAAATGATTTAAAATGATAACAAAATAGACAAACCTTTGGTAAAATTATTCAAACAAAATTGTAGAAAGCAGAACCTTAGAAAAATGAGGAAAAAAATGTTGATAAAGCTATAAATAAATACAAAGGACCTGAAAAAGTAAGAGAATAATAAAAATAAAAAGTTTGTGCTACTAAATAGGAAAATGTAGACATTATGAACAATTTCCTAGGAAACTATAACAACTAATTAGACTCAAGAGAAAACAGAAAATATGAGTAGGTTTATTGAAAATCATACAATGGGATACTACTTCACACCTAATGAGATATAAATAATCAAAGAGTCAGATAATAACAAGTGTTGGAGAGGAAGTGGAGAAATTAGAACCTGTATACATTACTGTTTAGGAATGTAAAATGGTACAGCTGCTTTGAAAGACAGTTTGGCAATTCTTAAAACTGTTAAACATAGGCCAGGCATGGTTGCTCACGCCTATATTCCCAGCACTTTGGGAGGCTGAGGCAGGTGGATTGCTTGATGCCAGGAGTTCCAGGTGGCCAGACCAGCGAGGCCAACATGGTGAGACCCCATCTCTACTAAAAATACAAAAATTATCCAGGCATGGTGGTGCACACCTGTAATCCCAGCTACTTGGGGGGCTGAGGCACGAGAATTGCTTGAACCCAGGAGGCGGAGTTTGCAGTGAACTGAGATTGTGCCACTACACTCCAGCTTAGGTGACAGAGCAAGACTCTGTCTCAAAAAAAAAAAAAAAAATTGCTAGACATAAAGCTGTCATAAGACCCAGAAATTTCATTTCTAAGTATAACCACAAGAGAAGTGAAAGTGTATGTCCACACAGAAGCTTGTATATGTTTATGTCGCATTATTCATAAAGGCCAAAAAGTAGGAACAACCCAAATGTCCATCAATGTCAGTGGATTAAAATTGTGGTATACCCATACAATAAAATATTATTGGTAATAAAAAGAAGTGCAGTACTGATGCTCGCTATAACATGAACAAACCTTGAACACATTAAAGCTAAGTAAAAGAAGTCAGTCACAAGAGACCACGTTATATGATTCCATTTGTAAGAAGTGTCCAGAATAGACAAATCCAGAGACAATTAATGACATATTAGTGGTTGCCTAGGGCTGGTGAGGGAATAAAGCATGGGTGGTAACGACCAAAAGGTATGGAATATTTTTGGCACTATGAAAATGATCTAAAATTGACTGTGGTGATGGTTGTACAATTCTGTGCTAAATGCACTAAATATACTAAAAAAGTACCAAAAAATCATTGAGTGGTACACTTTAAATGGGCAAATTATATGGTATGTGAATTATATCTTAATAACAACTGTTACCAAAAAAATCAGATGTCACTTTTTGCTTTTAACACTCCCACAGCTTCTCATTTTATTTACAGTAGATTCTAAACATCTTGCCTTGTTCTTGCTAATCTCTCATCTTTCTGTCTTGCACCCTATACTCCAGTCAGACTAGCCTTCTTTCTGCTTCTAGAACCTCCCAAATGTGTTACTACTATAGTATCTTGGAATTAGCCTTTTCTTCTTCTAGAATGTTCTTATCATATGACTTCCCTGGTTGTCTGCTATCACACAATTTCACCTTTTCAACTCCCAGCACCTCCTCTAGTTTGAGGAAATCCTCATTTCTGGCCCTCCCTTCCAATCTTTCCAATATGTCTTCTGAATTCCAATTTGTGATCAACCAAGTTTTCTACATATTTGTATTGGCGGGACTTCCTGAAAAAAATGTCCTTGTAGAGCCTGGACCCTCCAAGCAAATTTTACATTTTCTTGAGGCTTTCTCTCTCTGTAGACATTAAGTTGTACACAAGATTTTACAACTTTTTTCTTCTGTTATAGTTGGAATTTAAACACAAATTACAAACAAGTTATTGGCTTTTAGTGAAATAATCTGAAAGGCTTATGAGTGGGCACCTAGCTCAGGAATGCTAGCATGGTCCCTTTTGAGAAAAGGCATGGTTCTATTTAGCCCCATAAGAAGCAGGTCCCCTAACCCTCATTCCAAAGGCAGCCTTGCCTAATGGACATGCATTCTGCTCTTGCTCCAATTTACTGTGCTTGCAGTTCAAGTTGCTTCTCCACCTTTGGACTGGTTGATGCAGCATCTTGGGAAACCACAAACTTCAGGGGACACTTAACCTTTAGTCTTCTGCCTGGAGTAGGGAGAGCTATAACATTTGCTGTGTTTTTAAACTAAAGACCCTTCCTTTTGCTTCTCTACTTTCTGGGCCTAGGAGCATGCAACATAAACTTGCTTTCAATCGTATCTTGTGATTCTAATTCTGAATGTGCTCAGAGTACAAATGATTGCTCTAGCAACTGGGAAACCAGTCTTTAGTCAGATAAAAGTTGTATTTCACTATCCCATATCAGGTGCCCTTCACCTCTTTGTTGTAACTGAAGTCTGGTAGATTCATTTTGAGGTAATTTTTGTACGTGGTTTGAGGTGGGGGTTCCACTCCATTCTTTTGTAGGTGGCTGATCAGTGGTTCCCAGGACCATGTGTTGAAAAGACTATTCTTTCCCCATTGTATTCTTGGCACTCTTGTCAAAAGTCTTTTGAAAATAGACACATGGTTTTATTTCTAAACTTTCAATTCTATTCCATTGATGTATATGTCTATCTTTATGCCAGTACCACACTGTCTTGATTACTGTTACTTCATTATAAGTGTTGAAATCAGGAAGTGTGTGTCCTCCACCTTTCCACTTCTTTTTCAATATTGTTTTGGCTATTCTGGGTTGTTTCTTTATATGTATAGCTTTCCTTTTGTGTACATATAAAAAACACACATTTTTTTCCTGTTATGCTGCTTAAATGTTTTATATTTTTGTTGGAATTTATTTTCCCTACTGTACTCTACTGATGATTGCTGTTTATGGGAAAGCCATTATTTTTTTCACTGATTTTTAAATAGTACCAAGGCAACTCTTTACTGCTAGCAGTTGTTTTGTTGATTCTCTGTTAGGCAGTTTTTATTATATGCAAATAATGGTCTTTTGTGTCCTTTCTTTTTTTATAGCTACTATTTCTTTTCTTGCCTTTTAGTATTGGCAAATATTGAATAATGGTGGTGATAGTGGCAGCCTTGTGTAACCCTGGTTTGAGTGGAGATGCGTCTATCTTTCCACCATTAAGTGTGATGGTGCATTGAACTGCATCTTTAAGGGATGCAGGAACAATTCAGATAAAGTGAGAGGAGGAATTATGAGGCTTTTGGGGTCATTTGGGAGGGGGCATTCCTGTCAGAAGGAGCAGCATGAGCAAAAACTTTAGGTTGAGGGACATTGTGTGGATGTGTGTAGAAAACAGTAAGTAATTAGGTATTGTTGTATCATAAGTTAAAAAGCAGGAAACAGGGAGAGAAGAGACTGAAGAGTTGGCAAGGACCAATCCTAAAGGGCCTTGATTACATTAAGAAGTTTGGATTTTATTTTTATTTTTATTTTTCGAGATGGAGTCTCACTTTGTCACCAAGGCTGGAGTGCAGTGGTGTGATCTTGGCTCACTGCAACCGCCACCTCCTGGGTTCAAGCAATTCTCCTGTCTCAGCCTCCTGAGTAGCTGGGATCACAGGCACGCACCACCATGCTTGGCTAAGTTTTGTATTTTTAGTAGAGACAAGGTTTTCCCATGTTGGCCAGGCTGGTCTCAAACTCTTGACCTCAGGTGATCTACCTGCCTCAGCCTCCCAAAGTGCTGGGATCACAGGCGTGAGCCACCGCGCCCCCCCTGGATTTTATTCTTTATATTTTGGAGAACTATGAAAAGATTTCAAGTAGGGAGGTAATATTGTCACTGAGGGACAACATCACAGATAGTTTCTTTGTTAAAAGAATTTTGATTATTTTCATGGCTGCAACATGTTCAATTCAGATAATGAATCATTTGTAGTTCCTGAAACACACCAAGCTCTCTGGTACTTCTTTGACCTTGAGGACATCCCTTTTGTCAGAAATGCCCCCATACCCACTCCAGGCCAGATAAAACACGAATATGGGTCTTTTGCATCAACTGCTGTCACACCAGGCTGAATCCTAATTATCTACTGCCACTCTTCTGAGTTCTTTGAGGGCAGGAACAATACCATTTATTTCTGAAACCTATTGGGGTGCATAACGGAATAAATGAATAAACAAATGAGCAAATGAAGTGTGTTGGCAGGGAGAGTAATGCAGAGGAGCTTAGAGAGATAAGGTCACAAAGACGGTTAATCACAGAGTTAGTTAAAAATCTGATGCCTCAGGTCTCTCTCTGCTCTTTTCCTGTGCCTTAACGTTGCTGAAGTTTACAAAGGTGCTTTATAGCTTGTGCAGTCCTGATGCACGGAAAAGCTTTATTTTATTGTTTGACCCAGCCTTCCTAGGCACCACCCCCTGAACAGAGGTAAGCTATGGAAATTTTAACCTCCCGGTGGGGCTTGCACTTCTTTTCACCCACTGTTTACTGCTGAAAGCCTGAGTAGCTATGGGCCATCTTTCCGGAGAAACTAGGAAAAAAAATGTGTGGAAGGCAGCAAGCCCACGATGTAAGAAAAAGTGTTGTAACTTAAGCCTCCAAGTTCAATGATGATCTCGGTAAAATGAGTTTGAGTTATTTTGTTTTTTGTCTCTGTCACTCTGATGCCCGGGCTGGAATGCAGTGGTGCCATCTCGGGTCACTGCAACCTCCACCTCCCAGGTTCAAGCCATTCTCCTGCCTCAGCCTCCAGAGTAGCTAGGATTACATGGGACTGCCACCATGCCTGGCTAATTTTTGTATTTTTAGTAGAGACGGCGTTTCACTATGTTGGCCAGGCTGGTCTCAAACTCCTGACCTCAGGTGATCCACCCGCCTTGGCCTCTCAAAGTGCTGGGATTACAGGCGTGAGCCACCGCACCCGGCTGAGTTTGAGATCTTTTGACCCCACTGTTTTGATTCTGTGTTTAAGCATACAAACATTTAAATCTATTCTAAATTAACACGAAAGTACATGTCTACAAAGTGTTTGCCAGAAAAAACTTCATTAAATAAATTTAATATTTTTATTGACTTTCTGCTCATAGGGGTTAATTCTTCCAATTTTTTTTTTCCATATTTAGTTTACTGATTACTGTAGGGACCAATGTTTCAGTGATGACAAGCATTTTTCATATCAAAATTGACTTTTGTGTCTACATTGTTTACTGTCTTCCATGGTCTTAATCTCTGCCAGGCTCAGTTTTCTTGGGTCAATGTTTTGCAAGATCCAAATTTTATCACTTTTCCTTCTTTGATAATTTTTTAGTTAAATACAAATACACTGTCAGTTTTAGTCATTATCAATTACTCTGTCTTGTTTTCCTACCAAATTTAATTTTCCCAAGTTAATTTGGAGTTTTCAATGTTACTGATACAATCTGATCTTCCAATAAGTCCTGTGTGCAGTTATAGCTGTTGCCAGTATTATTATGCTGGTTCTTTCTTCTACTAACCTTTCTATGAATTGGGTATAAGATAAACAGTTCGTGTTTACATCTGGAAGCAAAAAGCAAAGACCATTAGTGGACAAATGTGAATCTGGGCACTTGGCTGGTTCAAAATAACAGAATCAAAACATCATGCCTATGGCAAGCTTGTTGACTTTTTAAGGATCAGAAATCTTTGCTTTGTAAATGTGACAGTCTTATGATTCTTACATTTTCTTTTAATCTCCATTTTGTTTTATCTTAAATTTATTAAAACTTCTCTGAGAAGGTAAGTTTTCCTCAGCCCTTCTAAGGGATTTTCCAGCTAGTGGTCTCCGTCATCAAGTTCTACTCTGTTGAATTCCTTCGGGGTTGGATTTTGTTTATAACAATAATTTTACTTTTTCTGAACGCCCTTTTAAAACGTCACACTGAGATCCACCAGAAGAGTAAGAATAACATTAGGCTTGTTTTTATAATTCATCCCAGACATCCCAAGTGAGAATTAAAAAAAAAAATTACTCATTTCTATTTTCCTTTCTCAAAAACACATTACAAAAAGATTGTAAAACAAAGTCTTGAGGGATTGATTAGTCAAGACAGGGGGTGAAACTCTTAAGAATCCAGTGGAATCAGGACAACCCAAACTTCCTTTGTAGAAGAGCATTTGCTATTAAGAGTGCTTAAAATATCAGAAGACTAGAGAGAGGAAAGAACAGATCTTCACCACATGCCTGTGACTTATTCTTCCACCCTGCACTAATCTTACAATGTGGGCTGCGGTTGGTCTAAAGCTTAAATCAACAAGTACTGTAAAGGTTTTAGAACAGTGCAGACCACACAGTAAGGTGCTCAGCAGGTACTGGCTGAATACTGTAATAGTCCCTGTAGATAAAAGCCACAAACCCTGTCCCTAAGTAGCTCCTTTTGGTTGGAGTGACTGACAAGCAACAATTACTTCACAGCGCTTATTAAGGGCTGAGATAGGGGTTAGCTCAAGTGTCTGTGGAAGCAGACCAGTGGGTCTCAAACTTTTTTTGTCTCTGGACCTCTACACAATATTTGTTACCACAAATAATGTATTTATGAAAAGCATATTTTCCAAATTAATAAAAGGGTGATATCTAAAATTTCTGCAGATTTCCTCAATGTCTGGCTTAATAGAAGATGGCTGGATTCTCTTATCTGTTTCTGCATTGAATCAGCTGCTATATGCTGTTTTGGTTGAAGGGTGGGAAGAAAATTTGGCCTTAGACACATGCTCCTGGCAAAGGAATGGAGGCTCTACTGAAAGGTCTTGGCGACCCCTCAGGGAAACCTGGGACCACATTCTGAAGACTGCTTACTGGATACCAAGAATGTTTCTTGGAGGTAGCAATTTGAGTCCTGAGGTAGATCAGCCATGTAGGGTGAGGGTAACGGAGGTAGTTAATGGTAAGGCTGCTGTGCCGAGCCAGCACAGATATTTGGGCAGAGGGCTCATCTACTCCATCCTATTCTACCATTCTTGAACTCACAGTCAATTAATAAAAAGTACCTGGGGTTGGGGAGCTGCGCATCAATATTATATTAACTGTGAAGCCTTAGTGCTTACTACGGTCGAGAAAAAGCGCTCCTCTGATTCGCCCCTCCCGGCGGCGCGGAGGTGTGAGCTAGAAGCCCGCAGGCGGTGCCGCGTCCTCCGAAGACAGGGAGGGGCGCGGCAACGCCGGGAAGCGCTGCAGCCCGGGGCCCCACGGAGGCGCGGCGCTCGAGGCCCTAAAGCGCGCAGGCGCGGCAGCGACGCAGGCCGCGGCCCCCGGAACGGTAAACAGTGGGGTCACGTGACACGGCCCCTCTCCAGCTCCCGCGCCGCCGCCGCACGCCGATGGCTGCGGGGTCTCGCGCCGTCGCACCGTCCCCACGCGGCAAGCGACCTTCGGGCTCAGGGCGGCGGCGGCTGCAACGAGGATTAGGAGGGCGGCGCGGAAGCCAAGAATAGTGTCGTCAGCAGCAGCCATTTGGTCCCAGGAGGAAAAGAGGCTGTGGCAGCGACGCCGACGTCCTGCGCGTACCCCCTCTCCGCGGCACCCACCGGGCCCCCTCCTCCTCCTCTTCGGCGGCGGCAGCGTCCACCATCTTCCTCTTGCTGCCAGTGGTAGCGCTCGTCTGGCGGAGCTGGGTGAGTTGCGGCTGTGGCCGCGGCCAGGGAGACGGGCAATCCTCCCCTCCCCCATCCCCTTCCACACGCACAGCGCCTCCGCGGGCCTCTCCGCCCCTCCCGCGGCGGACTCTCCGCGCTTTTCTCCCGCGCAGCCGAGAGATCGCCTCTCGGGCCTCTTGCGCAACGTCCTCGGCCTACCTGGGCCGCGCCGCTGGCGCCTGTGGACCATTTGGACCGCGGGCTGGGGAGGGAGTCGCAGCGACGCGGTCGCCAGGCGGAGGGTCGGGACCACGGCCTCTCTCCCGACCACTGGTACCCAGCCGTCTGCTGCGAGGGCGCCCCGCCGCCGCTGAGGCGCGGGCGCGCAGGCCCGAGGCACGGCGGGCGCTGCCTGGAAGGCCCGTCTCGCAGGCCCCCGGATCCGGCCGTTGGGGCCTCTTCCTTCTCAGGGAGCCCCAGCATGGAGCTTTGGGCCTTGGTTTCGGGAAACTGGGACTGGCCCTGGCTGCTAGGCTGCTCCCTGCTGCTGCTTTTTGGAGATGAGAGTTGCTCTTCCATTTATCCTCCAGTTACCGCGCGCTTTTGTGCCCGGGACTCAAACTGTGGACTCCTTTTGCTTAGTTTGAAATGAGAAGCCTAGACTCTTGCCTTCCGATAATACATGTAATTTAATGAACCACTTGTCGATACGTACGTGTTAATGGTGCTAAATAACTGATCACCTGACACGGGGGGCGGGGGCGGTGCGGAGAGTAGAAAGGAAGAGAATGTTGATATCGCGCACGGAGTCCTGTGTCCCTCCTTTCCCTCAGGATGTGTTGCCGGGTTAGGTGACCTTTTTCCATCTTTGGGCTTTTAAATGCCAATTCCTAGAGACTAGATTGGGGTGGTTATTAGTGCTTTCCAGTAGTCACGCGTAGAATATGTTCATGGATTAATGTTAAGTGGCAACACTGCTTTAATATTCTAGTCCTAATCTGCATTACATGTAGCGATATTTAATTTAAAAAGAATAATCGATTATTGAGGCTTCTCTAAATACTAACTTTACTATCTTATTTTAAGCTAAATTTAAAAACCAATGCAGTAAACTCTGTAGGGAGTACTTAAACAGTACGTTGTTGTATTTAGTTACTATTTTGGGGTCGAACTTGTCTTCCCTTTGACAAAATGATTGTTAAAGGCCTAACAAAACTACGCCTCCATTATTCATTTTTCGATTCCTGAATGAAGTGTTTGGAACTGTGAAAATATTTGTAGAAAAAGATGTATGTTTGTGTTAGAGCGACATGTTGAGTCAAAGCACCAGAAACTTTTCTATTGTAGCATACTTATGTTTTTGAATTTATAGCTCCCTTCCACAGCACAAAAAGGTGTTGTGTAAAGATTATTGTTATTTTAAATAGTAATTTTAAAGTTTAGTTATCACTTAGACCTTTTCCCCACTAATTTTTCTCTTCATTCATCTGTTTACTGGCTATATATTACCATAATGATTCTTTCCTTCATCATCGTCATTATCACTGTTATTATTATTTTACAATACATACTTCATTTTCTGGTGATAGTAGCAGAGTTTAGTGGCAGACTTTTAGGAGTGATGATTCCTCTGATTGAGCCACACAATCAGTCCCGAAACGGGCTACTTTTATGTAAAAAGATTACAACTTTAGATTTTAAGCTTTTTCAGATAGCTGTACTCGGTAATTTGTCAAAATGATAAAAATGAGCCAGTGATGGGACCAAAGTTTGCCTCTTATTTACATTTTTTATAGGTTCATTTATTGAAGAATAGAAAAATATAGTTTATTTTACTGCTTTTGCATACACGTGAATTATGCATTCTCTCTTGTTGGGATAGACTTCAGATAACTTTATCATGTTGATCTTATGGTATACTTATATGTTGCATAATCAGAAAAGTCACCTCTGAGAAGTGGTCTATGTAAATGTAGGTAAAAAATTGGTTTGGTCAGATGCACATTTCAAGATAGAAAAATCGAAAGGAATTTGTCTTTAATCATTTCAAACTATGTTATTAAAATTTAAATTTTATTGAGTATTGGAATCCACTAGGAAAGTTGACAGTCTTTGACTTATGTAATGTATTACTTATAAAAGTTGGGAGGCAGCAAGTGGCAATTTGGAGTATTGCAAAATCAAGAGCTTAGATTTTTTTCATAGTATAAGGCCTACTTGGAAAAACTGGTGAATGAAAATTATACATACAATTCTGTGTTTCAGTTACTGAAATAGATGATGTTTATCTTCCTTAACATGGTGGGATGGTGTTTGCTTTTTTGATACATTTTGCCTTCTTAAGATCCATTTAAATTTCTCATAAAATCCTTTTTACATATGTTTTTTCTGGAGATAATAACTTTTCTGTTTTTTAGTGAGATAATGAGATTTTTTGGTCAACATTTAGGTTTGTGTATTACCAATACATATTTCACCACACAGTGTCAAGGAGTTCAGGATTCTTAGGGTGCTGATTTCTAACAGTTTTTATTCATCCACATTTCAAGAATTCTTTCTGACAAGTGGCTGCTGGATTTTTTTCTTTTCTGGAAAAGTACATCTTGGGCTCTGTTTCTCTTATTTCTTCTTGGAGCACTCTCTCAGAATTCTGGAGTATCTTTTCAGAAGGATAGACACTTTTTCAACTATAAAAATTGCTTGGCAAACTGTTAGACATTTATGATACTGTTGCATTTTTGAGAACACAGTCAAAAAATATTCTTTAATTGTTGCCCTTTGATTACACATGGAAAGATATTGAGAGTATTGATGTGATTAAACATACATGAGACCCTGAGGCTGTTTCTATTCTCAGTAAAGATATTATAGTCTGGGAAACAAGATTCATTGACATCTGATGTTAATCAGTGTATTAGAGTTAAAGGGGAAAATATCAAGAGTTTTATGAGGAATTGCTATATGTGTGGACTTGACAATTATTGTCCTGCATAATGTGCTTAATTTAGACCATTTTTAATGGTATTTTAAAATTTTATGACTATTATACAGTGAAGAGTGGATATAGAGAAATAGTTCAGTAAAAATTTTAAGATATTTCCAGAAGTTTTAACCTGTTGGCATAATCTAACTTTATTAGACAGTTTCGAAGAGCGTGGTAGATTATACAGAAAGGCTGAACTTTAACATTTTAATTCGTTTGTAATTTGCATGAGCTGGGCACATGAAAGCATAAAGTTTTAGACTGAAAATAAATGGAAAAGTTTGTAGCTGATAAATTGCTTTTCCTCCAATGATGTTCATATGCATTGAGGCTTACATTTTGTTTTTTTTTAAATGTGTAGAGGGTGGCTAAGTGCATATTCCTGTTTTATTTTGGAAGAAGGATGAGTCACTTTTGTTTCTAGCATTTTTTAAGATTTCATTAATGATATATTAAAAGCATAAAAATTAATGTGTAGAGTGCATTATAGAGTGTAAAAGTGTAGGCTCAGGAATCACACTGAATGGGTTCAAATGTAGGAATATTGGGTATGTGACCTTGGGCAAATTATGTAATTATCTAGGTCTCAGTTTGCTCTAAAGAGAAAGGACTAATAATTGCACCTACCTTATAGGGTCGCTGTGAGGAACTAATGAGATAATGCATACGATACACAGGGCCTGGCATATAGTGTGTGCCAATTACACGTTAGCTTGGGTTGTTACTCCCTAGGCCATAGTTTTAATGATGAGCTAGGTCCACTACTTTGGTGGTTTATTCAAATTCCTAATGCTTATAATGTCAGTTATGATATAATGCCAATATAGTTGTAAACTTTGAAGTTAACTCTTTCTTGTTACTGTTGGCTACTGTAATTCTGTGTTTGCCAGTTTCAACATCTTCAGATCCTTTCCTAGGGACTTAGGTCTGCTTTGGTCTTAGTTGTCTTTGTGCAGCAGACACTTTGATATCTTCTTTTTACCAGATACATTTAGAAAAGTTATGATCCTTGCTTTCTATAATGATGTCTTGCCAATAGATTCTAACTAACGAAACTGAACCAGATTTGAAGTGGGGGTGTAGAGTAGATGACTAGGTTGAATTGCTTTGTAGAATGATACTTTGTAGTATTGTGTCATACCACATGGCCTAACCACTTATTAATTTTTGACTCTGTCCTCGAAGGATGGATAACCCATGATTCATCTTTAGTGTTGTTATATCATAGTAGTTAAGAACTGACCTTAGTGTAATGCAGAGTGGATCTGAGTCCTGGCTCTGTCACTTATTTATTTTGTAATATTGGGTGTAACTTTGCTAAACTTTAGCCCCTCTCTTGTAAATTGGGGATGATAGTACCTGCCTAATGGTTTGGTTGTGAGGATTAAATGGCATGATGCATTTAATTTGTTTAGCACAATGCCTTGCACACAGTAAATATCCAGTGAGTTTAACCTTACAAACACATAGGGCAGTTGTAAGCACATTGACTCTTAAATGAAATTTTCTGGGTTCAGATTTTAGCTCTGTTCTTCCTGTAGGAGATAGCTTAAACAAACAAACAAACAAAACCAAACAACTTTTAGTTCCATCACCTACTATGGCAAATTATTTAAACTCTTTGATCCTAATTTCATTTTATTTCAATTTTTATATAATCAGGATAATAATATAAGGTTGTTTTGAGGATTAAATGAATTAAAAAATGTAGAGCAGAATTTCTTAAACTTGACTGTTGACATTTTTGGCTGGATAATTTTTTGTGTGTGTGTGGGGCTGTCCTAGTGCATTATAGTATGTTTACTAGATGCAAATAGTACCCTTTCCAGTTGTGATGGCCAAAAATGTCTCTAGACATGGCAAATGTTCTCTGCATGGGCATACTCACCTCTGATTGAGAATTATAGATACAAAGCATGTAGAACAATGCCTGTCTTGAAGTTTGAGCACAAGAAGTTTTGTTTTATCATTACTGGTGGTAGTTTGTTCTTCTACTGCTACTGCCTATTAGGAATTTGTTTTTGGTAAGCATGCCTGATGAAATTGCTTATTTTAAACGATGGTATGGGGGCTGAAGGCATCAAGTGTGCTCCACTTTTAAGACCTTTGTACTTCTGGGTCTTTGTCTGGATTGCTCTTTGGCATTTATGCATTGATCACTACCTCACTTGAGATTTTGGTTCAAATGTTACGCTGTGAGGCCTTCACTTACTATCATACATAGACCAATCCCCCATCACCACCACCATCACTATTGCCTTGTATAACTTTTCTTGAGCGATATTAGTCTCCTGATAAATTTTTGCTCCCCTCACACCACCCCCCTACACACACACCCACAGACACAAATGTAGACTACGTGAGAGACAACTTCATCTTAGTATATAACCTCTTTGGCCTTTGATAGCTTTAGTGATTTATTGTTAGGTGTGTATGTGTGTGTGTGTGTGTGTGTGTGTGTGTGTGTGTGTGTGTTTTAGGAAATAATAGGATAGAATTCATAGGTTTACTTTGAAGGTGTTTTAAAGTGAGTTTTTGTAAAGTGTAATTTTTTTTTTTCGAGACGGAGTTTTGTTTTTGTCTTCCAGGCTGGAGTGCAATGGTGTGATCTTGGCTCACTGCAACCTCTGCTTCCCAGGTTCAAGCTATTCTCCCACCTCAGCCTCGGATTACAGGCATGCACCACCACACTCAGCTAATCTTTTTTGTTTTTAGTAGAGACGGGGTTTCGTCATATTGGTCAGGCTGGTCTCGAACTCCTAACCTCAGGTGATCTGCCCGCCTCGTCCTCCCAAAGTGCTGGGATTACAGGTGTGAGCCATGGCGCCCGGCCTAAAGTGAAATTTTTTTTTGCTGTTGACACTTTCTAAATCTCATCTTTTTGCGTTCTATTAATACTTGAAACACTTGAAAAGCAATTAGGCTATTTTGTTAGTATAAACTAAACCTGACTTCAGTATAATTCTCTGAGAATTACAGATGAAACATATTTTAAAGCAGGAAATATCTTCGGACTCAGATTAAATTTTATTTGACAAATTAGTACCAATTATTTTTAGTTGTATTCTGAGTCTTTATAAATGGTCCATCAGGACCAAACTCAGCCATTCATAATTAAGACATGCTGTTCCCTTTGCCTAGAATATCCTCTGGACCATTAGGATCCAGCTTACACATCATCACCTGCCTAGCCTTTGTTAGCTTCCAGAGTTTCACCTTCCTCTGTGAAGCCCTTCAATACGGCATTTAGCATTTTGTTGTGATGTTTATATGTGTTGTATTTGCTTATATGTTTATGTCATTTTGAATTGTGAGTTTTTCGACTTTCAGATGGGTTCATTTCACTAGACTTAAAATGCTTTGTAGTAGATGCTTAACACATGTATGAGTAAATGAATAATTTTGAATTATGCAGATTATTCACTTATATACTTAGCTGCATATATTCTGTTGTCTGTAAAAATGAATTTACCCAGAAACAATTTCTGACTTTAACATGTATATTCCCAAATTACCAATACGGATTTAATTGGATATACACGTATCATCAGCCATTTAAAATACACCCTATATAGGCTTATTATGTTTTAATTATTTAGAATGCCAGTAGATGGGCTTCCTATGTTTTATTAAATTTAGAATGCCAAATATAGGAAAGCATTTAAGTAAAATTTTAGTGTAAGAAACAGGAATTTGTTTAAATTAGACAATTTGTTTAATTAACAAAGATACTAAATTGGCTCCTAATTTTCCCCCTTAATTAGATCTGATTATCTGTTAGCCACATTACTAGGTATCCCAGAATATTCTTAGATTAGTTTTTTTAAGACTTTATTTTGTAATAATTTTATATTTATAGAAAAGTTGCAAAGGGTGTGTAGTGTTTGTATATACTCTTATCTAGTTTCCCTGATTATTAACATCTGACATAAAGCTAGTGCCTTTATCAGAACAGAGATTATTATTATTGGTGTATTACCAATGATAATGGTAAATTACAGACTTTATTCTGATTTTACCGGTTTTTTTTTGCTACTGTCCCTTTTCTGTTCCATGATCTAATCCAGGGTACCACATTGTGTTTAATAGATTAGTGTATCCATTACAAGTGAGTAAATATTTCTACATTTGGCTAATTTGTTTGCCTGTTTAGCATTAGAGCTATTTTATTTTTGAGACTGATCACTTTGTATCTGAAACTGATTTTTAAAAATGAATTATACCTCCAGTAAATGTTACTTTCAAGGGAGTTCTTTTGGATGGCTACATGCTGTTCATTTTTGGCATTTTCTCTTTGGAATTATCTCCAGAGCCAGTTGGAACCACGTAAGAAAAATTATTCTGACTCATTTATAACAATTTTCCTTAAAACGTGTCCCATGAAACACTAGGATTGTGATTTGTCCTGTGGAAATTGTCTTCTTTGGACTCACAAATGTGATACGCTTTATTACTATGTTCTTAGAAGATTCCCATTTTCATTAGCTTACTAAACATGTCTCACACAATGGTAGCTGCTTAGTAAACATTTGATGAATAAATAAACGGTATTGTTAAAGAAACATAACTTCAGTCTATCTCCACTTGTGACTGTGGAAACCTTTTTCCGGATAATGCCTGTTTAAATCTGGGGAAGCATACTTCATAAGTCATAATAGTTTTGACTTAAAAACAGTACTGGAAAACTTGACCCATTTTATTTACAATATGCTTTATTTAAAAAAAATCGATCTTCAAGAAATATATTACAGGCTCTGAAGCCACTTTCAGTAAAGGAGTTTTAGGATGGTTTCACTAATAGCAGTATTATTGAAAACAAAAAAAATTGCTCCTTTAGATGACTAGTTAGAATGGCCTGGTCTTCAGTATAGCTATGGGATCTTGAGCTTTGTGACCATAACTTCTGAATGTTGTGAATGTTCCCATCACTTGAAAGCTCACAGCATATAGTTGGTACAACAGGAAGACCTCATAGGAAGTTTGCAGAATTTGCTGGCCTCATGTTGCTATGGTAACAAGTGCATTTACTTTTTCAGTAGATTCAGTATACCGTTTTTTGAAGGAAGGTTAGCCATTTGTTTCTAGGGCTGAAACTGCCTTTTTTCTTTTTGATTGATCTGAGAAAAAAGATTACTAATTGGGATGCAACTCTCTGAAGAGGAGGTGGCTTTGGTTTGCTGTATTGGATTCCAGTATGTTCAGATAAATGAATTCATTGGTAGTTCTACTTAATTTTGTAAACATTTAGTGAATATTTTCATAAATTATTTTTAATTACCAGAATTTAATATACTAAATTTTTTTTTGGAACCTAAAAACATATTGGGCGTAAGTATTGGTGTTGTATGATAATCGAGACTTTCTTTGGCACTGAGATGATATAGTGGTAGGGAATTCTTAAAGGAACTTGTCCTGAGTTTTCTTCAGCATTGCTAGCTACAATTTTCTGTCAGTTGAGAGAATGCATGTAAAATAAGCAGCAAATCTGTAAAGTAGTTAGCATTTTCTTTCAGTGCTTTATTAACATTTCAGTGTAAATAAATGGAAAAAAAATGAGAAGAGATACTGAAACTTCTATTTAGAAGGACATTAACTTTTGTGAGAGAGGAATTTGCTTTTTTTTTAAAAAAAATTGAGGTATAATAAATGCATTCATTAAAAATGAACAGATTCGTGAAACCATTATCACAACCAAGATTTAGGACATTTCCGTCATCTCTCAGGTATGCACCTGCCCTTTTGCAGTTCATCCTTTCCCTATTCGTGGCCCCAGGCAGTCACTAATTTGTTGGATTTTTTTTTTTTTTTTGGGCACAGGTTCTGGCTCTTTTGCCAGGCTGGAGTGCAGTGGGTTGATTTCGCTGCAACCTCCACTTCCCGGGCTTAAGTGATCCTCCCAACTCAGCCGCCCGAGTGACTGGGTCTACAGGCACACGTCACCACACCTGGCTAATTTTTGTATTTTTTTTTGTAGAGACGGGGTTTCGCCTTGTTGCCTAGGCTGGTCTCCAACTCCTGGGCTCTAGTGATCTGCCCACTTCCCGAAGTGCTAGGAATACAGGCATGAGCCACTGGGCCTGGCAGGAAAATTGTTTTTAAAGAGCCCTTAATGAGTCAGATCATCCCAGCCCTTAGCTCAGTGTGAAAGGGTAACACTTACTAATGGGTATGGGCTGTGGAGCTTGAAACCCAGGCTAGAATTTTGGCTCTGTTTTGTGACTTTGGGGAAGACATTTAAATTATTCAAGTGCATTTTTTTAAATAATGCGAGGATGTTAATAGACCCTGTTTATTATTGGGGCTTAAATTATATAAATGTTGGTTAAATGTTTTGTACAGTATGACATATATAACTAGTGAATGTTAGCATGTATCTGAAATTCTTCCCTCATTTTTATAGGGGGAGAGAATTCAAGACTAGTTTGAGGAAATTTTGTTAAATTTGGAGCTAATCTCAAAAATCTTGGAATTAAGGAGCCCAGGATGTTATAGGTTAATCACTGGGACTTTTTGTTAAATTAATATTAACTTTTTTCGGTTGACTTTCCACCCCCTAAAATATGTTGATTCAGTTTTCTCTCAAACTGATTTAACTTAATTGTTTTAACTTTTCATAATTGAGGCTCCTGTAGAGCTTTGAAATGACTTTGCTGAGCAATGTAGGTACAATTCAAATGGGAGACTAACTTGATACTTGTATAGACCACACATAACTAAAATAAATCTAAATACATGATGTAGATTGTCTTTGTGTCATTTATCTTGTTTTTATCCTATAAGGGGGCCTTGAAAAAAGGTGTGTTTGTGCACATCTTTGTGTGTGTGTGTAGTCTTTTAAGTTTTGATTTGTTGGGTTAATAGTTTCTTTTTCATTTTCCACCTCTTCCCCCACAATAAAAGCCCTTTGTCTATATATATATTACCTTTCTTTAAATAATTTTAATACTTTGTAAATAAAACAAGCCTACTTTATGGTTTTAATAGGTATGGGATAAAAATTTAAAATATTTGATTTTAGCTCTTTTATGTGGACTTATTGTAAAAGCAGTGTCTGATGCTTAATTTGTGAAAAGGTTGTGGTTAAAAACAATAGTTTTTATGCTTTAAGCCATGTAATTCTTTTGTATGTGTCAAGTTAATGGACTATATACATAGTTTTTTTTTCCTAAAAATAATGAACTGAGTAAACATTTAGTAGGATTTCTGGTAAAATGATATACTACATGCATGATGAAGAAACATTATTTAGTAAAGATTCGTTCTACATTTCCAAATGTATATTCTAAAAACAAGTGAGGATTTTTTTTTTAAACAACAATTCAGAAATACCTTAAGTGTGTTCTTAGACTCAAAACTATTAAAATAATTTGGTATTAGGTGATTTTCAATTGATAGCTTTATTTCTTATGGTATTTTTTTTGTCTTTCTATAGGGCTGAAAGACACACAGAAGTCTTCATGGATATAGTTGATACATTTAATCATTTAATTCCTACTGAACACTTAGATGATGCCCTATTTCTAGGATCCAACCTGGAGAATGAAGTCTGTGAGGATTTTAGTGCAAGTCAAAATGTCTTAGAGGACTCGCTGAAGAACATGCTCAGCGATAAGGATCCTATGCTAGGATCTGCAAGTAACCAGTTCTGTTTGCCTGTTTTGGATAGCAATGATCCCAATTTCCAGATGCCTTGTTCAACAGGTAATTCTTACTTTTTTTTTTTTTTTTTTTTTTAGTCTGCAATTTAAAATAAAAAAATTTTCAGCAGCTTTTTCTTTTTTCTTTTTTTCTTTTTTTTTTTTTTAATGAGGAGGGTAGTAAATTTAGGGTTATTTCCTTTGAATTTAGAGCTTCTTTTCCAGGCATCAGAATTAAAATTTAAACTAAATTTTCTTCCAAGGAGTGTGGAGTTATCCTCAAGGATATTATGGATATAGGTAGGGTGACCATATAATTTATTATCCAGTATGGGACACTTACTAGAATTACAGAGAGTACTTTAATAATTACATCATGACAACAGGTGTAAATTGGGACTCTTTAGTAAATAGGGATTGCCCGGCAAATTGAGACATGTGGTCACCTTAGGCCTGCTGGAGTCGGGGGATGGCTGAATTGACCTTTCTCAGCATACCTCCCAGCCCCTGAAATATTTACATTGTTTGCTCCCATTTCACCTCCTTTGGTATTTTGTACATGTATCTTAAAACCAGAGAAAGAACTCTATACCTCTGCTGCCCTGGACAGTAAACACTAGCCACATGTCATTTGCAATGAGTCTGGTCGCTTGCAATGAGTCTGGTCCTAATTGAGATGTGCTATAAAATGCACATTAGATTTTGAAGACTCAGTATGAAAAAAAGTTAAAAAATATTTCTTCAATTTTTTTATGTTGCTTATGTGCTGAGGTGATATTTTGGATATTTGTGGTTAAAATTTATGTCACTTGTTTTGTTTTTTTTGCCTTTTTAAAAGTGACTACTTGAAAATTCAAAATTACATATGTGTCTTATATTTCTGTTGGACAGAAAAGGGTCTGTAGTTGAAGTAACTGAAAGACTGAAGATAGTAATTTTCTGTAAGGCTAAACTATCCTTAATAAGAAATTACTTTGTCATGTTAATGTATAAAAAACAGTTTTTCTTTTATAAAGCAGAGAAAATATTACTGTAAACGTTGTGGCAATTACTAATAGCTATTCTGTGAGTAAAATTATAGGTAAAGGTAAAATCAGCCTCCCATGGAACAGTAAGGTTTTCCCTCACCATTCCCTAGAGTAAATAGTTCTCAGGTTTATGTGATGTTGGTTTGTTTTTCATTGACTAGACTTTTTCTCCTGTACAGTTTGTTCAGCATATTTTTCATTTTTTAAAACATTTTCTATGTATATTTTAAATTTAATACGGCAATACTTAAAGTTGGGAATAGGTGGTCTGCTGTTGGCCCTTAAGTTTGCCAGGTTACTCTGCCTGAGGACCTCAACACTGGCTACTAGGAAGCTTCATTTTAACAACTTAAAACTGAGGTCTTTTGAATTGCTTGCTAATAGTGTATCTCTGAATTATTTATATTATGTTGTGTTATTACTTAGGTTTACATTGTTCTGTTGTTGTATTCTAAATGTTTTAAAGCTTTTAAAATTTTGTTTTATGTATGCATTGTTCAAGTTTTTTACTTTGGTGCTTGTGTCAGTATAGTAGCTCTAATTATCTTTATTTTTAAGCATTTTTGACAGTGTTTGGTTGTATGCTGACTGTTTCCTAGTTTAGTCCAAATTCAGGAAGAACATTTATTTAATATTAACATGGTTGTTGCTGGAACTCCAGTTACCTTCAAGGGTGGTTATATTGGATGTGGAACTGACACATGTGTCATCTTGTTAGACTATTTTACTTATAAAATTCCACCCCTATAGTAATACCTGTATTCCTACTTCCTGTCCTTTTTTAAAAATTGATTTCTGTTGATAATGAAAAGTTTTTATTAATGTGAAAAATCTCTTCAGTTTTGTTGTACATTTCTTTTGCTAATAGAAGACTTAGAGCACCTTTATGAAGTACATAGAAATTTTTTGAGATACGATTTATTATTCGTTTGTGATTCTGTTATCTTTTAAATGAACTTTTAAATTTAGGAACTTAAATTACTTCCTAAATTTTCTGATATTAAAATTTGGTTACTAGAATTATTTATCTTTGATTCTGTAGCAGAATGTTTGTATTGGTATATGTATAGTGTATATGTTTTTAAGATATGTAAGGAAATATGTGGGGGAAACTTAATAAGGCTTTTCTGTTTAGGATTGTTTAAATTTCATTGTGCCATCTAGCAGGGGATTTATCTTGATTTCTTCAAAGTTCTTTTCCTTTTGGGATATTTGGGTCAGTAAAAGGCCCACACATTTTCTGAAAGCAAAATGGAAAACATTTTTGAAAAAAAATTTAACTTTTTGTTAGATTTAAGAGATAATTGCAAAAAAGAAATCTTATTTATTTATTTATTTATTTATTTATTTATTCATTTATTTTGGTAGAGACAGGGTCTTGTTATATTGCCCAGGCTGGTCTCTTAACTCCTGGCCTCAAGCTATCCTCCGGCCTATGTCTCACAGAGTGCTGGGATTACAGGTGTGAGCCACTGTGCTTGGCCTGGGAAATCTTATTGTAATTATTGATGAAAACCCTGTGTGGACAGGAACTTTCAGCTATTTATAAATAACTTCAGCTGTTTTTAAATAAAAACAACATAGTTCTTGCCCAGATTGTTGTTTCTGGCACAATGGGCTTTTACTAGCTGTTTTCATTGAAGCTAAGCAGGGAAATAATCCTATATGTATTCCTTAGACCAATGAAAGCTATAGACTGTGGCTATTTTGTAACCTTAGTGCTAAAATTAGCTACCAAAATAATTGCTACATCATCTTTTCTGTTATGATGAACCAGGCTGGTTTCGGACCAGTATTTTTGTTGTTGACATAGTGATTTGGATTGTATTTCAGCTGTCTCAAAAAATCATAGTTTTAGAAAATTATAAAAATAAGAAACATAGAAGATTACGTTTAGTGCTCTGTTGGATACACAAAAGTTGGGATGCCAGTTGTTTTATTTTGAGAGAAAGCAGCCAGCTTTCTTCTTTGAATGCTTTTGACTGTGTCAAGTATTACTTCATCTAATTGTAGTGTTTGCATATGGTTTTTAGATGTGCCCATTAATATATTTTTTTAACCTCTAGCAAGTAAGCAAAAGAGTATTTTCCCAAGTAACAGGTTTGAGATAGTGAATATACTGTTTATATATACCACTTGAGGAGTGTATTCAAAATCACTGAAATGGTGTTTACTGGCAGTATCAGTGTTATGAAGAAATGTTTATTTTATCTCTCATTTTACAAACAAATGTGTTCCCTTTTTACATTGACAGCTAAGCTATGATTCATAAGTGTGGAACAATCTTGTGTTTACAATCCATTTCTTAATATGGTATATTGAAAATAAATGTTCAGTGGCTGTAAGTTGATATCTTTAGTTTTTACAATATAGTTCAACATTGTTTTAAGACCAACAAAACAGACATACTGTAGAAACATGAGCCTTTCATTCAGATAGCACTCTTATCTGCTACTGTAGGTTACTACTTGCAGCTACTGCATCCTTCAGTGAAACCAAGATGTCCTTTCAAGGCTGCATTATGGCTAGCAAAATCATCATTCACTTAATTAAAAAAAAATTCTCTAGTATGGTTTTTGGAGGTTAAGCAAATTAAAAAGTCATTGAACTCTTACAGGTATCCCAAATATTTGGGAAGAGTTGATTCATATTGTGTAATTGAGTATTTTTTCAAGTAAAGGAAAACACCTGCTTACATCACATGTTGCTTTCCTATCATAAATGACATTGATATTATATGACATCAAGCAGTGTTGTTCGATAGAATTTTTACTTGCACTGCTTTCAAGCAAAGTGTTGTAATACTTGTAATATATGTTAAGACTAGTTTTACAATTAGTAAAACTATCAGTAATAGTGTGATTTAGTCCCTTTTTTGGCATATGAATTTTAAACTTTAGTCATACCTAGTTTGAGGCTCCTTTATCACTAGACAATTCATCTATGTAATATTGGAAAAATTATATTGCACTTGTTCTGGAAAAAAGGTTTGGTGTACCAGTGTGTCACAGATTTGTTTAAAAAGTTTTGGGTTTTATGGCTTTGTGTTTCTCTTGGACAGCATTTCAATCAGACAGTACATTGAACTAAACGTAGTGGCTCTCTGGTCTAGTGAAATTCAGTTTTCAGATATTTATTACTCCCTATTTGTACTTTCTTGGGGGTTGGTGGGGCTATTTGTGCATATTAATTAGATCTCTGAATCCAACTACACATATAAGTTCATTATATATCTTCACTGGAGTCTTGACTGTTTTTGTTTATTATTAGTTGATTTTTTTAAAGCTTCTGTGCTTCAATGAACCTTTTACATTAATAACTTATTTTTGAGAATCGAGTTTTAAAAAATTGTTTTTGACACATAATTGTACGTATTTGTGGGGTACAGTAATATTTTTATGCATGTGTACAATACGTAATGATCAAATTAGGTTAATTTGCATATTTATCAGCTCAAATATTTGTCATTTCTTTGTGTTAGGAACATTCAAAAGTTGCCCTTCTAGCTATTTGGAAATGCACAATAAATTGTTAATTGTAGTTACCCTGTAGTGTTAATGGAGTACTAGAATTTATTCCTCCTATCTAGCTGTAATTTTTTCTTTTTTTTCCTTCTTTTTGAGATGGAGTTTTTCTCTGTCATCCAGGCTGGAGTGCAGGGGGCCGATCTTGGCTCACTGCAACCTCCACCTCCCGGGTTCAAGTGATTCTCTTGCCTCAGCCTCCTGAGTAGCCGGGATTACAGGGGCCTGCCACCATGCCCAGCTAGTTTTTGTATTTTTGGTAGAGACAGGGTTTCACCATGTTGACCAGGCTGGTCTTGAACTCCTGACCTCAAGTGATCTGCCTGCCTTGGCCTCCCAAAGTGCTGGGATTACAGGTGTGTGCCACTGTGCCCTGCCTAGTTGTGATTTTGTATCCATTAACAAACTTTTGGCTATTCCCCCTGCTCCTTCCCCTTCCCCAACTCTGGTAATCACTATTGTACTGTCTACTTGTGTGAGCTCAACTCTTTTGCTGCTATATATGAGTGAGAGCATGCGGTATTTATATTTCTGTGCCAGGCTTATTTCACCTAATGTCCTAGAGCTCATCTGTGTTCCCATAATGGCAGAATTTTGTTCTTTTTTAATGGTTAGTTAGTATTCCATTGTGTATATATATACCACATTTTCTTATTCATCCACCTGTTGGTAGACACTTAGGTCGATTTCGTATTATGGCTATTGTTAATAGTGCTGTAATAAACATGGGAGTGCAGAGATACTGATTTCTTTTCCTTTGGCTATTTATGCCCAGTGGTGGGATTGCTAGATCATATGGTAGTTCTGTTCTTAGTTTTTTGAGGAACTTCCATATGTTTTCCATAATGACAGTACTGATTTACATTCCCTCCAAGAGTGTGTAAGAGTTCCCCTTTCTCCATATTCTTGCCAGTGTTTATTATTTTTTATCTTTTTGATAATAGCCATTCTAAATGGGATGAGATGATATCTCATTGTAGTTTTGATTGGCATTTCCCAGATGATTAGTGAAGTTGAGCATTTTCTTCGTATGCCTGTTAGTCATTTGTATGTCTATTTTGAAAGATGTCTTTTCAGCTTATTTGCTCATTTAAAAAATTGGATTGCTTTTTTGTTGTTGTTGTTGTTTGAGTTCCTTATATATTCTGGATATTAATCCCTTGTTGGATGGCTCAGTAGCAAATATTTTCTCCCATTCTGTAGGTTTCTCTTCACTCTGTTTATTGTTTCCTTTGCTGTCCAGAGCTTTTTAGTTTGATCTAATCCCAATTGTCTGCTTCTGCTTTTATTGCCTGTGCTTTTGAGGTCTCCATAAAATTTTTGCACAGACCAATGTCCTAAAGCATTTCTCCCATTTTCTTCTGGTAGTTTCTTAGTTTTGGATCTTACATTTAAGTCTTTAATCCATTTTGAGTTGATTTTTGTATATGGAGAGAGATGGGGTTTAGTTTCGTTTTTCTGCACATAGATATCCAGTTTTCCTAGCACCATTTGTTGAAGAGATTATTCCTTCCCAAATGATTGTTTTGGTGCCTTTGTTGAAAATCAGTTGGTTATAAATATGTGGATTCATTTCTGGGTTTCTTTTTCTGTTCCATTGGTGTGTATGTCTGTTCTTAGGCCAGTACCATGCTGTATTGGTTATCATAGCTTTGTAGTATATTTTGAAGTCCAGTAGTGTGATAACTCCAGCTTTATTATTATTATTATTTTTTGCTCAGGATTATGTTGGCTAGTTTTTTTTTTTTTTGTGGTTCTGTGTATTTTTTTTTGTGTGTGTGGTTTTGGGGATTTTTTTTTCTATTTCTGTAAATAATGTTACTGGTATTTTGGTAGGCATTGCATTTTTTGCTCAGGATTATGTTGGCTAGTTTTTTTTTTTTGTGGTTCTGTGTATTGTTTTTTTTGTGTGGTTTTGGGGATTTTTTTTTCTATTTCTGTAAATATTGTTACTGGTATTTTGGTAGGCATTGCATTGAATCTATACACTGCTTTTGGTAGGTAATGTGGTCATTTTCACAATATTCTTCTAACCACGAACGTTGGATGTCTTTCCATTTTTTGATGTGTGTTCTCTTTAATTTCTGTTATTAGTTTTTTTTGTAGTTGTCCTTGCAGAGATCTTTAACCTCTTGCTTAAATTTATACCAAAGTGTTCTACATTTTTCGGTGAGTAGGATTGCTTTCTTGATTTTTTTCCCCACTAGTTTATTTTGGTATATAGAAATGCTGCTGACTTTTGTATGTTTATTTTGTATCCTACAAGTTTAATGAATTTGTTTATAAGTTCTAACAGTGCAGATGTACAGTTTGACTTCTTCCTTTCCAATTTGGATGTCCTTTATTTAATATTTTTTTCTTTTGCTTAATTGCTTGGGCTAGGACTGCCAGTACTGTGTCGAATGAAAATGGGCATCCTTGTCTTGTTTCAGATGTTAGAGGAAAAACTTTCAACTTTCCCCCATTTAGTATGATGTTGACTGTGGTTTGTCATGCCTTTATTGTGTTGAGATATGTTTATTTTATACCTAACTTGTTGAGAGTTTTTATTGTGAAGGGATGTTGAATTTTATCACTTACGCTTTTCCTGTGTCTATTGAGATGATCATACTGTTTTTGTTCTTCATTCTGTTGATGTGATGTATCACATTTATTGATTTCATATGTTAAACCATTCTTGCATTCCTGGGATAAATGCTACTTGATTGTGGTGAGTGATCTTTTTAATGTGCTGCTGGATTCAGTTTGCTAGGATTTTTGCATTTATATTAATCAGGGATATTGGCCTCTAATTTTCTTTTTTTGTTGTGTTTTTGTCTGGTTTTGGTATCAGGGTACTGTTAGCCACACAGAATGGGTTAGGAAGAATTCCCTCCTCTTCAATTTTCTGGAAGAATTTGAGAATTGGTATTTGTTCTTTAAATGTTTGATAGAATTCTGCAGTGAAGACTGGGTCCTGGGCTTTTCTTTGATGGGAGACTTATTATTACAGAGACAATCATGGTTGAACATGAAAAATACAAATTTAATACGTGTAGCCATGCAGATGAGATGGAAATACATTGGTTAAGACAAAGTATATACTTTTTATCAAATGTTGAACAAGATGAACTGATGAACCTTGTAAGCACATACATACCCTTTAAGAATAAAAATTTCTGTAAGATTGATGATTAAGATTACATATCATTTTGAGTTTTACGTAGAGAGGTTCAGATGAATGTGGAGTATGTTTTGAAGAGAGCAAAAGATAAAAGAGAGGTAAACACTTCATAGAATTAGAGCTGTAACTTAGGGAAGAAGAGGAAATGCCAAAAGATCGAAAGAGTATGACCTAGTAGCTGCCATAGATATTTGGAAGTTTATCATATTGATAAGAGATTTGACTTCTTTATGAATAAAAGGGAAAGACCTAGGTCCCTTAGGCAGCAGTTAGAGGGAGGCAGAGTTTAAGTGGCTAAAAGGGGGAACTTGTGGTTCTCCAAAATGGAATAATAGGTTCCCTGGCTGGGCATATAGGATTTTCGCTTTTGCTGGTTATGACCCGTTGACTGAGGTGTTTCAGTGGGGATTCAGGCATCAGATAGTTATTTGTATTAGGTGACCTTTTTTTTTTTTTTTTTTTTCGAGATGGGGCTCTCACTGTGTTGCCCAGGCTGGAGTGCAGTGGTACAATCTCAGCTCACTGCAACGTCCACTTCCCAGGCTCAAGTGATCCTCCCACCTCAGCCTGCCTAGTTGTTGGGACTACAGGTGTGTGCTGCCACGCCCTGCTAATTATTATTATTATTATTTTTGAGACAGAGTTTCACTCTTGTTGCTCAGGCTGTAGTGCAATGACACTATCTCAGCTCACTGCAACCTCCGCCTCCCGGGTTCAAGCAATTCTCCTGCCTCAGCCTCCTAAGTAGCTGGGATTATAGGTGCCCACCACCATGCCCGCCACCATGCCTGGCTAATGTTTTGTATTTTTAGTAGAGATAGGGTTTCTCCATGTTGATCAGGCTGGTCTTGAACTCCTGACTTCAGGTGATCCACCTGCGTTGGCTTCCCAAAGTGTTGAGATTACAGGTGTGAGCCACCATGCCCGGCCTGTTTTTGTGTTTTTTTGTAGAGACAGGGTTTCACCATGTTGCTTAGGCTGGTCTCAAACTCCTGAGCTCAAGCGAGCTGCCCACCTTAGCCCCCCAAAGTGCTGGGATTATAGGCATGTGCCACTGCGCCTGGCTTCAGGTGACCTTTTAAGGTCTGTTCCAAACTAAATTATCCATGAAACTGTTATTTCTTTTTATAAAAAGAAATACAAATGATTTTTTATGTTCACTTTAGTCCTAAGTTTTATTGGTAGGCTTTATGTATTTCATAGCTTCTTTAAATTATATGCAATATAGCTTAAAAGCACAGTGGTAACTACTACATTTATATAAGCAGCTTTAATTGCTCTCAGTTCGGTTTGTTTCTTGTTGTTTTATTTCTTATGCTTTTTCTGGGTTATAGACTGCTGTTCTATGTAGATATTTCTTCTTTTTCTTTTTTTGTTGCAGTGTTGGGGTTTTGCTATGTTGCCCAGGCTGGTCTTGAACTCCTGGGCTCAAGCCATTCTGCCGCCTTGTCCTCTCAAAGTTCTGGGATTACAGGCATGAACCACTGTGCCCGGCCCTGCTTTAGACATTTCTAATAGATTGTGCAGTTCTTTTCAAATATTTTTCCATAGTCATTGCTGCAGCCATCCTTAATAACAAAAGTAACAATTGAACTCAGAGTTAAAACATACACATCTTTTAATGTAAACACTAAAGTATCACTTTATAAATTCAGAAAATCCAGAGTAGGGAATTTCTGGCCCAAGGCCGGAGCTTTCCAGTTGAAGTCTTTATTTTGCATATTCTGTGGCTTTTCTGTTTTAGTTCTACTTGCTTACATTTATTTTTGCTTTCCATAGCTTGACATAATATAAAACTGAATATATCTTAGTTGTACTTTGCATTGACTATTTAATTTTTTGTCTTTTTAACTTAAAATGTGAAATAAAATTAATCTTGTCTTCATTACTGTATCTCTGATAGTTTTTGTTTCTTCATCTGTTGCTTAAATTTATTCCATTGTATTACTGAAACCCTAAAAAAACCAAGACACCTTGGACCAAGACTAGTACAGTTTTTATTCTAGTACAGTTGCTGACTGTGTGTTTGTATGTGTGTTTGTATAAACTTGCATTTCTGTGCTGTTACAAGAGACTTCTTTTTCCAAGATTTTGAGCCTACTATTGGTCTATTGAATTCATTTTTCCCCTGGAGATTTGTTGCCCAGAGCCCCCTGAGTTTGTCATTTTCTAGGCATGTTATACATCTTCTGTCTCTGAGCTTTACTGCTCTCCTTGATTAGAGCTGTTGTTTCCCTGTATTCGATCTTCTTTATTTTTTATCTATACCCTCTTTCTTTGTTGAAGTCCTTGGTAATTTTCTAATACTCTCATACTTGAGTAATGATTTGGTTTTACATAGAATCCAAAGTTGAATATCACTTTTCCTTCAAATTTTAACTCATTGTTTCTTAGCCATCTAGCATTTAATATTGCTGCTGTGTTGCCTGATACTTATATAAGGCTTGCTGCATTGTTAGGTTGCCTTTCCTCCAACCCAGTTTAGGATCTTCTCTTTACCTTTTGATGTTCTGAAATTGCAGTGATGTATCTGCATTAGCCTTTCATTTATTTCCCTGGGCACTTGGTGGGCCTTTTCAATTTGGAGTGTGTTCTCTTCAAGTCTGGGAACTTTTCTTGTGTTTTCTCTGCAAACTCCTGGAAGACAGATGTTGGCTGGTGCTTTTTACGTATTTCTTGTGTCTTTCCAACATTTTGCTTTATGTCTTTCTAGATGCTTATTGCCATATTTTCCACCTCTTTGGATATTTCATTTTGACAAATATTTTACTGTTGCTAAGAATTCTTTCATGTATTCTCTTTATTCCATGTTTTTAGTAGTAGTCTATTCTCAAAGGGATATACAGTAGGCTCTTGAATAATGTGGGATTTAGGGTCACAGAGCCCCCATTCTTTGCATTCAGAAATTCGCATATAACTTTTATCTTCCCCCAAACTTAAGTACTAATAGCCTATGTTGACTGGAAGCCTTACTGATAGCAGAAACAGCTGATTAACACATATTTTGTACATTATATGTTACGTGTATTATCTACTGTATTCTTACAATAAAGTACACTAGAGAAATGTCATGAAGAAAATCATCAAAAAGAATATGTATTTAATATTCATTAAGTGGAAGTGGATCATTAAAAAAGTCTTCATCTTCATCTTCATGTTTAGTAGGTTGTGGAGGAGGAGGAAGAACAGGGGCTAGTGGCTAGTCTTGCTGTCGCACAGGTGGCAGAGGTAGAAGAAAATCGATGTATAAGTGGAACTGCGCAGTTCAAACCCATGTTGTTCAAGGGTCAACTGAATAAATCTCTCTTTATATATAGTCTGAATTAATTTTCCTATTTGTTTATTTTGATCTTTCTCATAGTACTGTGTGCTTTCCCCAAAGGTCAGATTATTTTTGGTTGGTTGTTAATATTTACAGTGAATAGGAAATCTAGTCAAGTTTTGCTGTGGGATAAGTAGGCTTTAGATAGATAGCCTGAGGTTATTTTGGGGAACCAGGGTGAGAAGTACCTTATCATTAGATGGTAACTGTCCTATTTCCTTCAGTTCATTCAATTTAAGTTCAGGGTTAAGAAAATACTTTCTCTTACTTTGAGTTCAATGCTTGGTTGTAGGCCTTGCTGGGTATTCAAGTAGGGGAAGAGATGAGGTTGACCTCTCAGTATTAAAGTATTAAGGCTTTCAGTTAATCCTTATGTCTAGCCCAGCTCACTACTTATACCATCTATCATTTCATTTTTAGAGATTCTAAAAGTTAGACAAGGTTGTTCACAACTTCTTAAGCTTCAGCTCCTTTGGACTCTAGGCTATGACTTTTTCATGCTCTGTTTTAGTAATCTTTTCTGTTCAGTTTTCTCTTCATCTCCTAGAATTGTATTTAAATCTTTCATTTGCTTTTGGTCTTCTTTTTATTCACTTTGTTGTTACAGGTTTTTACCTTCTGTTTCTTCTCATTTTAATGGGATTTGGGGGTGGGGAGAGAAATAAAGATGTACAAAGTCTGCCATATTGAACCAGTGACTCTTTTAATTAAGTCATAATAAATATAAAATTTCTGGCATCCAGTAATTTTTACTTAGGGATTTTGGAACCCTCTCCGTTGTTACCTTGATGTTTATTTCTTTTATGGTGTGTTTGCATTACTTTCCTTGCTTTCAGATTTTTTCATCTGTTAGTAATATTAATTTTGTGTTAGTAATAAAGCTATTAACAAACTTCACTGAGTTTGCAAGGTTTTCCAGAGAAACAGAACCAATAGATTTTGTGTGTGTGTGTGTGTGTGTGTGTGTGTGTGTGTGTGTGTGTGTGTGTTTATAACGAGAGAGAGAGGGAGAGATTGATTGATTGATTTTAAGGAGTTGGCTTATGTGATTGTGGAGACTGGCTGGCAAGCCCAAAATCTGCAGGGTAGGCTGGCAGGCTGGAGACCTAGGGAAGAGTTGATGTTGCAGTTTGAGTCCAAAGGCATTTTGGAAGCAGAATTTCTCTTATTCAGGGGACCTCCATTTTTGTCTCTGAAGACCTTTACCTAATTGATTGTGGCTGACCCATATTGTGGAGAGTAATCTTTTTTACTCAAGTCTTTTGGTTTAAATGTTAATTATTTAAAAAATACTTTCACAGCAGCATTTAGACTTGTGTTTGACCAGATATTGGGGAATCATGGCCTAGCCAAGTTGACGTATAAAGTGAACAATCTCTCACCACAAAAAAGTTGATGTGAGTTAATGCATGTTAATTAATTTGATTTAGCCATTCCACAATGTATACATATATCAAAATATGTTGTACACCATAAACATATATTATTGTCAACTAAATAATTAAAAAATCAAATTAACCATCACAGTAAGGTCCCAAAAACTCAGAAGATGATAAATTATTCTTTGAACTGCTATTTTATATATGTTGTCATGAAACTAGTGTTAATCTTAGGATTTTTGAGAAAGTGATTTCAAGATGAGTATTGTAGGCAGATGCAGCTTAAAAAGAAAGCACCCAGCTCTTTTCTCTTAAGGGATTTTATATATAAAGGAAGTTGAAAAAATAGTTAAAATGTGTGGATGTTAATGTACCAAATACTGTGCAAAACTACTTTGCTAGCTCTATCTTACTAAATCTTCACGAAAACCTTAAGAGCTGTAGATACTACAGGTTGAGTATCCCTTACCTGAAATGCTTAGGACCAGAAGTGTTTCAGATTTTGGATTTTATTTTTTGGTATTTGCATTATACTTACTCGTTCAGCAAGCCAGCCTAATCTGAAAATCCCAACTCCAAAATGCTCCAATGAGCATATCCTTTTGAATGTCATTTTGGTGTTCAAAAAGTTTTGTATTTTGTATTTTGATTTTTGGGTTAGGGATACTCAACCTGTACTATTAATCTCATTTTATAGCCCAGTAAACTGAAGTTTTGAGAATGGTTAATTTCCTGAGGTTATTAATATGTAAGTCATGGTACATAGATTGCAATCATTCTAAATTTTTTTTGCCTTCAAGTACATAAGTTCTGTTAAGATCAGTGCTCTAAATCGGTTCTCAGATTTCATTTAGCTTTGTAGTCAGCAAGATTAGGATGTTATTTTGTTTTTGTGTGTGTGTGTGTTTCTTTTTAGTTTTGTTCTTGAAAGAACAAAGAAGATAGTTCTTTTTCCTGTTTAAAGAATATATGTGTGTTTGTAGGAAAGATGTGTGAGTGCCCAAAATGGCGCTTAGTTATTAAAGACCAAGCAATTTAGACAGAAAAATAGTCATTGGCCAGTGATTTTGTTAATCTTGAATACCAGAGACGTGCTCTAAAGATGTGCCTTTGATAAATGCCAACAGGTAGACGTGTACTGCAAGCTACTTGAACCCTTCTTTATCAGATAAAGTTGATTCAGGATGGAATGCAACTAGATATAAGAAAAAACCTCTAACTTCATACTCATTTTACAGTTGAAGAAATTGTGGTTTAGGAATAAACATTAACTTGGATAATTTTTTTGTACAAATTAGCTGATTTTGACTTTATTCATTTATTGAATGTCTGTTATATGCTAGGTAATATGCTAGGCAGTGGACATACAATGTTGAGTAAAACAAAACTTGATGATCTCTTCTTAATGGAGCTTAAAGTTTAGTATAGAAATAATTTTTCTTCTTATTTTCCCAGGATGTTTAATAAGTCTAGTTATTTAACATAAACTTACTGGGAGAGGTTGTCTGCCATGAGTTTTGAGTGTTCTTGAGCTTTCTTGCTCAGCATGGCAAGAAAGCAAGGTCCTGACCACTCTTTTCCTGGACCATTTCTCAGGGTCATAATTGCAGCAAGCAGCATTGAAGGATGACATTACATTTGCTCTCTCACCCCTACCTCTTAACTCGACAATCAGCAGGCTTGCTTACTGCTCACTATAAAAGGCAATGCCTTTTCAACAATGTTGCTCTCCTGTATTTCAACCCACTGTGTTTGTAGGCATCTGTATAGGCATATCTGTGTTGTCCCTGTGGAACTTGAGGAGACAGGGTTATCTTGTCATCATGCTGCTTGCTGTGCCATGGGTGACAGAGTTCTTTGTCTTTTACCCAGTACCCTTGTGTCTTCTGTCAGTAAACATGAATCAGTAATGGGCTAGTTCATTAGTTTGTGAGTAGGGTAAAAAATCCCAGACCCTTTACAGTTCTTGCAGTTCTCAACATTACTGTGTTTAATCCCAGGAATTATTCATGGAGGTTTAGCCATACTTTAATTATTAAAGATATTTAAATAATTTACCTCCAGGAAGGCAGGGATTGCAGCTATGTATGTTATTCATACCGGCACTAGAATAGTAGGCATTTAGTAAATTTTGACTGGAAAAACGCACAAGAAAAAAGTGGGACCAGATAATGAGACTAGAAGTTAAGAAAATAAAATGTTTGATGCAGGTGGGGTACAACTTTGCCTATCAGATTTATAGCAATTACTATTGAAGAGGAAACATTCCAAGGTGAAGAATACAATGTCCTGAATGTAAAAACAAATTTAGTATCTAGGAAAAGGAAAATAATTTTTGACACTAAAACTGGAAAGAAATTTCAACCAGTGTGATATAAAAAAATCTTTAACATAATTTCAATGAACATAGGGCTTTTTCTTATATCCCTCAATATATATTCCAGTATGAGCAGTATTACAGGGGCTAACATCATGGTCTGACTGATCCAATCCCAGGTAGATTTTAAGTTATCTTTCAAACAGCCTACCTTGGATATCAGTTCTCACTAGATTTTTTAATATATTGATAAGAAGATGAGTTATATGATACTATCTGAGAACTGTTGAGAATGTAATTAGCCTTTTGTTTTCTTTTGCCCTATACATAAGTTTTATTGATCACCAGAGCTGGGTATGAGATTGCATAAATTTAGGCTCTGATAGGAGTGTTTCTTAGAATAGGAGGCTGTTCTGCTGTCCTTGTTGTAGAGCAGGGGTCCCCAGACTGTGGGCCATGGACTAGTACCAGTTTGGGGCCTGTTAGGAACCCAGCTGCACAGCAACAGGTGAGCTGCGGGCCAGTGAGCATTACCGCTTGAGTTCCACCTCCTGTCAGATCAGCGGTGGCATTAGATTTTCATAGGAGCGCGAACCCTATTGTGAACTCTGCATGTGAGGGATCTAGGTTGTGCTCTGCTTATGAGAATCTGATGTGTGATGATCTGAGGTGGAACAATTTTATCACAAAACCACCCCCTCATCCGTGGAAAAATTGTCTTCCATGAAACTGGTCCCGGGTGCCAAAAAGGTTGGGGGCCACTGCTGTAGAGGACAGGGCCAAAATTTTCCTCAAAAAGTTATTTTGGGGTCCTCTTTAATGCCTTAAATAGACAGGAGAAGCTCCACAGCTTCAGACACAAAGGAAGATCATTTTGGTATAATTTTTGTTTTATAGCCCACATTTAAAGTAAGAACTAGCTGAGTAAAATTCATCAATTTTATTTTCTTTAGTTCTAGTGATTTTTCTCGCTGTTTTCTTCTAGTCATGACAGGATTGCAGAATCCCTTGTTGCCATTTTTACTATAGTTGCTGCCTGGATTCTTTTGGAACTCTGTAGACCTGTGTCTTCTCCCCTTGTACTCTTTTCCCTTCCATATTTATTGCTTAGTTGGAGGATCTTCTCAAAAGATTTCTGATCTGGATCTACTGGTATTGGCACTATTTTCTGCCATCTCTTCCTCCCTAAAATACTGTCTTTCCCTAATTTTGGTCTTTGGTCATAGGTTTTTTTATCATGTCTTTAAGTGAATCGTGAATGACAAATTAGTTATCAAATATGTGCTTACATAACAAGAACGATAAATTGTCATGGAATGATTACATGGAAGTTTCCTGAAGTATGAGAATATCCAAAATGGTGACATTGTTTAAAGCATAATTGATGTCATTTCTATTTTCCTGCTAAAGCTAATTTTCTATAAACAGAGTCTGAGATTAGGATGAGAGCATTTTACTGGTTGACAACTCCAGTTGGTACCAATCTCAGAAGATACAGTGTGAATAGTCCCCTTAAGTTGAGTGGACAACAGCCTGGATAGTTTAAGGAAGTGAATAAAAAAATAATTTTGATATAAAGAATATCAAGGATCCTTGAGCAAATGTTTTCTTAACCTTAGTTTTGACCTCCTTTTCCTTTGTCTAATTAGCCTCATAATTACTAATTTTTTTCTGTCAGGAAGCAAAGTAAATAATAAAATCTCTAAGGTCTTTGCTATCTTTTGAGGACACTGATCAAAAAGAAATTCTGATGAAAGATAGAGAGCTGCATCTTGATTCTTACGGGATCTCAAGATGAGACTGGCTAATTTATAGTGGCCCAGAAGTGTGATTACTTGTTTCAAGGCCCTATCCTTGGTTCGCCTTCACTATCCTAGAAATAGGATAGCTTCTGTACCCGCCAGCTACAGAAGCTGAATTTCATAATTCCTTGGCAGTGGCAGATCCTTGTTTTTTTAGAGAAGTAGGAAAGCTGGCTACCTAGATTTCTCCAAATCATAGACCTAGACCTCCTTAGCCTCCCTGGCTGTCCATTTCTCATTTCCTCAGCCTCCTGTCTGACCCCAGAAACACTTTCTGTACTCCAGACTTTATATTATTTTCCTAGTCTCTGTTGCCATCATGGATTTGCTTCCCATAGGTTGTAATTTACTGAGTCATCATCTTGACTCAGAATTTTTGGCCTTGGTTTTAGTTAGGATTACACTCAGCTAACAGTGATAGAAAACTCCAGATAACAGTGGTATAAAGAAAGAAATTGCAGTAGCTCAGAAGGAAGTGACTGAGAGCTAGTATGGAGTCGCACAGTGCCAGGGACCCAAGCTCCTTCTACCTTGCGCTATTATGTGTGATGACTAATTTCACCTTTATTGCATAATTTGAGATGGCCCCTTCAGCTATTAGATATTGATTCCACTCAATAAAAAAGGGGAGGGAAAGGTAATATCTCCTTCATTTAAAATTGTATCTTGAAAGTTGTATGTTCATTTCTACTCACATCCCATTGGCCACACCTTAGTAACCTCATCTATCAGTAAGGTAGATTGAAAAGTGTCATTTTTTTTATGGGTAACCATGTACCCAGCTAAAAAATAGGAATTCCAGTAAATGAGGGAGAATGGCTGAATGGTTATTGGGCAACAGCTAGCAGTTTCAAGTACAATTTCTATAGTTCAGTCTGTGAGGAATCTGAGATCAGTACCTTTTCCTAGTTCATTGGTCATCCTGGGACCCAGGTTTGACTACTAGGCTTTTTTTCAGAGCACATCCTGCCTCACTTGTCAAAGACTTCTAGACTGTATATCTGTATTTCCTCCCTAACAAGTGGAACTTGGGAATCAGATAAAGTCCAGTTCTCTGTTCATAGAGCATGATCATTTGCTCGTATCAGAAATTTTAGAGGGAGATTCAATTCTTGTTTTACTCTGAAGGAGATGGGTGTCAAAATTGCTACTTGTGTATTGGAGATATTTCATTAAGGTAAGATAACCAAACTTTTTTGATTGTGTAAGTTTATATATAAGACATTTGAGTGCACACCAGTATTTTTACGTGTATTTATATTACTTGTCTTACTGTTTTACTGTATTAATGTATTTTGTATAACAAATACAGTAGATATTAAATATTTTAAAATGTTGAGCCATAGATAAAATATTTATACTTTTCAAATTATTAACTAAAATTATTAGTTGTATAAGAACTTACTTGGAATGCATTATGATTGCACATGCTTAATTAGTTTTGGAAATTTCATCTTATTTTGATAAAATTTTTTACATATCTGGTTCCAAGTTGAGCTTGATACTGGGTTTTAATGGCTATCATAGCTGAAAAAGATAACTCGATTATACATACATTTAAATGGAAGAAATTTATTGTAGTTATTGTACAATAACTACAATAATAGAAATTTATTGTAAGTTATAATCTTAGTTTTTTTTGTTTTAAATACAGAAAAGCTTTTATTTTAGTTAATTAGAACATTTCTGCCATCTTTCAGTGTGCTTGTTTTTTAAAACTACTAGGAAGTGGTTACATTAAATAATTATTACTATATGAGATCAAAATTCACTGAACTTTTTTATTTGGGAAAATTTTTAAATGTCCAGATTAAAAACATTTTTTAAGTGCCACATTTCATTTTTTAGCCAGATAATACGTAACAATGAAAACATACCTAAACATCAATTTTCTTAGCCCGAGTTTTTTCTTTTTAAAGTAAGAAAAAGAGTTTCTTTCTTATCACTAAAATATCATTTTATCTAGAAGGGACAGATTAAAGGTGTGTATTTTCTCATATGACTTATCACATCTACTTAGAAAAGGCCAGCACGTTTCTAACACTTGTCTCATTTGTAGAACATTTATTTTGTAAACCAAAAATGTGTAATTTATTAAGTATAATAGCTCTTTTAAGTCCTTTGCTATGAATTAATGGATAATTTTTTTGTGGCATAAAGATTTTAATAATCACTTCCTGTTTCATTAAAATTACTGTTTCGCTTTGTGGTTTTTTTTTGTTTTTTTTTTTTTTTTTTGAGACAGAGTCTTGCTCTGTTGCCCAGGATGGACTGCAGTGGTGTGATCTTGGCTCACTGCAACCTCCGCCTCCGGCTTCAAGCAATTCTTTTGCCTCAGCCACCCAAGCAGCTGGGATTACAGGTGCCTGCCACCACACCTGGCTAATATTGTTGTCTTTTTTAGTAGAGACGGGGCTTCATCATGTTGGCCAGGCTAGTTTCGAACTCCTAACCTCAAGTGATCCACCCATCTCAGCCTCCCAAAGTGCTAGGATTACAGGCATGAGCTGCTGCACCTGGCCTAAAATTACTGTAAACAGTCTACTGTTTTTACAAAGTATTTTTAGTATAAAAGGAACTATATTTATATTAATGACATTCTGTAACAATGCAAAGTGCTGAAGGCAAACAAAAGGGTGTCAACTCCTCTCTACTTTATGGAATTTTTACTCTTTCAGTATCCTTCCTTTTGGATAAATTGACTGACATGTATTCATCAAGGATACTAGTGGCAATCTGATTAAATACTAGTTAAGTTTGATTTCTTTTTAAAATTTAGGTAGCAGTTAATCATAGATTGATTGTCATGTCTACCGCTTTAGTTATACACACCCCCTTAGGAAATGATTTGCTTAATGTATAAAGTCTAATAAAAGCTGCTATAAGGATGTCTTTTGAAGGAGTGACCAATTTAGAGGTAGTACCTTTTTAAGGTATACTGACTGTTTTTTCATGTGTTTCTCCATTAAAGAGCTTTGCTGAATACCTGACAAACTTTGACTTTTAGTCTTCATGAGATCAGGGAACACCTAATGAAAGTAAATATTTGTAACTTACTCTGGGTACTGACATTATTCTTGAGTTCATCTTAGTTTCTTACGTATATATATTTACATATATATATGTGGCATAAAGATTTTAATAATCTTTAATATATATATATTTGCTTCGTGTTTGTCAGCATTTTTTTTTTCTTTTAAAACATTCCCTTATATTGTAGAGTCATTCCGCGGTATCCATAGGGGATTGGTTCCAGGACTTCTCCCTGCCACAATACCAGTATACTCATATGTTCAAGTCTCTGGTATAAAATGGTGTATATTTGCATATAACCTGTGCACATCCTCCTATGTATTTTAAATCATCTTTGAATTATACCTAATACAATGTAAGTGCTGTGTAAATAGTTGTGGTGAAGTATTCTTTAGGGAATAATGACAAGAAAAAAAAGGCTGTACATGTTTCATACAGACATCATTGTCCCCCTCCTTTTTTTTTTTTTTGAGATGGAGTCTTGCTCAGTTGCCCAGGCTGGAGTGCAGTGGTGTAATCTCAGCTCACTGCACTGTCTGCCTCCCGGGTTCAAGCCATTCTCCTGCCTCAGCCTCCCAAGTAGCTGGGATTACAGGCACGTGCCACCATGCCCAGCTAGTTTTTGTATTTTTAGTAGAGACAGCATTTCACCGTGTTTGCCAGGCTGGTCTTGAACTCCTGACCTCAAGTGATCTGCCTGCCTTGGCCTCTCAAAGTGCTGGGATTGCAGAGGCGGGGTCTCCTTATGTTGCCCAGGCTGGTCTCGAACCCCTGGGCTCAAGCAATCCTCCTACCTTGGCCTTCGAAAGTGCTGGGATTACAGATATGAGTACCATACTCAGCCTTCCCAAATATTTTTGATATGCTGTTGGTTTTATTCACATATGAAGAACCCATGGATTTGGAGGGTTGACTGTATATCCTTTTAAAAGACACTTTAAATATGTTTTGGAACAAAGTAGACTGTAAATGAGATATATGCTATTTAGATACCTGGTTAAGGATACTTGTTATTTTAAGCTTTAAAAAAATTTTTAATTTAATTTTGTATTTTGAAAATTTAAAACATACTGAAAAACAAAGTACAGTATACTCACATTTAGTCATCACCAATATTCAACAGCTGTTAATATTTTGCTATATTTGTTGTATTAATTTATCAGTTTACCAGTTCATCCATCCAGTCTACCCATTTAGTTGAACTTTATCATGTATCTTCCCAAAAAGGACTTATATATAACAATACCATAACTACACCTAAGAAACAATTTCCAGGTATCATCTAATATCCTGTCCATGTTCAAATTAGTCATTTGTCCCCAAGCTATTATTTTCACCCGGTTTGTTCAACTCAGGTTGTAATCAAGGACCTAGTTTGGCATTTAGTTGTATTTCCGAAGTCTCTGCACTCCTTTTTCCATTGATACATTTTGAACAGGTAAGACCAAATGTCTCTTAGCAACATCCTGAGTTTTAGATTTTTTAAACTGGATTTTCTGCAAGTTGGAAATTAGGTTTAAAAACTTGATTAGAGTCAAACATATTTGGCATTCGGAAAACTTCATAGGTGAAGCTGTATAATGTCACATCTTAGAATGTTTATCATCTGACTCTTGATGTTAAATTGGATTACTGGGTTAAGGTAGTGAGAGCAAAATCTCTTCTTCCTAAATACTTGAGATGGCAAGTAATCTGCACAGCGATGCAGCCTTGGCAATATGAAAATATTTATTTCCTCATCAGCCTTTTTCCTAATGGTTTTATGCATCCATTGATGATATTCGCTGGAGTCAGTTGTAGCAAAATGATGGCTTTCTAAATCTAACTTTTCTTTTACATTTATTTGCTGCATTCTGGTAAGGGAAAGTTTTGTTTCATTACCTGGTTGCTTACAGTTCCTACTGAAGAGGCAGATTAGAAGGAAAGAATGAACATTTCAGAGTTAGGAGTTGGAGGAATGATCTTTCAGAGTAAAGAGTTTTGGTGAAATGATCACTGCTAATGCCAGAGGTGGCAAATAATTTTTTTGGCTTCCTCCTCCCTCCCCCTTTTTTTTGAGACAGGCTCTCTATTGCCCAGGCTGCAGTGCAGTGGCGTGATCATGGCTCACTACAGCCTCGACCTCCTGGGCTTAAGTGATCCTCCTGCCTCAGCTTCCCAAGTAGCTGGGACCACAGGTGTGTACCATCATACCTGCTAATTTATTTTTTATTTTTTATTTTTGTATAGATGGGGTCTCTCCATGTTGCCCAGGCTAGTCTTGAACTCCTGGGCTCAAGTGATTGTCCCACATCGGCTTCCTAAACCTGGGATTATAGGCTTGAGCCACTGCACCCGGCCCTCTTTCCTTTTTGATGGTTATAATGAGTTCATAGATTAAAAAAATATATATGTCACAGTGCTTTTTTCCTTAAGATGCTCAAATTTTTTTTTAACCCAATCACCTCACAATGTAGTCAGTGAGATGTACTTTTAATTGTGTGTTCCATTGCATAGTTTTGTTACTGTTATAGAGGCAGAATGCTTCTAAAAGTACTTGCTGATTTTTTTTCATTCTGCGATTTTTAATTTTGGCCTTAGGACCATATTTTCCTCTGTTACGTGTATAATTACAATCAATTTCAGTATAAGATTTCTTGATATGCAACTTCAAAAAAGCATGTGAAATATGTAAAAGGAGGTCAGCTTGGAAATTAACTGATCGGTTGTGAGGGTTTGGTAGAAAATTTTTCCCTTATCTTAAGGCTGAATGTTGATCATGCTTTAAATTAAATTTGATACACACTGGTGACAGGAAAATTGTCAAATAAATGACCTTGATTAGTGGACAGATCAGTCTTGGCTTTAATACAGAAACATTCTTGTGATGATTTAGGGAAATAATTATTGTAAATAAATCTTCAAGAAACTGACATTTAAAAAACTATATTGATAATTCTTCCTTTTTAAAGCAGTATAGTGAACATAATTTAGCTTTTAACTGTTGATTTAGTAGTCTTGGGAAACCAGTGATTGTATTATTACTTATTAGCAACATCCTTAGGTACTGTTTTTGTAGGTAAGGCTTTTGGTCCCTGTATTAACTGGGCCTGGGACAAATACACTAGGAAAAAAATTGCTTTTGAATGATGTGTTTCTCGTCTTTTTATAATACCGTCTTAGGACCTTCTAGTTTATCTTTCTCAAACATCTAAAATATTCGATCCATTCGTCTAATTGTGAGAGGCCAGGAAACTTGAGTTATTAGAAATATGTGAAATAAAAATAAGGGACTACACTCTTAAAAAGGTGTGTATATATGTAAAACACATGGACAAATAAACCATATTAAAGTAGTTTTTCTCTGAGGGTTTCTATATACTTGATTTTTCTTGAGGAAGGCTCTAGAGTTGGAAAGTTAACTGAAATGAACTTGATGTAAGGGATTACCCATTCTAAACTGTTCATAAGAGGCCAGAGAAACTTATGGAAGATAACAGGAAGCATTTACTGACTTCTAAACCTACATTATAGAATGGAGCAAGATACATTTTACTGCTGTTTCAAGGCTGAATACATATAATAATAATTTTTTTCTCATTAAGTTATGACCTTTACCTAGGTATGTTTATCAGAATTGTGTTTTCCAAGTTGTAGTAATTCTCTTATGTGTTCCAAATTTATTACAGAGTTGACATTTTTTTTTCTATTAAGGTTCATATCTTTAATCTCTTTAATATACTTGATGAAAGTTCCTTTTATAGAACCGTTTTTATACTCTTAAAAGGAGACTGTGATTCTTAGGCATACACCCTGAAAAATGCTACTAATTGGATCTTTTTGAGTGAGCAGCTTTTTTTGTAGTTATTTGGTTATTCCATGTTTGGATGCTTCCTTCTCATCTGTGCTTTCTAAACTGTCATCCTAATTCTGACTTCTGCATGGGTTAGTCAACACTATGTGATGGAGTAGAGGTGTTTTTTGTTTTTTTGTTTTTTTGCTTTTTTGAGATGGAGTCTCGCTCTTAACGCCCAGGCTGGACTGCAGTGGCGCTATCTCGGCTCACTGAAAGCTCTGCCTCCTGGGTTCACGCCATTGTCCTGCCTCAACCTCCCAAGTAGCTGGGACTACAGGTGCCTGCCACCGTGCCTGGCTAATTTTTTGTATTTTTAGTAGAGATGGGGTTTCACCACGTTAGCCAGGATGGTCTCGTTAGCCAGGATGGTCTCGATCTCCTGACCTTGTGATCCGCCCAACTCGGCCTCCCAAAGTGCTGGGATTACAGGCATGAGCCACCGTGCCCGGCGGAGGTGTTTTATTCTATTTCTTTTGATTGCTGAGGATAACTTCCTGATTTGAGTCTAGTTGAACATGGAGGTTCTCATCTGTTGAGATAGAGCCATGATATTTTTGTATGCACTCATGCATTTGTTCATTTAAGCTATGTTTTAAGACTGAATATTTTATGTTCCAGCTGCTGTTCTAGCACTAGTGATACATCAGAAAACAAAAGAATAACAAATTCCTGCTCTTGTGGAGTTTTAATTCTATTTAGTGGAGCATATAGTAGCATAATAGTCTTTTCCTGGGCTACTACAAATTAGGGCTGTAAATTGTTTAACTCAGTTTCCTGGCCTCTTTTACTGAAAAAAATATGTGATTCTCTAAGAACTCTTTTGGTGGTCCTGTTTGTGTCTGTTTTTTTCATATATTTGAGTAAATGGAACTGAAATGTTACAGAATGAAGTGCCTAGTTGGGAATTGACTTATTAGAATGTGAAACTCAATGAATAATAATGAGATCCATATTATAAGATGGTCGAGCTGCTTTTTTTTTTTTAAACCTATTCCTGTTTTACAGTAACGTGATTTTCATTAAATAACATTCCAGGGATCAGCAGTTTACAACAATCGTATGTAAGGTATAATGATTTTCTTTGAGATAAAAGTGATTGGTACTGTACTGTTTGTTTAACAAATATTTATTGCATACCTATCATATGCCAGACTGTTTCCAGTGCTGGAGGATAGAGTGGTGTTTGAGACAAAGTCCTTGCCCTCATGGAGCCGGCAAGTATTAGGTTAGTGCAAAATTGATTGTGGCTTTGGCCATTACTCTCAATGGGAAGAAACACGATTACTTTTGTGTCAGCCTAGTAAATTGTAAGGTGATAGAAAATGTCTAATTGCTTTTTGGTGGCAGAGGTCATGGTTTATTTGACTTGGGCTAGTTAGGGAAGGCCTCTCTCAAACATTGAGAGTAGCTGCATGCTGAGGTACTCGTAGTGGCCAGCCTTTTGAAAATCCTAGGCAAGTAAAGTACATTCCAAGCAGAGAAATAGCAAATGAAGGGTACTCAAAATGTTTAGTTAATACTTTTATCAGATTAAAGTAATTCATGGTTACTAAATAGTTCTAGTATCTCTGAGGGTTGTGTTTACATGCTTACATTCATATTTACAGTTGTTTTGTTTTGTTTTGTTTTTGAGACGGAGTCGTCCTCTGTCGCCAGGCTGGAGTTGCAGTGGTGCGATCTCGGCTCACTGGAACCTTCGACTACCTGGTTCAGGTGATTCTCCTGCCTCAGCCTCCCAAGTAGCTGGGATTACAGGCACGCACCACCACACCCAGCTAATTTTTGTATTTTTAGTAGAGATGGGGTTTCACCATGTTGGCCAGGATGGTCTTGATCTCCTGATCTCATGATCTGCGTGCCACCACGCCCAGCTAATTTTTGTGTTTTTAGTAGAGATGGGGTTTTACCATGTTGGCCAGGATGGTCTCAATCTTCTGACCTTGTCGTCTGTCCGCCTCAGCCTCCCAAAGTGCTGGGATTGCAGGCGTGAGCCACCGTGCCTGGCCAATATTTACAGTTTTTTACCGAACCAAGTCTGTAATTAGTGGGCTGTATAAATAAATGAACTATGAGACAATAACTTTCTCATGTGCTATTGCATAAAAAAATCTAAGAAATAAAAATAATATTTAAACAATTAGGAAGCAATCCATAAAGTATTCTCCCCTTCTCCACAGACACAGATACTCATATTAACAGAGTGTATACTTTATGTCACCATAGATTTTCTAAAATTGGTTAGTGTCTGGCCAAGTGCCTCCTTTCTGCCTGTTTTTATACACATAGGGCAGACAGAGCTAATCGAAATGAAAATTTGGAATGTGTATTTTTTTATTTTTCTTAATTTCATAATGTTGCTTGGTAGGTTAAAAAACACTTTAATACATTTTTAGCCTTTATTATAATGTCCTATATTTAGATACTCCTTTAATGAAATTAGAAGATCATGTTTTATGGTTAGGTTTCTACTGCTCTGTTTTCCACAGGTATGGTTTGTGGTTACATGATAGGATATCTACTGTTAAAGCAAACTAAATATGCCTGAGAAGGACTCTACTTCTATATTTGAGTCCTTGTGGATGAGCCGTAACCTAGCTTAACAGCAGACAGATTAGAAACCTAACTTGGGAGTATGTGCCTGTAACAATAGCTGAGTATTGGTCAATCCCAGCCGCCATACTTGAACCACTCAGACTTCTGTGTGTTCAAAGTGTGTTCACATAAGGCAAACACCAACCTGTAACCAATCCAGCTGTTTCTGTACCTCACTGCCGATTTCTGTATGTCACTTTCCCTTCCCTTTTTTGTCTATAAATTTGTTCTGACCAAGAGGCACCCTAGGAGTCTCTCTGAATCTGCTGTGATTTTGGGGGCTGCCTGATTCATGAGTTGTTCACTGCTCAGTAAAGCTCCTTCAAATTTATTTCTCCTCAAGTTTTTCCTTCAACACTGTCTTATTCTTTGTTTTGTCTATGCTTGGGATTTTTTTTTTTAATGTCAACAATCTTGTATTACCAAATGTGCAGGATTAACACTTTAACATGGCTAACAGCAGAAACAGCACCGCTAACAAGCTCAAGTGTGGAGGTGCAGACCCAATAAGTATTGTCTCTTAGAAAAGGATTGAAAAGATACAGATATCTGCTTAAGTATTTTTTGTTTTTAAATAAAATTTTCCAGTGTTGCAGAAAAAATATCCCAAAGTGATTTCAGTTCATAAAAAAGCAGCATTAGGCAGCCTGTGCTGCCTTATAAACCCCAACTCAGGATAACCATAGGAGAAAACCCCTGAAACATTAAAAAAAAAAATCACCGTTTCTTCTCGTCCTTCTCCAGCTTCAACTGCTTATTCCACGAAATACCTAATAACAGGATAAGCAAGACCTAGCTCACTTCTGTCAGCCTCTTGTCTGTTTGTTAAGGTTAATCCTTCACATCTACAACAATCAGTAAATTGATTTCTAATTTCTGGCTCAGATTTCTAGAAACTTGCAAAACATGTTTTCTTCAAGGATGGGGCTGAGGGTTCCTTGAAAAATCAAGGGGGCAGGGTACCCGCCTGAGACTGGAATGCCTCCCAGACCCTTTCTAAGCAAAAGCATCCCAATACCTTACAACTGAAAGTCTAACCTACCAGGTAAGAAAAAGTAGCAAATGGGCACCAAACTGTGGCTGTACCAAAAAGGTGAATATCTCCTCCTCTTAACTATAAAGGTAAGGGAGTTGACAGGAGCCAAGTATTTCACCTTATCTGTCTTTAGAGTTTGCATAGTTTGGGCTAAAGCCATATTGCAGAGAAAAACATTCAGTCAAAGGATAGGGGTGGCTTTTGCTGTATCTGGTAAAGCTGCCATTCCTGGGCAGCCGAATTCGTTGCTCTTTTATAGAAGCTCTTTTGCCTTATACAAAGTACTTAAGAATTAATAGGGAAATTTTAAATTTGACTTAATAACTGACAAACTTAAAGATATACAAAAAGGCGGTGTATAAATCCACACAGTATTCAAGCTTTTTTAGTAACCATGTTTCTTTTAAAAATCTGAAATTAGTGCTAGTGAGTTCTTATTGAGACAATATGAAGCCCTTTGCACTGTAAATATTTTATATTTTTGGAGAGACATTTGATGATATCTAAGAGTAAAAATGAATATATATGTGTGTGTATATATACACACACACATATATATGGTGTATATATATACCATCTTCAACTCAGTGAACCTGTGTTTTAAAATGTATCGTAAAGAAGGAATAGAAGAGGGGAAGAAAAGCATTATTTATATAGCATTGTTAATTTTTTTCAAATTAAGAACATGATAATATCTACAAGGATAAATTCATTCCCAAATAGTTAATTGTATGTAACATACAACTCGATGTAGTGTATCATACCTCAGCCTCTTTTTGGAGTGAATCTGTTACTCATTCATGAAGGAAAGAACTCTTACCAACGGGTGGTCAAGTAGAGACTGGTGATCTCCTGCGATGTTAGAGGGGTAAGGTGTAGGGGCTCTGTTAAGAGGAGGTGTTCACATATTTTCTTACTATACTTAACACAGCCCCTATAAAGTAGATATCTATTCTTTATTGTTGTGATACTGCACAGATATGTTCTTTTCCCCCTCAAGTCTGGTACTTACTGCCAACTTTGTAATAGAGGAAATAACCGACGTAGAAGTATAATAGTTGAGCTAAGTTTGACCTTTGTGCTGCCTGCATAATTAACGCATTCCAAATGTGAAGAGTCCCTCCTGTTACTGATTTGTAATTCTCCCCCTTTGTATGGTATTAAAGTGATTTAAACAAATCTCTATTGTTGAGCAGTGCAATAAATTTAACTCTGAATGGTTTTTATTCTCTTTATCTCATTTGTCCCCTTTCCAAAAAGATAGGTTTAAATTACATAGTCTGGAGTTAAAATAGTATCAAGGTCAGGAGGACTTCACTTAAGCAAGTTTAATTAGGGCAATTTGGGGTTGGGATGGGAGGAATTTGAATGTGATGTAAAATCAGGCTCGAAGAGATTTCTGAGTATGATCATGGATTTTATGCCAAAATTTCAGAACCATTTGGGGTTAAATTTATTCCATTTCTCAACAGTAGGGATTGGTTTAAATCACTTTAATACCACACAAAAAGGAAAATTACAAGGCAGGACTAGTAGGGAGTTTTTCACATTTGTTATGTGATGATTATGCTGGCAGCACAAAGGTCAAACTCAGCTTAACTACTTCTAGATCAGTTATTTCCTCTGTTATAAAGTTGGCATTAAGTTTCAGACTTGGGGGTAAAAATGAGAATGGCACCTAGTACCTAGTTCTGGAATATAGGTGGGAAGAAAAAACATACTGGAGGTGCTTCTGTTGTTGGGGCTCTTGAATGTTCAGCATGAGAGCTCTGGAAACTCTGAAGGCAATGTAGAGCTTGATTTAATGTAGAAATGGATTTTTGAGTTGAAGGAAGTGTGTTGTCAGGAGGAGCAGGAGTTCAAAAAAAGATGCATGCTTGGAAATCTTACCTTTGAGAAACATCTCAAATGCAGTCTTAGTTATTCTAATTGTAGATTGTTGACCAAGAGGTTGTTCAATGATAGAACCTCAAGTCATCACTTACCTTCCAAGTTATTTTCCAGCACATATAAACATGGTCAGATCTCTGTTGATTTTTCCCTCTTCTGTCCCCTTCCTTCTCTTCACTTTCCTCCATTAAACTTAAAAGCGACTACAATTATTGTCATTCTTCATTTACTTACTTCTTAACTCCTTCTCATCTGATTCTCTGCTTTGTGTGTCAAACTAGTGGATTTCTCTCCTTTATTCGTTCTTTGTGTAGCAGTTAACCTTCCTGATTCCCACTACTTTGAAATTTTTGTGATGTTGCTTTACCTTGATGCATCTTTTGTCTGATCTTTTTCCTTCATGTCTTCAATATATCAAAAAAGTGAAGTCAGTATGTTACTTCCAAATTTGTTCTTTCCAACTTCTCTGTTTGGTCAATAGAAACATTTTCTCTCACTCATCAAGGCTTAAGTTCTCCCAGTCTGTCTTTTCTCATAATTCTTTTATTCAGCAAATATTTTCTGGAATACCTACTATACACAAGGTTGTTATTCTAGGTTCTGGGGATTCAGCCACAAATAGGAGACAAAGGTCCTTACCTGTGCAGCTTACACTCTAGTGGAGAAGACTGTCAGATACTTAATGTCATATAGAGAAACATTTTAAAGGATAAAGTATGCTAAGGATCCATAGGCAGTAATGGGAATATGTGCTGTTTTGCATAAGGTGGTTAGGGAAGGTTTCTCTGAGAAGGTGACATGTAAGTAAAACCTGAAGGAAGGGAAAGAATGAGTTATGGGTATTTGGGAGAAGAGCCTTCATGCAGCGGGAATAGCAAGTGCAAAAACCTGGAGATGGGCTTATGCTTCCCTATGTTCAGGAAAAGCCAGTGTGACTGGAGGAGAGTGAATCAGCAGGGGGAGGAGATGAAGTCAAAGAAGTTGGCAGGAGAAGATCTTGTTATAGGACCCTGTGGGCCCTGGCTAGGATTTTGGGCTTTATGTCTAAATGTGTTGGGAAGGTTTTAGAGGATTTTGAACAGAAGAATATTAACGTGATCTGACTTAATATTTTAGAAGGATCACAGTGATAACTGTGTGGAGAATAAACTGTCAGGGGAGAGGGGATGGCAGTAGAGAAACCTGGGACACTAGGAGGCTGTTACAGTCTTAGATGAGAGATGTGATTTGGGAGTAGCATGTTAGCTGGTCAGATGTGTGATACATTTTGAAGATAAAGCTAGCAGGATATGCCGATAGCTTGGATGTGTCAGATATGGGGAGAGGAGCTAAGGACAGTTCTAGAGTTTTAGAATTGAACTAGGTGATTTGGAGGTTCCATTTACTCTGAATACCTTGGGAGGAACAGTTTTTTGAGGGGGAGGGAGGATTGGTAGAATCAGTGTTTATTTTTGGTATGTTAACTTTGAGGTACTTATTAGACAACTTAATGAAGATGTCAGATTACACTCTTCTGAAGGTCTCATGAGCTTCGGGCTGGAGAAGATACCTATGGGAATCATTAGAGTATAGATGGGCCTGGATAAGATCACCTTAGGGATAAGTGAGTGTGAAGGGATGAGTGAGTATGAGTGTAGATAAAGAAGAAAGATGGGGGGACTGAACTGTTGTATCCTTCAGTATGTAGATGTCTGCAGGAAGAGAAGGCTTTATCAAAGGCTGTTGACAAGTGGCTAGGGAAATGGGAGGATGTGGTATCCCAGAAGTGAAGTGAAAAAAAAGGAGATTCAGAAAGTGGAGAGGAATCAGCTGTGTCAGATGCTGCTAGGAAATGGAATAATTTAAAACCTGATAATTGACCTTTGGATTTGGCTTGCGAAATCCTGTTGATTCTGCTTTGTAATACAGCTCTAAAATTCATTACATGACTTCACTCCCTGTCAACAAACACTATTCATCAGGCTTTCCTTCTGGTCTGTTTTTCTATTTTGGATGGTTCTTTTTTTCTCCTGTTTACATTGTAGAATACATGCTCATTATAGAAAACTTGGAAAAGTCAGAGAAAGTATAATGAAGGTTAAAAAACAACAGCAATGGCAAAATTCCTTACAACTAAATCACTGATTGAACAGTCTGTTGTGTTTTTCCTATTAATGTTTCTTATGCATCTTTGTAATGCATATACTATATATATATGCTTTTCTACAGAATTAATGAAAAGTAGTCTTAAAATTTATGTATTTAAAGGAGCATAGTAGACCTGTAATCTAATGTCAAAACTTTTTTGAGGCTGGGTGCAGTGGTTCACACCTGTAATCCCAGCACTTTGGGAGGCCAAGGCAGACGGATCACCTGAGGTCAGGAGTTCGAGACCAGCCTGGCCAACATGGCTAAACCCCGTCTCTACTAAAAATACAAAAATTAGCTGGGCATGATGGCACACACCTGTATTCCCAGCTACTTGGGAGGCTGAGGCAGGAGAATCACTTGAACCTGGGAGGTGGAGGTTGCAGTGAGCCAAGATCGCACCACTGCACTCCAGCTTGGGCAAGAGTGAGACTCCGTCTCAAAAAAAAAAAGAAAAAAAAACAAAAAACAACAAAAAACAACAGCAACAAAAACCTGAGGATGTATGTGAATGTGTGGCAACCAATATTCCATCATGGTGGAATAGCCTAACTGGAGTTCCTACCTGTCTTTACACAAATTATATCTTAAATTAATCCTGATTAATTTTTCTAAAGCATATTCTCCTCCAAACTTTTAGCGCATAGCATAATGGTTAAAAGCGTGGGCTCTATTTTTACTTTTATAATACATGCTTATAGCAGGAAATTTGGAAAATAGGAAAAAGGTATATTCTTATCTGTTTATGGATAAGAATTACTGTGTATGATTACTGGTATAATTTTCATCTGTTTTCTGCCAATCTTTTTTTTTTTTCTATCTAAATGTACATATGCATGCATTTTATTTGTGTGTTTGTTTCTAACAAGGATCACACTGTTTTCTGGTCAGCATTTTCTTCATAATCCATTCTTTCCTCTCTTTAAATTTATTTTGATCAAAGCATATGAGCAGTTTCATGATTCTGTTTGTTGTCAAATTGCTCTTCAAAAAGATTGTGTCATTTAAAGGTAAACTTATGAAGAATTTTGTTCTCTTTAAATTTTAGGATAGACCACTATCTTGTTGAGCTCTTTTAAATGAAGTTCTACTTGGACACAAAGATGAGGACTAGATAACTCCTTGAGGTTCCTTCTAACCCCTAGGATGAAGATAATAACTAACATTTGTATAGTGCTCTAAAGTTTACAGAGTGAGTTCTCATACATCATCTCACTTGATCCTCACAACAGCCCTGTGAGGTAGGTAGGACAGGTATTGTTATTCTCATTTTAGAGGTAAAGAAACTGATAGAGAGGTTAAGTGACTTGATAAAGGTGTTTTTTTTTTTTTTTAAACGTTCTAGTAAGGATTTGAATCCAGACTTGCTGGTCTAAATAATCACGTTCTTTTTGGCAAGATTTCATACAACTGCACATTTAGAATTACTGATACATGTTGGCTAAGTGGCATTTGTTCTACACAGAAATAAACCTAATGACAATATGAGTACGGTGTTACTATTTCTTTGACTGTTCCTGAGTCTTTTTACATTCTTTCTCCACCCCACAAATTAAATACATGAGTCTGTCTCTCTTTTGACTAGGAGAAGGTAATGTAATTATATAGCTATATTAAACATCTACTATTTTCTCCAGCATTTGGGGGAAGGGGAAGTTACATTATGTTTTTCATTTTTTTCCTCTCTCTGTTTTTTTCCGTTTCTTCCTGTTTTTTTTTTCTTTTGGTACCAGTCAAAAGTACATCTGCATTGCTTGCTTTCATACATGTAGCATAAAGTCTGTAGTAGAGTATTGGGATCCCAGTTAGAAGTAGAATTTTTGATTCTAGCATGAACCTAGAATCTTTCAGGGTATGGAACTCCTGTACTACCTTAACCAAAATTGTGATACTTGAGTACTCCAGGTATAGTCACCTATGTCTTTCACAAGGGGTCAGCAAGTAATAAATGGAAGTGATATTTGAGGCTAAATCAGGAAAGAGTATAATATAGCTAATACTCTCTTTGACTAATTACTTTACAAGGTGGAAGTTTATAAAACTGACTTGATTTGGGAGTTTGGTAGTGGCAATTTCACATGTTAGAAAATTTCACATTCCAGATTTTCAAGAGTATGTAGTGTTACATTAAGACTATCTCACAGTATTTTCTGTACTGCCTTTAATTGCCTAACATTCCCAATATTTTTAAAAGTTAATTTTTTTGTCGTTTTTTTCTAGTTGTTGGTCTTGACGATATTATGGATGAAGGAGTTGTTAAAGAAAGTGGCAATGATACCATTGATGAAGAAGAACTGATTTTACCTAACAGGAACTTAAGGGACAAGGTAGAAGAAAATTCAGTGAGATCTCCAAGAAAATCACCTCGTTTAATGGCACAAGGTAATCCTTTGAGAGAGGTCTAGCTAGAAAATTAGAGGTATAGGGACAGATGTGTTAGGTTATAAACCTGCTGAGCAGAAATCATATTTTCTTGATGTTTTGCTAATCCATTCGTTTTGATGGCAATCAGTTTTGAGATCATATCAATTTGTTGTATAAGTTTTCAGTACCCACCACCCCACACTACCCATTTCTCCTTCCCCAGGGGAAACCACTAGTAACTCTGAGCTGGTTTAATTTTTTTTTTTTTTTTTTTTTTTGGTATTTACCTTTATAGCTCTAGGTAACATGCATATGTTGCTGTTTTTTGATTATTCTGATTTATTATTCATCCATCTATTGACTTCCCACTGTGGATGGTTTTCTTCCTGCTACTTGTCCCCATCATATAATTTTGTTAGATCAATGGTAATTATGTTAGTATGAGTAATATGCTATTAGAGATGATACATTTAATAAACTACAGTTACTTTTCTTGTATGACTTCTTGTGTTTCTGATTTAAGTGTTTTAGTTTCTCAGTTGTTTAGTGTGTACATACCAGCAGTTATACTAAAACTGCTCTACCAGTTGTCTAAATCTACCCTAAAGATATTTGTGTATTTCAGGTATTCTGTCATATCCATTTTATTGAAAACACCTCTTGGAGCCTTCTGATCCCCTCTTATGTAGACAGACTCCTGTTAGTCCTATGAGCCTGATGCAAAGCTGTTCAGGGATCTCCCTTTACCATTTTTCTGGAAGTCTGTGCTTTGTGCTTTTGTTGTAGTTCCTATTTCCTCTTTCTGGATTCAATTTTTTTATTTTGGTGATGCACCTCTTCCAGTAGTTTTGTGAGAAAAAGGAGCTGTGAGATACACTTTTTAAACCTTGTATGTTTACCTTGTATTTAGTCTATTCTCATACTGGAATCATGGTCTGGTTGGATGTAAAATTCAAGGTTGGAAATCATTTTCCTTCAGAAATTCTGAAGGTGTTGCTCCATTTTTTTCTAACTTCAGGGTTGTTGAGAAGTTTATTTTGATGTGTGTGTGTAGGAGTGTATGTTATCTGATTTCTTCTGGAAGTTTGTGGAATCTTGCTCTTCAGCTTTGGTGTTTTGATATTTCATGATGATATGTATTGGTTTTGGTGTATTTTGTGTATGGAGCTCAAGACACTCAGTAGATCCTGTTAGTCTGAAAAATGTTATTGTTCAATTCCGGGAAAATTTTTCAAATTATTTCATTGTTAATTCCTCTCTTTATTTTGTTAGCTCTTGATTTCTGGAACCTTTATTATTTGTTACATAACAGGGACTGGTCCCTCTGTTTTCTTTATTTTGCCTACTTCCTACCTCTTTGTAATTTTTCTTTAACGTGCTTAAATTTTCTCATATTTATCCTCCAACTTTTCAGTCAAGTTTTGTACTTCTGATTCTTAAATGTTCTTTTTGTTGTTGTTTTGAGAATGGTCCTTTCTGTAGTGTTCTATTCATGTTTCATGGATGTAGTATCTTCTTTTGTCTTTATTAAGATACTAATGGCGTTTTAAACAGTTTTTGTCTCCTTTCATAGTTTCTGACTTCTCAATGTTGCATTATTTTAAAAAAAATGTTTAAAAAGGTTTTGGCCTCCATCTTTCCTAGATGCTCTCCTGAAATGTCTGACCCTTGATTATTGCTCATGTTTAAGGGTAGGGAACTAAAATTATGAAACTTCTAAGTGTGGGGATTGGGTTTTACCAGCTATGAGCGTCAGTGTATAGCAATCTGGCTGTACTGTTGTTTGGCAGAACCCTTCCTATCAGAATTTAGGTTATTTTCCATAACTTATTAGATTGCTAGCATATTATGGAAGCCTGTAAGGGAAACTGACTGGGGTTTCTCAGATTTCAGTATATACAAATTCACTTAATCTTACAAATTTCAATGTACTTTACAGCCAGTCTCAACTGTGCCTCATGTTCTTTAGCCTAGAAACCTTGCTTTACTATCTCCAGAGAATAAGCTACGAGTTTTGGCTCAGGACTAGGGAAGGGCAGTTGCCCAACAAATGGAGTAGGGGAAAGAGGGATCTAGAAATCTAACTGCTACTTTTAAAGAGCTTTCAGCCCTTCTAAGTGTTAAGCATCTGTCTTCATTCCCACTTTAGAATCATCTGGGACCACCAAGTCTTAAGACTTTTGAGGTGTTAATGGTGTTAGTTTTTGCCAACACTGCCAGCCTAGTGTTTTATTAATTACTTTTGGGTCTCTTATGTCAAATACTTGGTAATCATCTCTTGTTTGGTTTCCAAAATTTGCTGCTGGTTTTTCCTCTCTCGTTCTTCCTTGCCTTTTGGACTTTTCAAAAAATGTCCCGCTGTTATAGCTTCAGTAGGGTTTTGAGAAGTGAATAAATTTAGATCCATGTATTTATTTCATCATCTTTTCTTGATCTATGTTTTTAATACATTTTCAAAATCAGTTATTTGGTATATACGTGTGGCTTTGAGAAATGAAAAGAATAGAATAAACATTGTAGGAAAATAAAACTTTTTTGCCTATAGAATCAGGCTTCAAACTAAGGCAGGTAATATTTAGAGGAGAAAAAGTGACTTTAGCCTTTGCTTAATAAATTGCTTCCTATTGGAAAACCACTTTTTATCTGAAAATCCTTCACAGCTGAATATACTATTCTTTTGTCATTTTTAGCAACCGCTTGGGTGTTAAAAGATCTTTATTTATTAATGTGTAATAAGTGTTAAAATCCTTCATTTGTTTCATTTCAAGGATGAATAGAGCTGTAAATTACTATAATCTGTCTTTAAAGCTTTAAAGATCACCTAAATATTGAAACAAAGCTTTATTAAAATTTTAGTTATTTAAAAAAATTTTATAACTGAATATGTGATAAATAGTTCATAACCCACCAAGTAATTTTTAAAAGTTATTAAGTACTTAACCTAATACTCAGATACTTTGTTGTGTCCTATGGGAATTAGAAAGGGTCTCTAAGATAAGGATGACTATATAATTTTATTGTTCAAATTGGGCATACTTTTGAAAATGAAAGTGTGCTATTAATACTAGATCAGAACTACGAGCAACACCTGGACATTTACCTTTTTAAAGATTCTCACAGTTCAGTGATAAATGACAAATTCAGTTTGTGGGTTGTTTTTGTACTTACTGAATTATTTAGCTCTCTTTCTTTTTAGCTCTTTTCATTTTGTGTTTCTCCTTTCTCCTGATACAAGGGGGGGATGTATCAGAATAGGGAAATGAAACTCTTTTCATTTAATGGACTATTAGGAGCATTGTGTGGGAAGCTTTTAAATTTTCATACTTTCCTTATGATACATTTGCTTGGTTTAAGTCTTTTAAATTGTGTTTCTTTTTTGATGAGCTGTATGTGGTACTCTGTGTTGATATCATTTCTTAGGAATAGCTTTAATGCTAAAATGGTGACCTAAGGGAAGCACATTGATAAAGGAATTAGAGTCCGTTTGAGGCTGTATTTTGAAACTCGCACAGATCCTGGTTTGTGATAGGAGGTTTTTAGTTCAGGTTTCTTTAGCACTGGAATATATTTGGTTTTATATATTTAGAAATATTTAATGTTTAAAAATCCATGATGGTCTTGCTTTAATATGGGCATTAATGGTAAAGGAAGCTCATTTTACTTACGTCACTCCTAGGTTACTTTTTATGGAAAAGAGATTTGATGAAAACATTTCTTTTAATAAGGTATAATATTAGTCTGAATTTTTTAGAGGCTTTTCCCCCTGCTAGAATTCAGAGAACTTTGATAAATATAAAATTTGACATATGTTAAATTATATATATGTGTATATATATCATGTCACCATTATGAGTACTGTTCAATACATTTTTGTTGAGCAAATTATAGCTCAGAATAAAGAAGTGATATATTCTAAATTGTATTGAAATAAAAGCACATGACAAAATAGCTAAGTATTTTTATTTATTTTTTCCCCCTGTGATAGAACAAGTAAGAAGTTTGCGACAGAGCACTATTGCCAAGCGTTCAAATGCAGCACCATTAAGTAACACAAAAAAAGCATCTGGGAAGACTGTATCTACTGCTAAAGCAGGAGTGAAACAACCAGAAAGGAGTCAGGTTAAAGAAGAAGTATGTATGTCACTGAAACCTGAGTACCATAAGGAGAATAGAAGGTGCAGCCGAAATAGCGGACAAATTGAAGTGGTACCTGAAGTATCAGTGTCTTCAAGTCATTCTTCAGTGTCATCTTGTCTTGAAATGAAGGATGAAGATGGATTAGATTCTAAGCATAAGTGTAATAATCCGGGAGAAATAGATGTGCCATCTCATGAATTAAATTGTTCACTTCTTTCAGAGACTTGTGTTACTATTGGAGAAAAGAAAAATGAAGCTTTGATGGAATGTAAAGCCAAGCCTGTTGGTAGTCCATTGTTTAAGTTTTCAGATAAAGAAGAACATGAACAAAATGATTCCATTTCAGGTAAAACGGGTGAGACTGTTGTTGAAGAAATGATAGCAACAAGAAAAGTTGAACAAGATTCAAAGGAGACAGTAAAATTATCCCATGAAGATGACCATATTCTTGAGGACGCTGGATCTTCTGATATTTCTAGTGATGCTGCTTGTACAAATCCAAATAAGACAGAAAACAGCCTTGTAGGTTTGCCTAGTTGTGTAGATGAAGTGACTGAATGTAATTTGGAATTGAAGGATACCATGGGTATTGCTGATAAAACTGAGAACACCCTTGAAAGAAATAAAATTGAACCGTTGGGTTATTGTGAAGATGCGGAGTCTAATAGGCAGTTGGAGAGCACTGAGTTTAATAAATCAAACTTAGAGGTGGTTGATACTAGTACTTTTGGACCGGAAAGTAATATCTTGGAAAATGCTATTTGTGATGTGCCTGACCAAAATTCAAAACAGTTGAATGCTATAGAAAGTACTAAAATAGAGTCCCATGAAACAGCAAACCTTCAGGATGACAGAAACAGCCAGTCAAGTAGCGTTTCTTACTTAGAGTCAAAAAGTGTAAAATCCAAACATACAAAACCTGTAATTCATTCTAAGCAAAACATGACCACAGATGCTCCGAAGAAAATTGTTGCAGCAAAGTATGAAGTAATACATAGCAAAACTAAAGTTAATGTCAAAAGTGTGAAACGAAATACTGATGTACCAGAATCTCAGCAAAATTTTCATAGGCCAGTCAAAGTCAGAAAAAAACAAATTGATAAGGAGCCAAAGATTCAGAGTTGCAATTCTGGGGTTAAATCTGTGAAAAACCAAGCTCATTCTGTACTGAAAAAAACATTACAGGATCAAACTTTAGTACAAATTTTCAAGCCCTTAACTCATTCTTTGAGTGATAAGTCACACGCTCATCCTGGTTGCTTGAAAGAACCTCATCATCCTGCACAAACTGGACATGTATCACATTCTAGCCAGAAACAGTGTCATAAGCCTCAGCAACAGGCCCCAGCAATGAAAACCAATAGTCACGTGAAGGAAGAGCTTGAACACCCAGGCGTTGAGCATTTTAAGGAAGAGGATAAACTGAAACTGAAAAAACCTGAGAAGAACCTACAACCCCGCCAAAGAAGAAGCAGCAAAAGTTTTTCTTTAGATGAGCCACCATTGTTCATTCCAGATAACATAGCTACCATAAGAAGAGAAGGCTCTGATCATAGCTCCTCATTTGAAAGCAAATATATGTGGACTCCCAGCAAGCAGTGTGGGTTTTGCAAAAAACCACATGGCAACAGGTGTGTGTGTATGTGTGTATGAGTGATGTGTACATTGAAAATAAATTGCTTTTTTGGGGGTGGGATTAATGTGAGAATTGTTTTAAAGACATTATTTGATACACAGAGACCTGTGCAAAAACAAAAAGCTTCATCAGTCTTGGATAAATGATAGAAAGATGGATCTACTGAATTTACAAATATATCATCCTAGAACATTTAAAAAAGCATAGTCTGGCCAACAGCTGACATACATGGAAATATTTTGTCATTGTCACAGGTTAGACAGTGTAATTTAGCCACTGCATCTGCAAAAAAGCCAAACACTTCCTGGTAATTGGAAAATTGTTATACTGCTTTGGGTCTGTAAGTTATATATTAATTCATTTGGTGTGAGAAGAACTAGTAATAAAGTATGAAGGTCATAATGGAAATTCTATTTTTCTTTTGAAGTTTTTTTTTTTCTTAAAATGAAACATATTAAAGAACACCATTTCATAACTATCAAACTTTATCTTGCAGTGAAATTTGACAGCTAAACAATTGTTAGATTACCCAGGTCAACATGAAATAGAGTGAAAAACGTATTTCTTTTTTTGAATGTTTTAAATAATTTTTTGTGAATTCTAGTCTTTTTAAAATTTGAGATGATTTTAGCACTGACTTTCATCATTCTTTCTAGTATTCAGTGATTTGTAGTTTTATGACACTGCACCCCTCAATCCCCAATGTGTTTTTTGTTAGCTTTTTAAGAAAAGGAAAGCAAGAGATGAAGTGGAGTTTGCAGCTACCAGATTATTCTGTTCAAGTGTTCATATTGCTGTTGGAACTTCTTTCAATGCTGATATGATAAAAGAACATTATAATTTGTATATTATATTCTTCTTATCCTTATTCATGAAAGTGTGCTAGAGTGATTTTTCCCAGCACTATCTTAGTACATAAAAATGAAGCTCTTTAGGGAGGGACAATTTAGTAAAGTGTGTTGTAACATATTATTTTGGTGGTGTTAGGGTGATTGGGGAGATCGGAAAGGAGATGTTGGGGCTATTGTGTAAAATAAGTTTTATGTCAAAGTATTTCTTCATTTGTGATCCAGCCCGTGGCCTATTTTTAGCGTCAAGGGTTAGTTTATAACAATATATTCCAGTTTTTAAAAGTTGTCACTTGTTTGAATACAGTGCTACATTCACTGTCACTTACATGCTCTTAATTATATGGTTTTTTTATTTAAAACACCTTACTCAGCCAGGCGCAGTCGCATGCCTGTAATCCCAGCACTTTGGGAGGCTGAGGTGGGCGGTAGGCAGATCACTTGAGGTCAGGAGTTCGAGACCAGCCTGGCCAACATGGTGAAACCCCGTCTCTACTAAAAATACAAAAGTTAGCTGGGTGTGCTGGTGCATGCATATAATCCCAGCTATGTGGGAGACTGAGGCATGAGAATCACTTGAACCTGAGAAATGGAGGTTGCAGTGAGCCGACATTGAGCCACTGCACTCTAGCTGGTGACGAAGTGAGACTGTCTCCATAAATAAATGAACACATTACTCAAATATTCTGAAGTGGGCCTGCTGTTTTCAGGCAAAAGAGAATTAAGAGTTAGGTGGTGCTTTTAAGTGCTCCTTTAAACCAGCCTTTTTCTCTCTGCCAGAATCTTTAAAAAATTATCATGTGGACAGAGAGATGGAATAGGTGCCTTAAGTAAATGAATTTCTAACATGAAACTTTGGCATAGAGTTGGAAGCCATGTTAGTAAGTTATAATGTAACGTACTAACCTTGTAGATAAAGTTCCAGTCCAGTCTTCAGGAGTTTGCCCAGGCTTTTTAATGATGACTCATGCTTCACCAACATTTAATAATTTTCCTAAATTAAGAGTAGGTGTTAGTCCCTTTGTTGTTGTTTACTTGCTGCCACCTTTTGGATCTACTGTATAGAATCTAGAGTGTTTTTGCTCAAGTCTGTAGAATGACTTAGAATGTCAGGTGCATAGAGATTTTGGGTTTACACTCTGTAATTGATGTGAATAATTTAACATTGGAAACAATTATGGAAGCAGAATTTTCGATTACTTCAATTTTGTGAATTAAAGCCTTCCTGGCTAACACGGTGAAACCCCGTCTCTACTAAAAATACAAAAAATTAGCTGGGCGTGCTGGCGGGCGCCTGTAGTCCCAGCTACTTGGGAGGCTGAGGCAGGGGAATGGCGCGTGAACCCGGGAGGCGGAGCTTGCAGTGAGCCGAGATCATGCTACTCCACTTCAGCCTGGGTGACAGAGCAAGACTCCGTCTCAAAAAAAAAAAAAAAGCCTATGTAATTGTTTTTTTCCCCTCCCCTCCCCCTCCCCTCCCCCCTTCCCCTCCTCCCCCCTCCCCTCCTCCCCCCTCCCCTTCCCCTTCCGTTCCCCTCCTCCCCCTCCCCTTCCCCCTCCCTTCCCCTCCCCTCCTCTTCTCTTGTTTTTAAGACAAAGTCTCACTGTTGCCCAGGGGTGGAGAGCAGTGGTGTGATCTTGGCTGACTGAAACCTCCACCTCCTGAGTTCAAGTGATTCTCCTGCCTCGGCCTCCCAAGTAGCTGGGATTACGGGCAAATGCCACCATGCCCAGCTTATTTTGTATTTTTTGTAGAGATGGGGTTTCACCGTGTTGGCCAGGCTGGTCTCGAACTCCTGAATTCAGGTGATCCGCCCGCCTCAGCCTCCCAAAGTGCTGGGATTACAGGCACAAGCCATGGCGCCCAGCTGATTGTTGTTTTTACATATTAACTAGCCTTCACTACTACTGTGATTCTACTACTTTGATACATTGTGCTTGTATACATTTCGTTTACTCAGAAAATGCACCTGTCATGCAGGTTGCAATTTTCCTATTCTAATCCTTGTGTAAGAATATAAATTTATTAGAAAGGGCATGTTTGGAAATAATTTTGATCCTTCTCTTTGATTTCATGCACTAGATACATTGAAAGCTGTTTGTTAATATGACACATTTTCTAGCATTTGCAACAGCTTTGCCTCTGTAAAGACTATATAAACGCTTTATCATTTTACGTATTGCAGTTGAAGTTAGTTTCCTTGTGTGTGCTCCCAGTTGGAAATTATATTTTGTAATATAGCTGTGTCATGGCTAGATGTGATATTAATCATAAGCAACTTCTATGCATATCCTAAAGACAGTAGACCCTTAAAGAAGCAACATATGCTAGATTTTTATTGCTTCCTTTTATTTTCCTGATTCAAACTTACATCAAAGGTGTATGATTTTAAAGACCAGATTATTTAATCCTCTGATTTTTAAAATTAATGCAACTTTTGAACTTCTTTTAAACGTAAGTCAGTTGGCATTTTGTAAGGAGGAAGTCTTAGTTTTTTCATGTTATTTACCTTGTGGTTTCTGTTTTTCTACTTCTCCAGAAGATGCTTGAGTTTTTAGTTTGCATTACACTTTCTTGGCCCCAATTGTAGAAGACTAGTATATCAGATAATATTTAAAAAACAAACAGACTTAGAAAATGGATTTATAGCTTTCAAACAAGAAAACTTCTGAGAAGAAATTTTCTTCTAGAACAAATGATTCTATTTTTCTCTGCAGATTGTTAGTAACAAAAATGATTTAATGTTTATGTGACGTAGAATTCTCTGATCTTAGAAGAGTGAGTCTTTTCTCTCTCTCAAAAACTCTTAAAACTGCATTTTTTAACCTAAAATATAAACTATTAAGATACATCTGTAGATGGCACTAGAGTTTTGCTTTTTATAGCCTCTCAAGTTTGAATGAGACATTTCCAACTTGAAATGAGGCTTATTGAAAGAATTGCTTGATAAATTTCACGATCATCAAACCACTCTTCCCTGGTTGTGAAATAAAAATGTGAAAATTCCTTAATATGTGCTTTATATTTTGACCTTTAGGTTTGGATTTGGAACAATAGCATTATTTGTACTGTAGGTTTTTAAGTCATGTCTCACTGAAACTATCCCAGACTTGCTTTGAAGAAATCTTAATATACCTTTGATTGTGGAAGTAAAGGGAAATCATTAGCTTTCCTTCAGCATTTCAGAAACATTCATGTTAGACAGTTGCTTTCAAGAAATAGCAGTTAGCCCATTGTTAGGAAAGCTACAATGCTCATTACAAATAATCATTTTTAATATTTTAGCTTTGCAACTCGAAGTGGGAGAACTTTTAAACACCTGCATTTCAAGCTTTATTCCACTTTTGCTAGAATATCTGTATCATTATGGGCCCATCAAAAATCTCAAACCTGTAGGAATTATTTCTGTCTTCTAAACGTGTGTTAACATTGTTCGAAAGTTTTCTTGCTTGTCAACCCCAAATATTCTATATTATTTTTTTAAACCAAATTAATCCCTAGGGAAATGAGGACTTAACCTGCTAAAGCTAGCACAGGTATTACCAGCAAGGATAAAGAATGATAAGTTATAGATGTGATGAAGTCAAGTCTCAAGGCATAGTAGTGGTTTTATACACAATAGGCACATGAGGAAGAAGAAAAGGAAGTGCTGTTATTGAGGAATGAGGTATTTGGCAAGACTTTAAAAACACTGTAAGGATTGGAACTCACTCTTGTAGTTTTTACAGTTTTAACATTAAAACAGTACCTCTGGTATATTTTGAATTGACCATATCACCCAGTGTGTTACCTTCAATATCCTCTCTCTTGGATTACAGCTTTTTGAAAGGAGCTTGGTACTATTGGTGGTGCCACTATTATCAAAATCAGTAGCACGGTCTTTAGATTGTTAAAGTACATACCTAAATCCTTCTAAGTCTTTCAGCTGTATCATAAATTGCTAGCCTGAAGATGAAAAAAGGACAAAGTTAAGGATGGTTGTCTGAAAGCATTGCAGCTTTCCTAACCATGGGTTAAAAAGCAGGTAAATTAAATTGCTGTGTATATATCTCATTTGCTATTATTTTCAAAAGTAGTTATAGATACTCCTTTTAAACTGGAAAGATAGAAGCTTTTTTAGAGTCATACGTTTCACATCCCTGGACTTTTCCTATTGGTTAGTGAAGTTATTACTTAGCTAAAAGACAGTGATGGGAAAACTTTTATAAGGAGATTGGGAATTAAATCCAACCCAAGTACTAATATTTTTATGTTAAGATAGAATAGTGATCTTTATTTGGAAAAAGAAATTTATCTAAAACACATGGTCATTAGTAAGGAAGTCCTTTGAACTTAAAAGTACAGAAAAAGATTCTTTAGCTGAATCAGCGTGACACCATGAACCAGAATATTTTGAGGTTATCTAGGTAAGGTGGCTAATAAACAGTTTGAGAGGCTCCATCATGCTAGTTTTTGAGTTCCATTTTTGTTACTATTGTTGGTTTTTTCTTTTATTTAAAACGATTTGTTGGATAAACAATTCTTCCCAATTTTATATGTGATGTCACGTCTGTGGTGAGGTAGGTAGCTGTAACTTTGATGGATTGTCCGTGATGAAATTATTACCAAGATCTTACCACCCTTCTCAGTGGATAAATTTATTGTTAGTCTATACTTTGTTATTGTTTATAGTATTCAAGACTGACAAAGGCCAGTTGTCTTTTCTTCCTGATGGTTTATTGTCCCCTCCCTCCCCCAGCATTTTCTCATTCATACCAGAGGAGAAATATTTGAGGTCTTAAAGGTATCATTTTAATAGAATATTATTTTCTTTGAAAACTTGCTGTATGTTGAACTTATGGAACGGATAGAGATGGAAAACATGCAAAGTTTCAGAAAATCAGATATTGAAAATTTAATTTAGCCTCATTTTTGACATAGATTTTCTTGTTAAAAAAAGGGATAAAAGTTTTTTGGTGTTCTGTTTTCCAGGTTTATGGTTGGCTGTGGGAGATGTGATGACTGGTTTCATGGTGATTGTGTTGGGTTAAGTCTTTCTCAAGCACAGCAGATGGGCGAGGAAGACAAAGAATATGTCTGTGTAAAATGTTGTGCTGAAGAAGACAAAAAGACTGAAATACTAGATCCAGATACTTTGGAAAACCAAGCTACAGTTGAATTCCATAGTGGAGATAAAACAATGGAGTGTGAAAAGCTTGGATTATCAAAACACACAACAAATGATAGAACCAAATATATAGATGATACAGTGAAGCACAAGGTCAAAATTTTAAAACGGGTGAGCTCTTCATTAATGCATTATTTTGTTTATTTAAGAGCTTTTTGTATGGACTGACTGCAATAATTTTGAAATTTCTCTTTAGAAGTTTTAATGTTCTTTTACATTTTCAAATTTAGTTTTCCATGAAAGTGAATAGGTTTTTATTTAAAATTTTTTGTCAGTCTTGGTGAAATCAGATGGTGACTTTTAGAATATGCAGGCCTTATCTCTTACAGTCTTTTTTGCCATTTCTAGCCCCTAGTTTGGTACTTGAATTTTCTGTTGTAGGATGTGTGTGGATCTTGTGGCCATTAAGTGTAAATTGTGCTTGCTAAGTTGTTTTAAAAAAGCTTTTCAGTCCATAAATATCTACCAGCCCTTTGACCATTTGGCATTATTTTTTTGACTACCTTCTGAAAGTATTTTCTAAATAGAAATTTCAAGATATTTAGGCTTTAATAGGAGAAATGTATAAAGGACACGGCATTTTATCTGATTAAATTTTCTTTCCTCATTGTCTACCTTTTTATTACCTATCACTTTTTTAGTCGTTAATTTGTTATTCTTATAGAATACTGATAGAGAGGAGAAACAGTGGCAACACATGTATGTGGTTAGGCAAGTATAATCCAAAACGCAAAGAACATGAATCTTAGAGTTGGAGCTTTAGAAATCTTTTGGTCCAATCATTTTGATTTATTAATATGCCTTACAACATTTCTAGGAAGTGATGATCTAGTTTCTGTTTGAAATCCATTGCAAGGGGATACATCTTCATTTTTAAGCATCTAATTGTCAGAAAGTTGATCAGTTTGAGCTGAAATTTGCATCCCTGAATTGAAGCCTCCTTATTAAAACTTAATTTCTCTGCAACACGATATGGAAGTTAATTTAGATTGAAGAGCATGAGGATGTGTTCTCCAGAATCTTACCTATTAACAAATCCGTTTCTTTCAGGCATTCCTTGTACGACAAATCTGGATTAAGTTCTAGTTTGTCATATCCTTGTGGCATCTAATATTTTTTGTCTGTCAAGACTTTTTGAAAATCAGATTCTGTCCTTCTGATACGTGTTATTACTTTGTTGATTTGATCATCAAAGTAATTGATAATATGGATCTGAGAGCCACAATGAGAACAGTTTATAGCATGTCTTTGGAAAACTTCTATTTATTATTAACTAGTATTAATAATCACCTCTTACGTACAGCTTCTTGGCCATATACATATGCAGTACAATGAGAAATATAGCTCATTGTATTGACCATAGCTGAGTTGTCTCTGTCTTGCTTAAAAAGACATCATAAAGGCTGAGTGCAGTGGCTCACACCTGTAATCCTAGCACTTTGGGAGGCTGAGGTGGGCGGATCGCCTGAGGCCAGGAGTTTGAGACCAGCCTGGGCAACATGGTGAAACCCCGTCTCTACTAAAATACAAAAATTAGCCGAGCATGGTGGTGCATGCCTGTAATCCCAGCTGCTTGGGAGGCTGAGGCAGGAGAATCGCTTGAACCTGACGGAGGTTGTAGTGAGCTGGGATTGTGCCACTTTATTCCAGCTTGGGCAAAAGAGTGAAACTCCGTCTCATAAATAAATGAAAAGACATCATAAAACGTTAACAATTTTAACATTTTGAGAACCTCTTTATCCAGTCTGTATCAGAAAAGAATCTGAGGTGAGTCTGATTTTGTAAATGTGTGCACCATACAAGTGATCACTGCTTCCTTTTCTTTTTGATGTGAACTGTTGACTCTCTCTTGGACTTGTCTGATGTTAGTTTATGGAATCTGCTTTTCTTATCCCTAGATTTTTATGTTGAACTATTTATTGAGTTTCTGTTGTGTGGCATAGCACTACGTGCCTTGGGTGTATAATATTGAAGTATATTCCTGCTCTCAAGAATGTCTAGTTGCAGACAAAAACCAGACAAATAAATAAAAAATTAGAGGATTCTTAGTCTAGAGAAAAGCACTATTTTGATTGTACCCTATTTTAAAACCTGAGTATATGTCTGACTATATAGCGTTCCTCTCCCTGTCTTTCAGGAACATTAGTAGGATGTGATTAATTTCTCCCAAGGATCTCAGAATTCCAGTTTTACTGGTAATTCTTTGTGGATTATAATTAGAACCAGAGTAGCAGGTACTCTGATGGTTTATTCTACCTCATGGGAATTAAAATTGCCAATAGGCATACTGAGAACTTAATTGATACACTTGCTAGTATATAAGTGAACTTAATTTCATTTGTTTTAGAATATAGATACTTGTTTCTTTACAATTTCCTCCTTTTTCCATATCCAGAGCCAAATAAGAGAATTCTTACTACCTTATTTTTAATTTTCTTTCTACTAATGGTATTGGGAACATGATCTCTATGTCCTTTGTTTCTCCTTTATAAGCTATTATGTGTTCTACACAAAATAGGTGCAGAATAGATTTCGAATGAAAGAGTGAATCTCATTTTACTAATAATCAAGAGTTATTTTTGTACGTCTTAAAAAACAAAGATTGTTTAGTTATTTTCATTCTAATGAATTAAGTACTCATTTTCCAGGAGTCTGGTGAAGGCAGAAATTCATCAGACTGTAGAGATAATGAAATTAAAAAATGGCAGCTAGCTCCTCTTCGTAAGATGGGACAACCAGTTTTACCTCGGAGATCCTCAGAAGAAAAAAGTGAAAAAATACCGAAAGAGTCTACAACTGTTACTTGCACAGGAGAAAAAGCTTCAAAACCAGGTAGTGAGATGAACAGAAAAAATTATATACTAATATATTTATATCTTATTTAAGATACAATTAATTAGTATACTTAGGGAATTTTTACAAATTTAACATTATTAAATGTTGTATTGCCATTAAGGCAATACAAATGGGTTAGGTGATTGGCCTTACTTGTAATTAAAAACTTGCTCTAAATTCTGGGGAAGCGCTAGTGAAATTAAGATAAGACCCCTCTTCTCATGGCACTTAAATACTAATGGAAGAAGGCAGTAAGTTTGCAAGTAAGAAAATTGCATGTTATTTTACAGCTTGAGAAGAAAAAGTGGAGTAATGGGATGGATAGTCACAGGTGGGAAGAGTAATGGGACTTCTGTTTTACATGGAATGGAGGAAGTAACTTGTGAGGTGGGATTTGAAGGGGTGCAAAGATTTTTGGAGGAGGTACTAGGTAAGGGACACATCAAATCTTAAGGCTTTGTGGTAGAAAGAAGTGTGGCATTTGAGGAGCAAGAAAGCCACTGTAGAGTGATTAGAAGGTAATACATAAAGGGATAGAACAGTGTTAGAAGATGAGTTCAGAGAAAATTATTGCTCGTACCCTATTTTAAAACCTGAGTATATGTCTATCTGTATAGCGTTCCTCTCCCTGTCTTTCAGGAACATTATTAGTAGGATGTGATTAATTTCTCCCAAGGATCCCAGAATTCCAGTTTTACTAGTAATTCTTTGTGGATTGTAATTAGAACAAGAGTAGCAGGTACTCTGATGGTTTATTCTACCTCATGGGACCTTTGGGGCTATGGCAGAGTTTATATTTTGTTCTGAATGTTGTGGGAAACCTTTAGAGGGTTTTGTGCAAGGGAAAACTCTGGTTGCTCTGTACAGTTTGGATTGTAGGAAGGCAGGAGAGAAAGAGAGTAGCCTGATTAGTCCGTAGCAATATCCTAGGAAAGAAATGATGGTAGCTTGGAATGGAAATAGAATGAAGGTAGTGAGTAGTAGTCAGATTCACATATGTTTTATAATAGAGTTGACAGAACTTGCTGATGGGTTAGATATAGGTTGGTATTGGTGAAGGAAATAGAGTCTGAGAAAAGAAAAAGGTTTGGGGAAGAAAATTGAAAAATTATGTTTTGGCCATTATGAGATTCCTATTAGACATCGAGATGGAAATGTTTTGAGTAAATCTTTGGCTGATGAGTCTGGAGCCTATTAGAAGACTTTGGAGGTTGGTATATAAATTTGGGATTTACTAGTGCATAGCAGTTAGTACAGGTTAAACATCCCAAATCTAAAATCTGAAACTTGAATGCTGGCATGATGCACAAAGGCAATGCTTGTTGGAGCATTGTGGATTTCAGATTTTCTGATTTGGGATGCTCCACTGGTAAGTACAATGCAAATATTCCAAGATTTGAAAAAATCTGAAATTGAAAATACTCTGGTCTCAAGCATTTCATATAAGGGCATACTCAACCTGTATTTAAAATCATGGGCTTAGATATAAATAGCTACAGGAGAGTTTGACAATGAAGGGACAGAAGCAGAGCCCTTGGGAAGCACCAGCATTTATTTTTACTTTATTTTTGTGACAGGGTCTCACTCTGTCACCCAGGCTTGAGTGCAGTAGTGCAATAGCAGCTCACTACAGCCTTGAACTCCTGGGCTCAAGCTATCCTCTCGCCTCAACCTCCTGAGTGGCTGGACTACAGGTGTGCACCACCACACCCAGCTAATTTTTTGATTTTTTGTAGAGATGGTGTTTCGTTATGTTGGCCAGGCTGGTCTCAAACTCCTGGCCTTCAAGTGATCTTCCTGCTTTGGCCTCTCAAGGTGCTGGGATTACAGGCATGAGCCATTGAACCTGGCCATCAGCATTTAAGAGTTGGGGAGAGAAGAGGTTATACAGCAAAGGAAACTAATGGGTGGCCTGTGAGGAAAGAGGAGAACTGAGACTGGTGGCCTGGAAGCCAGGTGAAGTTTCAAGAAGGAAGGAATGACCAAATGCTGTCTGGACATTTAGTAAGATTAACACAAGATTGTTAAGTCTATGACTTAGCAAAATGGAAATCACTGGTGACCTTGACTAGAATGGTTTCGGTGGAGCAGTAGGGAAAAAAACCAGTTGTAGTGGCTTATGAATGAATGGAAGAGTGAGGAACTGGAGACGTTGATTACAGATAACTCTCAGGGAGTTTTGCTGTTTAAAGAAACAAATGCCGTAGTAGTTAGAAGTGGATGTGAATTTTTTTTTTAAAGAAGATATCATAGCATGTTTGTAAGACTAATGGGAATGATCCAATAGAAAGAGACGGCTAGAGAGAGATGATGTTGATGATGTAAGAGAGAGAAGTGATAGTGTAGGTGTGAAACTCGGGAAGACAAGAGGGGATGGGATTCACTCCACATGGAGGGAGGTATTTATCAGAAAGGTAAAGCTCATCCATTGGATAGTAGGGAAGGTTGTATGTGGTAGGGGGAAGAACTAATGTAGGTAGGTTGGATTTGGTAATGGGAAAATGATAGTTGACAGTTTTTCCATTTTTTTTCAGTGAAATATGAAGAGCAAATCAAAAAGATTGTAGTTGAGAAGGAGGTATTGTTGGTTTGAGATGAGAGGAGAAAAAGTATGAAATAGATATCTTAAAAAGTGGGAGAGCAAATTTATTAGGAAAAGTTAATAGGATTAGGGCAGAAGGTTGAGTTACCTACTTAAAACTTGTGGTTATAAATTTAAAATGACATCTGTCAGTACCAGTGCTTATTTTTCTCCCTTGTCTTCAGCCGTTTGTTGCCTATTTGGGTGAAGGATAAAAGTTGGCTTTGAGCAGGGTTGTGGTTTTGCCAACACACATGTTTAAAAGAGAGAGAATAAAGATATTAAGTATACGAGGGGCTGGTAATGGTATTAGACTGTCTAATCTAAGTTTATAATGTATGAAAAGTGAATACATGAAGATGGTAAAAATCATAGATTTAAGAATTGTTGGCATGAGGAGATTCTAGAATAAATGTGCTGGTATAATAAGTCAGAGCAGTGGGATGTTTGACATTGAGATTTTGGAGATGCTTGGGAATTAGTAATGATAGAATAAAAATAATTTGAAAAGCTTAACATTCAAATTAGTAAAACCAGAAGAGATTCATCAATTTTGTGGTATTAGGTTATCTGCTCCTAATAAGTTCAGATCAAAATTTCTGAAAACTTTTTAAAAGTTAATTAATATATATGTGTGGAAAAATAACTAGCTCTAAAAGCCATTGTCTAAATTGAGGAAAGAGTAGGACCAGTTTTTAGTCACTATTCATTTTAATTAGGATTTCAGTGTCAGGAATATTTCAATATGGATTGTGGGTTCTGATCTTATTTCTAAATAGTGACTTTTAATCAGTTTTGTTTGTAAACTTATTCATTAAAAAGGAAAGATATTTTTAAAAGCAATGTAATGAGTTTCGATATTTATTCAAATTAGGTACTCATGAGAAGCAAGAGATGAAAAAGAAGAAAGTTGAAAAAGGAGTGCTTAATGTACATCCTGCTGCTTCTGCTTCCAAGCCTTCTGCAGATCAGATCAGGCAAAGTGTCAGACATTCTCTCAAAGACATTCTTATGAAGAGGTAACATATATTTTTATTATAGAAGTATCAATAATTATGCTTTATACATTTGAAAAATAATTGAATTGTTCTAATTTTAAGACTTACAGACTCAAATTTGAAGGTACCAGAGGAAAAGGCAGCAAAAGTTGCCACAAAAATTGAGAAAGAGCTTTTCTCTTTTTTTCGGGACACAGATGCTAAATATAAGAACAAATATAGAAGTTTGATGTTTAATTTGAAAGATCCTAAAAACAATGTAAGTATGCTTTGTTCATATGTTTATGCTTCCAACTTTCCTGAGTACATAGGTATCTCAGATTGTAATACAGTAGATCTATAATTTATTAATTGGAGTGAGATTATAATTTGCTTTTGATGTAGAACATGTAATTTTAATAGTCTTTTTGCTACTGAATAATTCTGCATACTAATAGCATTAACCATTCAGTCTACTGAAATGCTAAACGTGTCTTAACCTGATTTATATTATTTTTTCTTTACTCTCCTTTATATAATACAATTTATTAAAAAATTCATTCATATGTATTCTTCAAAAACTTTTAAGCTAAAATTTATAACACTATTTTTTTCTTAAATCTGAAAATAGAGCTATTTTGTACTTAAATCTGAAGATAGAGTAAAAATGCTTTTAAATTGTTTTTATCGAAATGTAATTTATTTTCTTAAGAAAATACATAACTTTAGTTCTAAAGATAGTCTTAAATATAACTTTAGTTCCAAGTATTATAGCAGTAGAGTAAATGTTAATTAAACCCCTAATTTTTTCTTGGGATTTCATGTTTTGGACAGAGGAAATCTAAAGGCTGTGCATGTGTGTGCGTGTATGTGTCAGTGTTAGCTCTCAACACCAAAAGTAGGTCTCTGATAAGTACAATAAGCAAAAATCATGCCAGCGAACATTTTAAAGGTTCAGAACATGACTGATCTCTTGTGTGTGACATTTACCTAGGTCCACCAGCAGTTTTTTGCTATAGATTACTCTAGGTAACAGAATGTGATTAGATGCAACCTTTTTGCATAAAAGGTTTTCACACAACTGATATAAATTTGTATAAGGATATTTGCTACAGTAGGTGATTTGAGGTATTTTCTTGAAGTACACTAACAGAGACTTAAAATTGTACATTCTGCCATCATGGTCCCGAGGATCAGATGCTTCTGGAATTACATAATCTGGAAGCTTTTCTTCAGCAATTAAATAAAGATTTATTTCCCTCAGGTTTTTTTATCTTTTTTTTGGAGACAGAGTCTTGCCCTGTCGCCCAGGTTGGAGTGCAGTGGCGCCATCTCAGCTCACTGCAGCCTCCACTCCCGGGTTCAGATGATTGTCCTGCCTCAGCCTCCCGAGTAGCTGGGATTACAGGCACACGCCGCCACGCCCAGCTAATTTTTGTATTTTTAGTAGAGACGGGGTTTCACCATTTTGGCCAGGCTGGTCCCAAACTCCTGACCTTGTGATCCTCCTGACTTGCCCTCCCAAAGTGCTGGCATTACAGGCGTGAGCTGCGGCACCCGGCCTCCCTCAGGTTTCTTTCAGGTTTCTTTCTTGCAGGTGGTTTTTTGCTCTGCAGTTTCCTCCAAGCCTGTCAGGATTTAAATATGTAAAATCTTAAAACTATGAAGACCATTACATTGAGTAAAGCTCTTTGATGCAGTACCTCGCTATACTATAGATTGCTTATTGTTATGGTTATATTGTGTCCCTGGGTAGACTTAATACAACTTTTGGGTAGGTATTGTAATGGTTCTACTGTACATGCTTCTCCATATATGTTGATTTTTATATGAAATGTGTGTTTTGCTGCCTTAAATTCCTAGAACACAAAGCTGTCATTTAATCTCTGTGTAGTAGGTAATATATAAATAATTAAGTATTTGTAAATCAGTCTTCAAAAATTGTATCTTTATTATAAATTTCTGTGTAGTAGCCACTCAAAATGTTTGTCTCCCCTTCTATTCCTATTTTAAAATCCTTCCAGATATTATTTAAAAAAGTACTGAAAGGAGAAGTAACTCCTGATCATCTTATCAGAATGAGTCCAGAAGAACTAGCTTCTAAAGAGTTAGCTGCTTGGAGACGAAGAGAAAACAGACATGTAAGATTATCTATAAATATGCATTTGACTATCAAAATCTATGTTTTTCAGCCATTGGGTAAAAATTATACAGAGGTAAATTCAACACAGACTGCATAATAACACAGACTTTCTGTTACATGCTTCTTTTTTTTTTGAGATGGCGTCTAGCTCATTCGCCAGGCTGGAGTGCAGCAGCATGATCTCAGCTCACTGCAACCTCTGCCTCCTGGGTTCAAGTGATTCTCCTGCCTCAGCCTCCCAAGTAGCTGGGATTACAGGCACGTGCTGCCACGCCCAGTTAATTTTTGTATTTTTAGTAGAGGTGGGGTTTTACCTCTTAAACCAGGATGGTCTCGATCTCCTGACCTCATGATCCGCCCACCTCAGCCTCCCAAAGTGTGGGGATTACAGGCATGAGCCACCTACATGCTTCTTTTAATTACTTGTTCTCCATTCCTCTAGTTCTTAAATTCTGTTGGTTTCTCTGATCTTGTCAGGTTTTTTTCTCATTTTCTCCAGTTACTAGGTTACAGAATTACCTTGTGTTTTATTATAGTTTGTAAATGAGAAGGATGGGAAAAGAATTAACATCTTTTCATAATTACATCTGTATTTTTCAGCAGCACAGTTTGAAGGTATTATGAATATTGGTAATTTGTAGAGCCAGATGAATTAAGTCAGAATAAAAATGTGTACAGGCTTATCTCTTATCCAAAGTTTCAAATGCCAAAAGCCCTGAAAAATAAAGTTATTTTCGCATAACTAATTTATTGATAAAGCTTAACCTGAATTGCCATGTATGAATGTTCATATTCACAGAAATATTGTATATTTAATTACGTGTCTCAGACCTAACTGGAATGTTATGTAATATAGAGTGTGTGCACCATATTTCATGTTTAAATTTAAAAATTCTGAAACTCACAGATAGCAAGAATTTTTGTTTGGAGATTGTGAACTTAAAGGTATTTAAAGTACCTTTAAAAATTAAGTATGTTACTTAGAGCCATTGTGACAGTGAGATAGCCATGTTATCCAATTTTTGTATTACAATGGCATCAGAATGTTAGCCCCTTATTCTAGAAAATACTGGTTGTAGTTCATATTAACTCTACATGATTTATCTGATTCTTTTGTTCATAATATTTAGTTACATCTCAGGCACTAAACCTCCATATAGACCTATGCCAGATCTAGTTTGAAGCTCATCTAGAGGCCTTGATTTGACATATCATACTTCTTCATACATTCCTTTACCTTCACCGTATGTAATTTCTCCTCCTCTTATATTTTGAAAATAATATCACCTCCTCTTCCTTCCCTCCATATCTCAAATATGCACATGCCACTCTTCTGCTTTGAAACTGGCTGCGAGTAACATCTGTATCAGAAAATGCCAGCTTGTTCTTTCTTAAGGCCATGTACCTGATTTTTCTTTAAAGGATGATTTGTACTTAACAAAGGCAGTACCATCTATGCCTTCCTTACCTGTTCTATTCCTGGCTACCTTTATACTACTACTTGTTATACTTGCTTAATTTTGATGTTTTGTTGCTAAGCTTGTTCAACCGAATTTTCAGGGTCACTAAGCAGGCTTAGTTAGGAGACAGCTAACAAAGGACTACCAGATCGGTCATTTGAATAAACTACTATTGTGGGGGATGTTAGAACATTGAATTAGGAATTTAAGAGCAAAATAGTTCCTATTTCCCTGTGGCAGCTGCTAAAAAGTACTAAATCAGCAAACAGATTTCAAATACAAATAGTATGTTTCACCACTTTGCAAATTACTTTGGACTTCATTTGCCTCCTGATATAAATGTACATGTGAACTTCTCATGGTTGAGGTACGGGGTCTAATTCTTATAACCGCAGTACTTAAAACTGTCTCTGGCATATAAAAGTACTCAGAATATGTTTGTTATATGAGACATTACCTTAAGATTAAAAGTCATCTGTGGTGATTTGTTTATTTTTAGGTAAGCTCTTATTATTTAAGGTGTACACTTGGAAATACATATTTTAAATTTAATATTTTTAAAAAAGTATTTTCTGTTAGACCATAGAAATGATTGAGAAAGAGCAGAGAGAAGTGGAACGACGGCCAATCACCAAAATAACTCATAAAGGTGAAATAGAAATTGAGAGTGATGCCCCAATGAAAGAACAGGAAGCAGCCATGGAGATTCAGGTAAGGATAGATATGCCATGTTTTATAGCTCAAAACATGAAGATTCAGAAAAGGTTTATTTGCCTAATGTTTTTAAAGTAGAGAAAAGAATTTTAAAATATGCATCCATTTAAAAGTAGCCTATTTTATTGGTTTAGTGGTTTTTTGAGTGTTGAGTAATGTCTCTCAAATTGCATTATAGGTACCTGTTGAACAGTTATTACAGTGTAGATTCCTGGAGTGCTCTGACTTAGTGAATTTCTTTTTATTTTTTGGTGGGATAGAGTCTTGCTTTGTTGCCCAGGCTGGAGTGCAGTGGAGCAATCTCGGCTCACTGCAACCTCCGCCTCCCAGGTTCAAGCGATGCTGCCACCTCAGCCTCCCAAGTAGTTGGGATTACAGGCATGCGCCAATACACCCAGCTAATTTTTGTATTTTTAGTAGAGACAGAGTTTCACCATGTTGGCCAGGCTGGTCTTAAACTCCTGACCTCAAGTGATCTGCCCACCTCGGCCTCCCAAAGTGTGGGGATCACAGGTGTGAGCCACCGTGCCTGGCCTGACTTAGTGAATTTTTTAGTAGGCTTAGAAATTTGTAAGTGTTTCTTAGGCAGAGTGTCATTTGATAGGTGGCATAGCTTTTCTTATTTTCAAAAGTCAGTGAAGAAATAATTTGAAATCTTACTAGAAGGCTTGAAGAATGGGGAATGTTTTAATTTTTGCTCTTTTAAGTCACAGTTAAAAGCTAGCATTCATTTTCTTAAGAAATAGTAAAAAAAAACCAAAAAACAAAAATCAAAAACTTATCTATGGAACAACTGCATTTTAGGAAAATATAAATGGAAAATATAAATTGATTTTGATAATTGAGGCCAAATTTTATCAGCTAAAACTAATTTTTACTTTGACTTACGTTAGGAACCAGCCGCCAATAAGTCATTGGAGAAGCCAGAAGGATCTGAAAAACAAAAAGAGGAGGTTGACTCTATGTCTAAAGATACCACTAGTCAACACAGACAGCATCTTTTTGATCTCAACTGCAAAATCTGCATAGGTAATTGGAAGTTTTTCTTCGTAAAATTTTGCATTCATTATGAAAGAAGGATACTTAGATACTAGTATATGTAATTTAAGTAGGTTTTGTTTTCCCAATATTGGTGGTGAGGCACTCACTCACAGTCTTTAAGCTTTCGTGTGACTGGTTTTCTGGGTTGAGGTATAGTTTGATACTGTGGTATAGTCTACTGTCTAGACCTAATTATACTATATATGATTTGAACTTAAAAACTGTTCTTGCTGGAGTCAAATGACAAGAATTTAACCATTAGAATGAACATCAAACATTGTGGGCAGTTGTGATGATACTGTCATTTACTAAAGTAAAGGAGTAAAATAGCATTTATATTTTATTATATATAACATAAGACAAATCAGAAACTGAAATTACTTTTTTGTAAAAAAGCTTTTTATTTTTAAGAGCACTTTTAGGTTCATAGCAAAATTGGGAGGAAGTTACAGAGATTTCTCACATACCTGCTGCCTCCCTACGTGCATAGTCTCCACTGTTAGCAACATCCCACACCAGAGTGGTGCAGTTACTACAGTTGACAAACCTACATTGAAAAATAATGACCCCAAATCCATAGTTTACATTGGCGTTCACTCTTAGAGTTGTTCATTCTGTGGGTATGGACAAATGTGTAAAGACGTGAATCTAGCATTATAGTATTATACAGAGTATTTTCACTGCCCTAAAAATCCTCTTTACTCTGTCTATTCATCCCTTCCCCCAACACCCCCACCAGCCCCTGGAAACCACTGATCTTTTCATTGTCTCTGTAGTTTTGCTTTTTTCAGAATATTGTGTAATTGGAATCATCTAGTATGTAACATTTTCAGATTGGCTACTTTCACTTAGTAATATGCATTTAAGCTTCCCCTATGTCTTTTCATGGCTGGATAACTCATTTCTTTGTAGCATTGAATAATATTCCATTGTCTGGATGTATAGTTTTTCCATTCACTTAATGTAGGAGATCTTGTTTTATTACAAGTTTTGGCAATTACGAATAAAACTAGTATAAACATTTGTATGCAGCTTTTTGTGTGGATGTGTTTTCAGCTCCTTTGGGTAAATACCATGGAGCACAATTGCTGGATTGTATGGTAAGAGTATGTTTATCTTATAAGAAACCTCCAAACTATTTTTCACAGAGGCTGAGCCATTTTGCCTTCCTGCCAGCAACGAATCAGAGTTCATTTTGCCTTCCCGCCAGCAATGAATGAGAGTTCCTGTTGCTCTACATCTTTGCTAGCATTTGGTATTGTCAGTATTCTAGATTTTGGCCATTCTAATAGGTGTATAGTGGTATCTCTCTGTTGTTTTACTTTGCATTTTCCTGATGACATATGTGGAGCATCTTTTCATGCTTATATGCCACCTGTATAGCTTCTCTGGTGAGGTGTCTCTTCAGGCATGTATAGTCATGAGCTGTTGCTATATAATCCAAACCTGGATACAGATAATACAGATTTGTCTTAGTTCTTCATGTTACTTCTCGAGACTATTGGAATTTGGTAAAATTGTCAGAGAATTAAGAAACCTGTTTTAGGTTCTAGTAATAATATTTTCATTTTAGCTTGTCTGAGTTGTTTAACATTCTCTTCTTCTAATTTTTCACTTCACTAAGAGAGGAATTACTACCTTAGGGGTCCTCAACCCCCGGGCCACAAACCTGTACGGTCCATGGCCTATTAGGAACTGGGCCTCACAGCAGGAGGTGAGCGGTGGACGATACTGCCTGAGCTCCGCCTCCTGTCAGATGCAGTGGCGTTAGGTTCTCATAGGGGTGCAAACCCTATTGTGAACTGCACATGTGAAGGATCTAGGTTGCGTGCTCCTTATGAGAATCTAACTATTAATGCTTGATGATCTGAGGTGTAATGGTTTCATCCTGAAACCATCTCTCCCCTCATCCCACCGTCCATGGGAAAATTGTCTTCCATGAAATTGGTTGCTGGTGATAAAAAGGTTGGGGACTGCTAATCTTGTCCATATTTACTCATGATATGTTTTACATGTAGGAAATAATTATAAAGAGATTTTAAGGGGAAATTAACTTTATTACAGGTAGAACCATGCATGATTTGCTTTGAATTGCATTTCAGATAAGCTTAGGTCCCTGTATATAGAAGAGGGCTGGCAGTGGGGAGAACACTAGTGAATTTTCTGCTGATTCTTAAATGTGGTTGTGATACAACTAAATGATGACAGTTAGATATAACCCCAGGAAATGTATGGTTACTCAGCAATTGAATCATAGAACCTGAATAACTTTAGAAAGTGAAAATGGGTTAAGTTATAAAAGTTGTAGTTAACAGTTGGTTTCTTTTGATGTATTCTGGGCTTAGGTCGAATGGCACCACCTGTAGATGATCTTTCTCCAAAAAAAGTAAAAGTTGTTGTAGGAGTAGCTCGCAAACATTCAGACAATGAAGCAGAAAGTATAGCAGATGCATTATCTTCAACCTCAAATATTTTGGCTTCTGAATTCTTTGAGGAGGAGAAACAGGAGTCTCCAAAGTCAACGTTCTCTCCTGCTCCACGGTAATTTTCTCTGTTGTAAATTCTGTAATACTCATTATAGATCTTTGCCAGATTATACTTGCAAGTCTTCAAAAACAGAAAAGTGACATTTTGGGAACCTCTCATTTGAGAAAATAACTGTACTTTCCTGTACTTTGAGATAAAACAAGACTTCGAAAATAAATATATTTGGAGTGTTTTCAGTGAGAGATTGGAGCGTGTGGGGAAACAGCTTTAAAATTCTCTTTAATTATGCTGGTCCCAAAAGTCAGGGATAGATTATTAAAGACGAAATGTTTGCACTTTTCTCAATCTTAGTTCTCCTAAGCCAGCCAAGAGGGAAGATTTTGTAAAACATTACTATGTAAATATGAATGTAATTTTATAAAATGAAAGTGTGAACTCTTTGTCAATAGCCTCATATTTTGGCCTTCTTCACATGCTAAAATACGAGTAACTGATGACTAGGTAGGACATTGATTTATTCATCAGCTTGTCTTTAGGCTTTTTAATGTCATTTTCTAGTCCAGAGATGCCTGGAACTGTTGAAGTTGAGTCTACCTTTCTGGCTCGATTGAACTTCATCTGGAAAGGTTTTATCAACATGCCTTCTGTGGCAAAATTTGTTACCAAAGCCTATCCAGTATCTGGCTCCCCAGAATACCTGACAGAGGTACTGTGAACTTTTCTGCTTTTCTGTGCATGAATTGATAATGTGTGTTTCTGAAAGTAATTGACAGGGAAATAAGACAGAGTTAGTAATAGAAATATTTATTAACAATGATTTTTAAACAGTCCAAGTAATATAATTATGAATTAACAAATGGATCTTTAGAATTGTAAAATAAACTATTCTCTGAAAGTTTTAAACTCCTATGTCCTGCACTTTTCCCAAGATGTACTGCCTCACTGTGTCAGATAATTCAAAATCAATGAGAGTCTACATGGATATCCAAGTTTTTCTTTGAATACACACTTAAATAAAAGATTTACATACTTTTGGTCTTTAATGTTAACACATTAAGAATTTTTTGTTAAACAGATCTTCTGATTTCCCCACTGCTTATGTTTCCCCATCTTCATGACTACTGTTCTTACCTGCCTATTTCTGTGAATGTGGTTTATGTAGACTGGGAGTTGAAGCTTTACAGCTAGTTGAAAACCAGTGAGACTAGTGACTGTAGTTGCTGCAAGTGATACCCTTGGTTGGTTCTACACCTGAGGGAAATAGAAAGAAACTATTATGTGGTATTTATGGAAAATAAGCAGCAGTAACATTATAATATTGTGATAAATGAGACAGTGACATTTTTGAATTATTTTGAAGGAAATGTATTTTTATATGTGTATAGAAGGAAAATAAATCAGTACATATATACTGTATTTATGTTGAGATCATATTTTGCTATCTTGTTCGTATCTGACCTTTTTCATTTATTCTCTATCTGCTGATTTTAAAGAATTAAAAGATTGTAAAAAAATTCCTTTTATTATTTGAAAAAGCCTAAATCATTTGCCTGTCTTTTTTTTTTTTTTAAGGCTAACATAAACTTCACTTTTCTTTGGATTAGGCTGCAATTAGTTTAATTCAATGTAATACTGTTTATGTAATATTGATCAGTTTATTTGGTTAGCAGTTGTGGGTTTGTTTTTGTTTTTGTTTTTGTTTTTGTTTTTGTTTTGAGACAGAGTCTGCCCTGTCGCCCTGGCTGGAGTGCAGTGGCGTGATCTTGGCTTGCTGCAATGTCTGCCTCCCGGGTTCAACCATTCTCCTGTCTCAGCCTCCCATGTAGCTGGGATTAACAGATGTGTGCTACCACACCTGGCTAATTTTTGTATTTTTAGTAGAAACGGGGCTTCACCATGTTAGCCAGGCCGGTTCTGAACTACTGCCCTCAAGTGATCTGCTTGCCTCTGCCTCCCAGAATACTGGGATTACAGATGTGAGCCACCGGGCCCAGCCTAGCAGTGTGTTTTCGATTAATAAACAGACTAATCACTTTTATATACAGTTTGCTTGATATTTTAAAAATGTGAGCTTTATAAGAGAAAAATGAATTAGATCCATGATGTTCTTCTTGAGCAAATCTGTTTAGAAATTTATTATTTGGTCAGTCCATGGTGAAGATAATTCTTTAAACGGAGAGGTAAGCCCTTAACTACAAAATCCTTTTGATTTTAAACAAGATTATTATTTTCCCCTCCGAGACACAGTTTTTATGTGGTTGCTTTCCAGATTTTCACTTCCGTTTTGTACTTGTTTTTAGTTTGGACTGAAATCCCAAATCAAATATTTTAAAGTAGTTAATAATTTAAATAAACTAAATTGAATTTAATATCAATTATGTTTTTATGATTTTCCTCAGTCTTCGTGGAAAAAATAGGAATGTACTGAATAAAGTTTTAAATATTCTTAATTGCTTTCATGTGTAGTCATCTGTTTTCAGAAAGATTATGCCTTTAAAAAAATAAACCTTGAATTATTACAATATTATTCTCCTTTGTGCAAAAATACACTCTGTAATTACATTTGGTAACCTTTGAAATTCAGCTGTTAATTATTAAGGAATTTTCCTGCCTACTGCTACCAAAAGGGGAGGTTACAATCTCTGCTAATATTCTGAAATGTGTTGTGTTCTTTCTGAATTGTTAATGTGGTATGCTTGCCATTGCTTCCCTTTCCCATCTTTCATAGTGAGATTGGGCATGAACTCAGACTCTTTCTTAGTAGCTGTATTTTAGGCAACAGTCATTTGTAGTTGGCATTTCAAGTAAAACCTAATTGCTCTCTGTATTCTGTTTTCCGATGCATTTTTCATAATCTCTTTATTTACTTGTTTTTATTACTGTTTCAAATTAGTCTTAGAATCAAATTTGTATGAATTACTAATGTCATAATAAAGATAATCTATATATATTGATCTCTTTTTTTTTTTTTTAACCATAGGACCTACCAGATAGTATTCAAGTAGGTGGCAGGATATCACCTCAGACAGTTTGGGATTATGTGGAAAAAATAAAAGCATCAGGAACCAAGGTGAGGAAAACTTTTTTCACTATACCAGCATGGGAAAATGTTTAGAAAGTAAACAGTTTAGAATTCTTATGCAAGGGTGCAAAGTCTCCTGGGGAAAGGAGGCAATACACATTTTAAGTCTATGTAATATACCTCACAAAACTGAACAAAAGCCATTTGCTGAGGCTGTCAACAGTACAGCATTTTTTTTTTTTCCTCTCCTGGGATGCTCTCTTTGTGGCTTCTGTTAATGTTTTAGAAGAAATGTTTTAGAGTAAGTATTGAAATTCACCCTGGAATTTTGCCTTGCTTCTATTACAGACAAGTGTTTGAGTTAGGGCACAGCTAAGCTATTGCAAAAAAGAGAATCTAAAATATAGTGACTCAAAAAATACAGAAGTTGATTGGAGTGTTGTCCTCAGCAGTCAAACATACCAAATAGGAGTAAATGAGGAATACCTGTCTAGTTGTTTGAAAGGCAAATTGCAGTCATTAACTTCCATTGGAAAGAACCTAGTCACATAGCCATCCATACATAGCTGCTAGGGAGGCTGGGAAATGTAATCTTTATTGGATGGCCATGTGCCCAGCTAAAAGTTAAGGGCTTCTTATTAGTAATAGGAGGAAAGGAGAAAAGATACTGCGAAATGGCTCTATCACAATAATATTTCTCCTTTTCCTTTTTCTCTCTACATTTTCTTTTCTTTTTTTAACTTATAGAATATTACTACAGAGGAAAATTTAATCATTAGAAGAAATTGTTTTTCCCTCCACGGGATGTGATAGTACCTAGTATATTAACAGTCATTCGATAAATAAATCTTGAATGAATAAATGTTACTTTTTTGCCTCTTTTTCAGAAGTCTCTAGCTTTTCTTTGGAATGATCCAAAATGGATAATCTTAAGCTGAAAAGAATATTTTGTTCCAGTATAGATTTTTAGAATTTAAATTGATACAGTGTTAAAATACAAATAAACTTTAAAGCACTAATAAAAATGAGAAGTATTACTCTTGGGCATTTTGAGAATCACTCTTGAATCCACACATATATTACTGCCCAACACTTTATAGTATGTTCCAATTTAACAGATTTAAACACTCTGTAATAGTTGTTACTAACATATGTATGGTGATTTTTACTCTAAAAGAGGGCAGTTTAGATGACACACATTTTATAAGAGAGTCATATTTCAGCTCATTCACATGTTTTCCTTAGGAGCTTGTATCAGTTTTAGGCTTTGCAGCAAATCTGGCTCTCCCATTTCGGCCATATACCATCATGAAAAAAAACATTGTTGTTGAACACTACCAAATTAATAACAAATTAGGACTGTCTTTTCTATCTGAAACAAAACCTAGAGGCAAGCAAGAAAATTCCTAAGCCAAATTACTTTACAAAATTTACGGTCTATATGTATTTAAGGTCTCTTCATCCAGCCCTTTTTATTTCTAAATTCAGTGCCTAGTAACTGGATTATTAGTAGATTTGTCTGTTTGTGTATATAAATGTATGGTAGGGTGGAAGTGTTGGGTGCTTTTAGTTCCCAGTGGTTCAAGAACATAAGCAGCCCTTTGTGGAGGTTACAGCATTGGAAATCAGGATATAGTGTAGATATTAGAAGACTTGGGTTTCAGTATCATCTCTGCCACTGACAAGTTGTATCTGTCACCTTCAAAAAAGTCATTAATCACCTTTGGACTCCATTTCTTATGTTTCCGTAAGAAATGTAAGCTATCAGATAAATCCATCAATGGATCAGTAAAGATCTTTTCTTAAGAGTTACTTGCTTTTAATATTCTCTTCTGTATTTAAGTTGGTAAACCACGTTATTTGGTACCATCATTATAAAGTTCAATAGATTATTACTAATTGAGAAATAGTTTTAAAACCAAGCTACTCTTTAGCTTATTACCTTAAACAATTATTTGTTATTTTCTTGAACAGGAAATTTGTGTGGTTCGCTTCACACCAGTAACTGAAGAAGATCAAATTTCTTATACTTTGCTCTTTGCATACTTCAGTAGCAGAAAGCGCTATGGAGTAGCTGCTAACAACATGAAGCAGGTTAAAGATATGTACCTTATTCCTTTGGGTGCCACAGATAAAATTCCACACCCTCTTGTGCCTTTTGATGGACCTGGTAGGTATACGTTTTAATAATAGGATAAGAATGAAATAACATGGGAGGTGGGACCAGAGTGAAAAGACTGATTCTGCCTTCTTTCTCAGGATCCAGCCCTCTAGAGATGGCTTGACAGGGCCAGGCACCATTTAATATCCTGTAATAAGTTAGAGGCAGAATTTTACCTTTTTTTGCAATGATTGAAAATGATGAATTAATTGATGTTTTTGGTTTTATACAGGGCTTGAACTGCATAGACCTAATCTATTGTTGGGCTTAATTATTCGTCAGAAACTGAAGCGACAGCACAGTGCCTGTGCTAGTACTAGTCATATAGCTGAGACTCCTGAAAGTGCACCACCAATAGCATTGCCACCTGATAAAAAAAGTAAAATAGAAGTTTCTACAGAAGAAGCACCAGAGGAAGAAAATGACTTTTTTAATTCTTTTACAACTGTATTACACAAGCAGAGAAATAAACCTCAGCAGAATCTTCAGGAAGACCTTCCAACAGCAGTTGAACCTTTAATGGAAGTCACCAAACAGGAGCCACCAAAACCTTTAAGATTTCTTCCTGGCGTGTTGATTGGCTGGGAGAATCAACCTACTACTCTGGAATTAGCAAATAAACCTCTTCCTGTGGATGATATACTTCAAAGCCTTTTGGGCACCACTGGTCAAGTATATGACCAGGCCCAGTCAGTGATGGAACAAAACACTGTTAAAGAAATTCCATTTTTAAATGAGCAGACCAACTCAAAAATAGAGAAAACAGATAATGTGGAAGTAACTGATGGTGAAAACAAGGAGATAAAAGTTAAAGTAGATAATATTTCAGAATCTACAGATAAGTCAGCAGAAATAGAAACATCAGTAGTAGGGTCCTCTTCCATTTCTGCAGGGTCTTTGACGAGTCTTAGTCTCAGAGGTAAGCCACCAGATGTTTCTACAGAAGCATTTTTAACAAATTTATCAATTCAGTCAAAACAAGAGGAAACTGTGGAGAGTAAAGAGAAAACATTAAAAAGACAGCTTCAGGAAGATCAAGAGAATAATTTGCAAGATAACCAGACTTCAAATAGTTCTCCATGCAGATCTAATGTAGGAAAAGGAAACATAGATGGTAATGTGAGCTGTAGTGAAAACCTTGTTGCTAATACAGCGAGGTCTCCACAGTTTATCAACCTGAAAAGGGATCCTAGGCAAGCAGCAGGACGAAGTCAGCCTGTAACTACTTCAGAAAGCAAAGATGGAGATAGTTGCCGGAATGGAGAAAAACACATGCTGCCTGGCCTGTCACACAACAAGGAGCACTTAACAGAACAAATCAATGTAGAGGAAAAGTTGTGTTCTGCAGAGAAAAACTCGTGTGTTCAGCAGAGTGACAATTTAAAAGTTGCACAAAACTCACCATCAGTAGAAAACATACAGACTTCTCAAGCAGAACAAGCAAAACCCTTACAGGAGGATATTTTAATGCAAAATATTGAAACTGTGCACCCATTTCGAAGAGGATCAGCAGTAGCGACATCTCATTTTGAAGTTGGAAACACATGTCCATCAGAATTTCCTTCTAAAAGCATCACCTTTACTTCCAGAAGCACCAGCCCCAGAACAAGTACAAACTTTTCACCCATGAGGCCACAGCAGCCCAACCTTCAGCATCTCAAGTCTAGCCCACCTGGATTTCCATTTCCAGGGCCTCCTAATTTTCCCCCACAAAGCATGTTTGGATTTCCACCACATTTGCCACCTCCATTACTTCCCCCTCCAGGCTTTGGCTTTGCTCAAAATCCCATGGTTCCCTGGCCACCTGTTGTTCATCTCCCAGGTCAGCCACAGCGTATGATGGGTCCTCTCTCACAAGCATCAAGGTATATAGGCCCGCAGAATTTTTACCAGGTTAAAGACATTCGGAGGCCAGAAAGGCGCCATAGTGACCCTTGGGGTAGGCAAGACCAACAGCAACTGGATAGGCCATTTAATAGGGGTAAAGGGGACCGCCAGAGATTTTATAGTGATTCACACCATTTGAAAAGAGAGCGACATGAAAAGGAATGGGAGCAAGAATCTGAAAGGCATAGACGCAGAGACAGAAGCCAAGACAAGGACAGAGACAGAAAAAGCAGGGAGGAAGGGCACAAAGATAAAGAGAGGGCACGGTTATCACATGGTGATCGAGGAACAGATGGAAAAGCAAGCAGAGATAGTAGGAATGTAGACAAGAAGCCAGATAAACCTAAAAGTGAAGACTATGAGAAGGACAAAGAACGAGAGAAAAGTAAACACAGAGAAGGAGAAAAGGACAGGGATAGGTACCACAAAGATAGGGACCACACTGACAGAACTAAAAGCAAAAGGTAAAATTTGCAGGCTGCTTCAGGATTACATTTAAATAACTGTTAAAATGTTGTATCTTGTAAACAAAAGAAAGATTGCCTGCTAGGATTGTGCCATCTTTAAAATTTTTACTATTGGTCATTTGCAGAACAGTAAATTCTGTGTGTTGGTACAGAGTGCTCTGTACCAGTGCTCATCATCCCTTCTTCATACCAACGGTCCCTAGTTATAGGAATTTAATATTTTTAAAAGTTTTACATTGCTGTATATTCAAAGATTTGTTTTATTAATATGCAATAAAGGCTTAGAAATTTTAGTTTTATTCCTTAATTGGTAAATATGGTTAACTATGGAATATATTTACTTCCTCTAGTGAATGTCCTTTATATAATGACTAATTTGGGAGTAATGTGTGCTCTGTAAGTTTGTTTTAAATTGCACTGTTTTTAAAGAAACTGTAGAGGAGCAACAAAAATCCAAGCAACTTCATAATCAGATTATGCTAATCATTTAGTTGAGCAGTTTTTGACCAAGAATCAGAAGCCCAAGGGGTACATTTATTGCTTTAATCTGCACTCATTGAAGTCATTTATTACCATATACTACAGCTTTGTGGTAGGCCATTATTTTCATTTTCATTTTTGGCTCTTCAGAAACTTGAATACTTAAGCTTGTACATGATCTTGTGTTTTGCTATCCTTTTTACTGTAAAATGTAAATATTTTAAGGGATATTTTGATTCTAAATATGATAAAATAATTTCTCACCTATTTTGTGTGTGTGACTTGAAATTCAGTAGTAAAAGAATTTCTTCTTTAAAGCTTTAATTACCTTCAGACATTGATTTTTTGTTACTCAGCCAAGAACATATAGAAATAGCTATCTATGTCAGGCATTAGATGAGGGGAAAAACAATTTTTTTAAAATCTTAAATTGTAGGCTGAGATGAATTGTGTAGTTCTAAAGAGGCTAGAATTTAGAACTACCTGTGAAACACTGTGCAGCTATAGCCCACTTTATAGGTAAGTTTCTGAAAACTTTTACACCATCGCAATTTGGTACTCTGACTCACTAATCATTAAAATTAAAGACCGCAGAACTTGAAGAGAAATATGTTTTGAATCCTTTTATAAAATGTGCGATTTAGCCTAATTCGTAAAGTAACTGTACAGTTTCATATGCCAGTTTTACTTGAAAAAAAAATATGAAAACTATTGTTAATTCAAATCTAAATTTATTTAAACCCTAAAACACATGGTTTTGATGGCTGTAATTTAAAGTAAGAGCTATCAAATGATGCTGACAAAAGAAAAACCTTCCAAAATACAAAAGAAAGAGAACTCTATTATTTACTTACCTGTATTAATGAAGAAAAATATAAATAATTCCACAAAATTGATTGTTTTCCTAAAGAGCTTAAAGATTAGAGTTAAAAATTGGTTTTGAAACAGAATTATCCTTGTTATTTTTGCTGGAGAGAAGGGAGGAAATTCAGAACCAAACATTCTATTTAATTTGCAATGACTTGCAGTACTTTTTTCCCTATCCTTATCCTGTGAAACTTACTATCATAAGGTTCTAAAACAGAGAACTTGTGTTTAAATAAAGCCCGTTTAACTTTGGTCCACTTTTCTTTTGGAAATTAACTTGTTAGAAAACAAAGTTAGTTCCCAAACAAAACAAAATCTAAGTTATAATTTGCACCATTACAAAGAAATTGCTGTCAGGGTTTTACACATTTTAAAAACATTTCAATTTCAAATGTGTATATCGTCAATAAATCTACCTTTACTGATATATCTGGTTGAGGGAATATCAGACTCCAGATTTCTTTTGCAAGATGAAAGTAAAAACGAGTGGGTTAATGAATGAAAACAAGCTTTTAGGTCAGTTTTTGATCACCTCTTCGCTAATAGTTTTTTCTACATATCTAAAATTCTTTAATCAGTTCTGATCGAATCTTGATACATGTTTTTAAAATAGGCAAGGCCCATATAGCTTTCTATTAGGGATGAGCATCTCCAGGGGTTAGAGGCAGATCTTGTAACCGCTGATTGACTGAAACATTTTATGGAGAATAGGGAAGGTATGGTCATATTAGCTATTTGAGGTTTTCCTTTTGAGGAAAAAAAGGGAAAATGAGCAGATTTTTCAATGAGTAGTAGATCCAAAGCCATTCTCAGTCCCAGGTACAACCAGCCTTACACAAACTAGTGAATTACATGAATTTCATCTTTCAGTTTCTCCTGTTTTAAGAAAAAACCTGCTCTTTAAAAAAAGTTTTACACTTAAAAAAACTTAGAATCATCTTAAGACAGTGAATGCATACCTCTATTAGGTAAAAGTACCAGGGCATCTCAGTACCTGTAAAGTTCACCCCATGTAATCTTTGTGGCAATCAGAAAGCCTCCTTGAGCCCTCTGTAAGGCATCCCTGGTTTTGAGCACTTAGTATAAACATTGGTCAACTCAAAGGTGAAGGCTTAGAGCTGAGGAAACTGGAACTTAGAGAAGTTGGGAAACTTGGCCAGGTTACCCTGCTGTTGTCAGAGCAGGAATCCTACCTAGCTCAGTTCTTTTCTCTAAAGTCCATGTGCTTAGCAATTGTGCTCTGAGAATTGAGAATGAGAAAAAGAAGCAAAAGCCTGATGATCATATATACCTTTCATAGCCCTCTTTCTTTGCGTTCCACTGAACTGTCTGAAACCCTTCACTGAGCAACCCAACTGTTCAGTGTGAGTCAGAAGACACAACCAAAAACCTGTAAGTTCTTTTGTACGGATTTGCAAAATTTATATTAATCACAAATCCTAATTCTCTATTCCTGTTTTCTATTGCTGTTGTGATGAATTACTACAAGTGTAGTGGCTTAAAACCACACAAATTTATGATCTTACGGTTCTGTGGATCAGAAGTCTGTGCAGATCTCACTGGGTAAGATCAAGGTGTCAGCAAGATGCATTCATTTTCTGGAGACTTTCAGGGAGATTCCTTTTTTTTTGCGCCTTGGTTTCTAGCTTCTAGAGGGCACCCAATTTCCTTGGCTCATGATCCCTTCCTCCATATTTGAAGCCAGCAGTGTGGGACCCAGTCTTTCTCTAGTATCTCTGACCTTCCCTTCTGATTCCCTCTTCTACTACAAAGGACCCTTGTGATTACATTGACCCCACCCAGATAATCCAGGGTAATGTTCCTATTTTCAGGTCAGCTGATGAGCAACTTAAATTCCATCTGTGACCTTAATTCCCTATTCCCATGTAACCTAACATATTTACAGGTGTTCCAAGGATTGGGGTGTAGACATCTTTTGGGGGATTATCATCTACCAACAGCCCTTGACTTACTAATTGTAGTTTATTGTGGGTGAATTAATCTGAAATCTTTATAGAATAGCTAAGGCTATAGTAAATACATGTGAAAAATTTAAGAACAATAACACCAGCAATAGAGAAGAAAATGGAGTGAAAAGTGAAGCCACTCCATGTTAACGTGTGTGTTAACATAAAACTACCCGTCAACAGGTAACTTTACTCTGTTGTTCCTAAGTTTTTAATAGTAGCTGTGTTTTTAAAGTTTATGAACCAAACTTAAATGCATTATGAGAGCTTGATAATGAACCAGATCTTAGTAAAACAGTATTTTAACATTTGGATATACTAGTTGTACTATGCTTATCTCAGATCCCTGTAACACTGGTCAGGCTACAACTTACTAATGACTACAAAGAACTATATACACAATCAGGTTTATTTCTGTCTCTTAAAGCAAATTGCAAATAAAATTGGTTACTGCTTTTAAAAAGGTGCCAAACACCCTAATTCTTTGATTTCTGTTTCACAATTATAGTAATATGTAGAGCAAAAAAGTAGTGAGTTGAAAACAGATCAGTAGCAAGAAGTCCTTTGAAAACTTGAGTTCACCATGTCAAGTTTCATCTTATAGATAGATGCAGAGCAGAGTCATTGAGGGAAATAGCCTAAGCACTCAAAGGGCAGTGAATCCAATATAACTCTAAATATCCCCAAAATACTTTTTCTATGAAATAATTCAGTGTGTGCATGTCCATGTGTGTATATATACATATATGTTAGCCCAAGCTGTCTTTTAAAACTCCTTATTTTAAGATAATTTTGTCCTCAAAGTAATGATTTTTTTCAGGAACTTATTATTTATAAGGAGACCAAAAAGGTAAATATTACTGCACCTTATTTTTAAAAAATGTTCCGTTTACATTCAACACTTTGAGAAACCTCATACATTTATAGTAAAATCTTAAAGGTCTTTCTGTAGCCAATCATTTTTATTTCGTACTGGAAAAGCATTTCACATAGGAAATCGTCAACACCATTATCACCAGGATAGCAAAAATAGGAAGCGGGAATAGTGTTGATTTGTTACATGAACTTTCCAGGATTTTAAGGTGAAAAATATATTTTCAAGTCATTTTGATTTATAGGAGAAAAGGCAGCAGTTTTCAGTTCTTAAATATTGTCTGCCTATTCTGCAAGCACAATTTTCTGCGTTTGGAATTCAATGATGAGCAAAATGGGAAAGTTCCAATTTTGTGGAGATTACAGGTAGAAAAGTTATAAAATCTGAACGTAAAATTGCAACTGTGAAAAGCTTTAAGGCAGCAATTCTCAAACTTTTGTTTTCAAGACCCCTTACACTCTTAAAAATTGAGAATGTCAAAGCTTTTGTTTATATGGCTTATATCATTATTTAGCATACTAGAAAATCAAATGATAAACGTTAAAAATATTTGTTAATGATAATCTCATCTGTTAATGTAACATTTATATAAAAGTTAACTTCCAAACTAATTTAGTAAGAAGAGTGTCATTGTCTTGATTTTTGCATATTTCCAATTTCTGACTTAGGGCTGGATTCTCTTACCTGCCCTGCATTCAGTGTTTTGTAGTATGTCATTTTATTTGAAATATATGAAGAAAATCTGGCTATATGTGCATTTGTTTTTGGGAAAGGGAGGACTCTGGATTCCTTGAAAAGATCGCAGGGGTTCTTGGACCATAGTTTGGGAAGTGCTATTTTAAAGAAAAGGCACACTTTATTATGAGAGAACACATGGCCGAATATGATGGGAGTGTGGTTCAGGCAGTTTCTTCTTTTGTAAGCTTTCATAAAACAGCCTTCTTTTTATACATAAAGTATGTTTTCTGAAAGGTTAGATTTGATTACCAGCTGCCAAAAGGAATTTCTTCAGAGCATTTATCCTTATGATCTGAGTATCTCCAAAGTTAAATGCAATAGTATGGAGCAATACCAGTTTAGGTCACAGTTTTTCAGCAAAATTTGATGGAGTTGTTTTAAGTGGTTTCCGTTAAAAAAACAAACCTTTGAATCAATGTGTAAACATTCTGCAATTCTACCTTATATTCTACCCTCACACTTCCTAGTATTAATATGAACTGTATGTTTGGAAACATTTGTGCCCTGTCAAATGGTGTTGACATTCTTAACTCTGGTCGTAGGTCCTTTTAGGAATGTCTGTAGCCTTTTGATTGGAATGGAGTGGCTAAAATAAGACAAAAATCTCTAATAGTTTTTGAATGATAAATTACTACCTCGTTACTTTGTATAGACTGGAATCTGCACAGAAATGTGTATTCATCAGCCCTTATTTTTTGTAAATCTTTTCTCTAATTACTTGATGATTAATTTCATATTTTTCCTTTTGAACATTACATGCTGCTTATTACTAAGATTTTTTTCTCCAGATGACCTATTCTACCTGTTAGTTCACCAAGTCAGTCATATGTTGCCGGTTGCCAAGTGGCAAAATTATCACAGATATCAAACTCAGAAAATGTCAGGTAACAACAGCAGTAACTGCTTTCCAACCTGCAGTGGTGGACTGGGAGTGGGAAGTGAAAGTTCTGTTCACAATTGTATCAGTAACTGTTTTGGGAAAAATAATATTTTTTCAAGTTATGCTATCAACAGTACTAAATTGTTAGGATAGTAATTTTCCATGGCATTGTTTAGAACCTATTTTATGCCCAATTTTGAGATCTGTATAGACTTGAAAGCAGTTAAACACAAATTAAGGTTAATTTTTTAATTTGATCAGTTAATATGAGTACATGGTTTTAAAAAGTCAAATAGTTCTACAAGGTTCATAAGCAAAAAGCAACAGGCTTCTGCACTACTCTTCTCTCCAGAGGCAACCATTTTTAATTCTTTTAGATATTTAGGATATTTGCCTTCATGTTTGTGATATGCATATGCTATGTTTTAAGTTGCACATATTGTAATATCTATTGATGTCTTACTATAAAAGATAAGGATTTAGCTCTTACCAGCCTGTTCTCCTCTCCTCTCACCTTCTCTTTCTACATTCATGCAATAATTTTTGGTTTAAATCTATGTTCAAGTTTTACATTGTTGAATCATATAAATAAGTTGTAGCTAAGCCATGTAATACAATATGGTTACATTGCTTTGTATAATTTTTATTTTTCCTTTGATTAATAACTTGATTTTTTTCTTATTTGTACCTATCCCTAATTCATTCCCAACTGAATTTTAAACATTTTAAAGTTCAGCTTACACATTGATTTTTAAAATTGTGTTTACACGTTGATTTTAAAATGTAAGCATTAGGGATAGGTAAAAAGTGAATAAGCAAAGTGAATAAGCACATTCTGTGAATAAGCACTGAACTAATGGAGTTAAAACATGAATCAAAATATATACAGATAAATTAGATGTAGGAAAAACAATCAGAACCTTCAGTGACATTTTACAATCTTATCAAAAAGATATGTTAGCATTTAGACTATTTCAGGTAATATAGTAAACAGTTGATTCCCCGTAAGCAATGTATCAAAGAAATAACTATCAAAATAACTGCATTTATGTATAGTGTGTACTAAAATCTCTAGTGTTAACTTATGTAACCTCATTTTGTTCATCTCCATCATAAACATTGTATCCTTCTAATTTAATTAGTTCAATGTTTTTTGGTTCCTGAAAAAATACAACATCTTTAATTTTGCCAACAAAATTGGTTTTAAAAATCTCTTGAGTAACGATATTTACCTTTCTACCATATTCAAAGCCCCCTAGATAACAAATGCCATCATAGTTTAGAGCCACAAAGTTTTTATGTGGATCAATATCCTCGGAAAGAATTAGACTGTTATTTATGTAGGCCTTGATAAGAGTCTGATTTTGAATTACAACTACATGGTGCCATTTATTACAACAGAATGTGCCATTGTTATAGCTCATAGGCACAGAGATTCTTTCTCCCAAGTTAACTGCTATTTTCAAGGTCTGATTATGGAGACCAATTGCCAGAAAATCATTTTCTTCATTTTGAGCTATTCCCATCCATACAATTAGACCTTCTGTTTTAGTGGTACTGAAATTTAAGGATATAGTAGTGAACTGGAGGTTTCTCATTCTATAATTTGGATCAATGTATTTAATGTAAGAATTACCCATAAATTTTGCAGTTGAAAATGAAGTTTTGTTTTCACAATACCTTCCCACCCAACCCAAAGTACACAGGCAACTGTAAGAAAATGATTGGTCAGGTATACATAAAGATTGGTGGAGGCAAAGATTATTCAAACAGGACACAGACTGGTTACATGTATTTCCAGCCCAATCTGGCAAACATCTGCAAGAAAAAGTTGTGCCATTTACTGTACATTCACCTCCATTTCTGCATGTGTTGTACCCACAGGCTGTCCCATCACAGTCACCTACATTTGAGCCACCTTTTGCTCCAAATTCAGTTAATTGTAATTCTTGATTATTTATGATAACTTGTCGGATACAGCCTTGAAAACCTACAGGTTCATTTTCTATTGCCATGGGATTTACAAGATTTAAAGAAGATACTCCTCCAATATAGAAGTCTGTATTTGTGTCCAGAGAACTCATTTTAGTGGAGGCCTTTTCTGTTACATTTATCCCATCTAGATCCAGGTAGCCTTCTGCACCAACTCTTCCTGCTTTTATTATATGCCAAGTACTTCCGTTTATAGTTACTTTTTGGAGAGTTTCTAGAATGATAGTTCTGTCGCCAAGGTTGTAGCGAAGTTGAACGGAACTATTTACTAAAGAGATGCATAAAAAATCACCTGCAAGAAAGCAAACAGTAAGTTTGATTAGCAACAGTAAAAGTTTCCATTGAAAACTTTTGCTGTTTCTGGCCAAGTTGGATAAGTTTTAGTTATGGGGAAAAAAGTAACAGATCTTGAGCACAATTGTGTTAGTTTTGTTTCCACTCACAGAGCAAAATGCATATATCCTGTATTCTTTCATTTTGTTCAGCAATTGGCTACATAAATTTTCTCTAGTTGTGGACAGTTCTCATTGAATGAATATATTGTGGTAGTAAGTTAAAGTGAGGTTTTTCTTCAAATGAAAGCCTGTTCCTTATGATACCATTTAATGGCATTCACTATTGTCAGGCTAGGTACCTATAAATTCTCTGCACATTCCTGGCTCCTTTCCTGTCTCTCCAACCTTACCTGGAATGTTCTCTTTCCCCATCCTTACACTCTCTTTACTTCAACAACACTGACTTTGTTAATTAAGGATTTCATTCGCCTGTTTTCTAGGAACACTCCGCCACCCCATTCCACCTCAACTAGATAACTCCTACCTGTCCTTCAGGTTTCAGATCAAGTGTCACTTCCTCAGAGAAGTTTTCCTTGATTTCCCAGAGCTGGTCAGGAATTTTTTTCTGTCAGTGCCTTAATATCACTAGGTTTCCCTCCATTACAGTATATCTCATTTTATAATTATATAGTCGTGTGAAGAAATAGGAACAAATACCATCCAGCATCTGAAGTTGCAATGAGGCATTCAGAAGAAAAGTAAAGGCAATTCTGCAAGCTTGGAAAAAGCATGTTCTTCACTGTAAGATTGCTTGAAGAGGATAGCAAAATGACTTATTAATAATGAACCACGCAGAAGTCTCCACGAAACATTTTCTTCTCCCTCTGAAATTTCCCAACCTTTTTCTTTTCTCATCCAGGGATATTCGGCATTATGCTACACTACTTCTTCCTCCCTCCAGAGTGCCTATTTCCACACCTCCCTCCTGCAAATGGTGTTCTTTCCTTCTATTCTCCATTGTGGTCTATACCAAGCCATTCTAGACTGGTTGGAATGTTTGGCAGCTCTATAGTTCTTCACCTATCAAACTACGTTCTCTAGCTTTATTTTCCTCATAGGGAATTTTTAGTGAGTATACTATGTCGTTACATATGTGATATTTGGTTAACAGCTGCTTTATCCACTAGGTTGTAAGCTTTATGAGAACAGGGTCTGTGTTTGGTTTGGTCCAACAGTTGATTCCCAGCACCCAAAACGGTATCTGGCCCATAAATAGATGCTAAATAATTATTAAATAAAGAAATACGTTTGTAGGGTTGTGGGTTGAGATGACTCAGAATATTTCTCAAATAATAGTTTTAGCTTGAAAGCAAAAACTTTTTTCCTATAATGACATGAAAATTGTTTTAAAAATTCATAACAAAGAAACTCAGTTTATTTGCATAATTTCTAACATGTATAGCATTTTTAACTATAAGGAAAGAGAAGCAACATTATAAACTTTCAGATTAGGAAAGAAAAAATATACATTGGGTTATACCACCAAAAACTGGAACAAGTAAACATAATTGATAATTAAGTTCAAAAAATTTATAGCAACCTAAATATACTTTGTGGCCTGCAAGTGAACACAAACCAGTTATCTTTTGCAAGATTATGGAGGAAGCTTTTCTTGCTCCTTGTGTTGTAGAGTGTTCCTGTAGTAAACAATTTTATAGTGAAGAGCTACATTAGAATAAAAAATATCTAAGAAATGATTAGGAAAGCTGAAGCTGTGATCTATACTATCACTGGTCATGTTGCCAACCAGAAGAAAGAGCAAGGATAGCTTCTGCGAAGAAAGGATTATTTTAACTCAGCTAGTATGTTCTTACGAAAAATTGACAAAAAGTTTTCTTTCTGTGGCTATGGAAGCTAAAAGCTGTATTAGCTTAAAAAATCATAGACTTTTAAATTTCATTGCGTTAGGATATGATGCTCTAGTTATGGGTCATAAGTACACATTGGCATTATTATTATTATTATTATTATTATTATTATTATTATTATTATTATTTTGAGACCAGAGTCCTGCTCTGTCCCCCAAGCTGGAGTGCAATGGTGCAATCTCGGCTCACTGCAACCTCCATCTCCCGGGCTGCCTCAGTTTCCCGAGTATCTGGGACTACAGGCACTGGCCATCACGGCCGGCTAATTTTTGTATTTTGGGTAGAGCGAGGTTTTACCATGTTGGCCAGGCTGGTCTTGACCTCCTGACTTCAGGTGATCCGCCCACCTCGGCCTCCCAAAGTGGTGGGATTACAGGCATATGCCACTGCACCTGGCCTTGGATTCGCATTAGAGTAAGAAAATGTAATGAACAGTCCTTACAAGAAACAGAGCTCAAATAGGATAAAGATCATAAATGAATTCACTTTGGCTATTTAATGCCCACTCAACCATGGCTGAGGCTTCTCCCACCTTTGTTCTGCTATTGTTTCTACCTCATCATCTGCTATCCCACCGTGCTTTATTATAGATAAGAGAAACCTTGTAGGACCTAATATTTGTGAAGAGACTACAGAATCAGCATATCAGGGGAATTGTATATACATTTTTTTCTGTAGAAAAGGAAAGCAATGGTAATTTAAACTTATTTATATATTTTTAATATAGTTTAATTATTTGAGTATGTTTTAACTTCACATTGCAATGACTAGGCCTTTTTATACACGTTGGGAGGATTATAACTATATCAGATGAATTCAGGCTTTGATTAATTTGTGCTTAACAAAATGTTGATAATTTTTATATATCAAAAATCTTTTAAAGGTGTTAAATTTTTAGCAGAAATAGATGAAAAGGGACCAGAGTCTTATTTCTTTAAAATATCTTTCAAAAATCAGAGATCTGAGATCATCTAGTATAATTTTCAAGTTATCATTTTGTTTTAAATTTTACACTACTTGAGAGTACTCAAATTATTAACCTCTAAAGAGATACAGAAACCATGTTAATTTAGAATTTGGTTTTCAATATGTGAAAACCACATTGGCTGCTTTTATTAAAATTTTTGGATTTTAACTTTGTGTATTGTTTGGTTAGTTTTTACTAATAGGTCCTCTTAGCAGAGGATCAACTATGAAGACTTGGTTAATGTTTACATCAGGCACAGTTCTTAGAGAAGGTACAAAGTACAGGACTGTCAGCTGCATTTTCTGCAACCTTAAATAAATGAGAGACTTCAAATAAACTTGTTATATCACTTGATTACTAAAAAATAAGTTTATGCCTTTCATCTGATAATTGTTTTTGGTTAATCTAGGTTTAAGCATGTAGAACTTATATTTTTAATATTTAAAAATTTTCATGATTTTCTTATATAAGTGTCAAATGCAGCATCAATCGTGTGAAACTAATGAATCTCTGTAAGTAGTGTCTGATGGCATAAAAAAGGAAACTCTTGATTGTCTTGAACTACATGCATTGAATAACAGATGTAAGAAGATGTGCTCTTGCCCTCCTATGTGTATTAGTGTGTATGAGCTTTATATTTCATATACACAAACAAATATGTATCGTTGTACTGATTATAAAACTGTAGTACAATATTCCCAGCCAGTCACAATCCTGAATATACCTTGATTTTCTGCCCTCTTACATAGGTCCCACTTAACATTAATTTTGAGTTTTATTAGCAATATAACTGAAGCTGATTGTCTTTTAATGTCTCTTGATTTATAAATAGAAAATTTATGTTTGTATGTGGTTCTCCTATTTGACATTTTCACAGGGAGATTTAATCATGAATTTAAAACCAAATATCTCAGGAGAACAAATTTCTTCTGAGCTGTATTTTATAGCTCAATTGTACTTTTTCTCTTTGAAATTATTTTGAGGGTATTTCAGAAGTGCATTGAGGTGGAACCACTTTGGTCGAATTCCCTGATATTCTTATCATTTAGAAGCAAGTCAAGACACTTCTATAAGAACTACTTAGATTATGATCATTAGAGCACCATTTTTGCTAATGATGTGAAATTTAGCAAATGTAATTATTTCTCAATATCAAAATTGTTTCTCATTTTCTGAGAGACAAGATCAAAGAAAGTCAAATGTAAGATTTTAAAAATACTTAGCAATAGAGATGTAACTATATGTGCAGATGTCTTTGTCAGAATTTTGGAGAAATGAATGAAAATGGATATCAAGGGTAAAGTAAAACCTAAAAAATTAAATTTTAAAACACTAATTGGATACTTTATTTCATATTTTATGATAAATATGTACCTTTTAAAATCCTAAAATGTTTTTGTAAGCATTTCAGAACACAAATCCTGGGTTTACTGTTTGGATGACAGAACAACTTAAAGAGAATTTTTGGAGCTATAAATGTGGTTGAATCTACAGGAAATGTATCAGCCATGCCTTCCTTTTAAAAAATCTTTTATATGCATATTTTGTCTCCTTTGACATAGTACTATCGTGCATGGCTTTAATGTCTTTTTTGATGGTATTGTTTTTAAGTTGAGCATATACTATATTTAGATTTTGCAAACTTTAATTCCAACAAATCTGTTGCTATTTTATTAGAATATCTAGGGCTTCTAAATTCATACGCATACACTTGCAGTGACAATAGAACATAAAAGCATCAAATGTTTACATATTTAAATACTAGGTGACACAAACACTATCATACATTACTTAATAGACTATTAGGAATTCATTCTGCAAACAAACAGCCTGCCAATCTTACCTGATTGGGCTTTTAAGTGTTGTGCAGCATAAAATAGGATACCATCTGCAGCGAGAGGCTGAAACTGCAATTGAATATGTGTCTTTTTTCGAACATGAAAGGAAGCAAAAGACATCCAGGATAACTCATTGCTTCTGAAAGATGGATCACTTATGGATAAAGCTGAGGGAAGGAGAGAAAGAGAACTCTGGGAGTTATCTGCTGGATTAAAAAACATTGCTCATAAATACAATAAACTGCTTATGTAATTTTGTAATTTCAGGATTTATCGCCCAAGAGTTGCTTGTAGGTGAGTACATCAAACCTTGGTAACTTTGTGAGTCTGTTTTAATTCCACTAACTTTAGGGTTTTGTAACGAAGTCACTTACTGAAAAGCCTTCTCTTGCTTCTGGTAACTATGCCTTTTTGGCCGATACTATCTGACACAAATCTTCTGCTCTAGATTGCATTATATAGAGGGATCAGATGCATAGCTGAAATTCTTGGAAATGTCTTACATTTATAATGCTTTCAGAAAGTTCAAATGTTGGAAGATAGAGGACAACACTTTATAAGTTATTCTTCAGCCTCTATATTTCTGATTCAAATACAGAGTATAATTGAGTCAGGATATATTATAAGGCATAATATATTGATTTTTTTTTTTGCTTCTGTGTATAACTGACCCAATGGGAATTATGAGAGGGAGATGGAAAGTTCTGCACATTTGGCCAGTTTTTATCCCTATGAAATCTATATTCCTTCTTCTTTTCTTATAATGTTACAGTGCTTCTTAGAGTGCGCCCTGGTTCAGGACATAGCTTAGCCATTAATCTAGTTATTTAGTTTTCTCCCTGCTCTGTGGACCAGGCGTATGCTAACGGCTCCTTTTACTTTAGATTGAATAATTGGTAGGTGTTTATCCAAGAGGTGTTGGCATTTGCTGATTTTTTTTAAAAAACTGTACTCATTCATTTCGACTTATTGCTATTCAGAAGGGTAGAGGTTAGAATCACCTGATCGTGTTGCCAAGAATGCAAAGCGCTATACCTCATTCCTAGAGGGCCTGATTTATTAAAGCCAGGATGGAGGCTGGGCACGGTGGCTCACTCCTGTAATCCCAGCACTTTGGGAGGCTGAGGCTGGAGGATTGCTTGAGCTCAGGAGTTTGAGACCAGCCTGAGCAACATGGCGAAACACCATCTCTCAAAAAAAAAAAAAAAAAAAAAAAAAAAAAAAATATATATATATATGTTAGCTGGGCATGGTGGCGAATGCCTGTGGTCCCAGCTACTGGGGAGGCTGAAGTGGAAGGATCAGTTGAGCTTGGGAGGTGGAGGTGGGGGTGGAGGTGGGGGTGGAGGTTGCAGTAAGCTGAGATGGCACCACTGCACTCCAGCTTGGGCGACGGAGTGGGACCCTGTCGTAAAAAAAAAAAATGCTGGGATGGGATTCAGAAAGCATCCCCATTTTTAATAAACCCTCCTGGTGTTTCTGACATAGGGGTTCCTTGGACCACATTTTCATAAAATCTGGTTAAAATTTTAAGAACACAAGGGTGATTTAAAATGTGAGTGTCCTTTTGAAACTTTTTAAAATATTGCTAAATTAATACATGTTTATTATAAGACAAACAATATAAAAGTGTATAACATTTTTTAAGTGAAATTTCATTGTTTCTCCTCTCTTAATCCCAAGAATTACTGTTAAGTTTATTGTACATGTAGCCAGACTTTAAAAAAATACACATACAATTAACATATGCATATATCTAATACTTGATTTATTTTAAATAAAACCACATTTTATATAAACTATGCATAAGTAATTGCTTTTTTCCATCTATCTTTGTGAAACTGATATTAGCATATTTTGCCTATCACTTCTTTTAAATACATGGAAGGTATTTTTAAAAGTACACTTTATTTTTTCAGAGCCATTTTAGGTTCACTGCAAAACTGAGTGGAAAGTATTAGGGTTTCCATATACCCCTTGTCTCAACACATGCGCAGCCTTCTCCACTGTCAGTATTGCCCACTAGAGTACATTTGTTAAATGGATGACTCTATATTGACACATCATTATCACATAAGTTCATCATTTACATAGGATTCACTCTTCACGTACATTCTATGGATTTTGACAAATGCGTTGTGAAATTTATTTACCATTACAGTATCATACATAAAATCATACATCATATCCTCTTTGCTTGCCTATTTGACTCTCCCTCCACCCTGGCAACCACTGATCTTTTTTTACTGACTTCATGGTTTTGCCTTTTCCAGTATATCATATAGTTGGAATCATACAGTTTGAACACAAGTTTTCAGCTCCTTTGGACAAATACCAAGGAACACAATTGCTTGATCATATGGTAAGAGCATTTTTAGTTTTGTAAGAAACTGCCCAATTGTCTTCCAAAATTGTTGTACAATTTTGCATTACCAGTAATGAATGAGAGTTCCTATTGTTCCATATCCTTGCTGGCTTTAGGTGATAAGTGTTCGGGTTTTAGCTATTCGAAAAAGTATCTAGTGTTATCCAATTATTATAATTTGTAATTTCCTAATGATGTAAGATGTTGAGCATTTTCATATGCTCATTTGCCATCTGAATATCTTCTGTAGTGAGGTTTATGTTTAGATATTTTGCCCATTTTAAAAATTGAGTTAATTTTTGTGTTGAATTTTAAGAATTCCTTGTTTACTTTGGATAGCAGTTCTCTATCAGATATATATTTTGCAAATATTTTCTGCCAGTCTGTGGCTTGTATTCTCACTCTCTTTCATGTGTCTTTGACAGATTAGTTTTTTAATTTTAATGAAATCTAATTTATCAATTTTTTTCTTTCATGGATTCTGCCTTTGGTTGGCATCTAGAAACTCATCATCAAACTCAAAGTCATCTAGATTTTCTCTTATATTTTCTTCTAGGAGTTTTATAGTTTTTTATTTTACATTTAGGCCTTGAATCCATTTTGAGTTAAATTTTGTGAAAGATGTCATGTCTGTGTCTAGATTCTTTTTTTTTTTTCTTTTTGCATGTGGATGTCCATTTCTTCTAGCATCATTTGTCGAAAAGATTATCCTTTCCCCATTTTATTCTTCTTCCTCTTTTGTCAAAGAGCAGTTGACTCTATTTTGTGGCATAATATTTTATAAAATGGATATAGGATGATTTCCTTAGCAGTTCCCTCATTGAAGGGTAACTAGGCTATTTTCAGTTGTATTCCATTTCTCCTGGTTTCCCACCCTATCTCTCTAGCTTCATGTGCCCCTGTCTTATAAATTTTATAATTCCTCAGGGCTTTCCATAGCCCATCTCTCTTCTTTTCTTTCCATTAGTGACCTCTCATCTAATTCCATGACTTTAAGAAATACCTATACATATGATAACTCCTTGAAAATTTACGTCTATCTAAACCTCTTCTGTCAGCTTCAGTTTTATATAGTCATCTCTCTTATTGATTATTTGTTTTGGCTATATGAGTTATATCGAACTTAACATGTTTGAAGTTGTACTGCTGAAAGATACTCTTCCCTCAGCCTTCCTCAGATCAGCAAATGGTCCCACCACCCATTCAAAGCCCCATGTAGAAACTTGGTAATCAATTTGATTGTGCTGTTTCCAAAATTTCCTTTATGTTTCCCAATATAATGCATTAATAGATTATAGCTGCATGATATATTTCATATTTGCCCCATCTTTCTATTACCACTGCCACCATCCAAGTTGATGCCACTATCAACTCTTGATTAGACCATTGCAATGTACTCCTCATTGATCTTTTTACTTTTTGTCTTAATCTCTTCACATACATTTTATATATCTGCCAGAGAAACCTTTTGAAAACATCAATTCATTGCCCTCTTTAAACCCTTCAGGGATTTTACTTAGAATAAAATGCAGATTCTTTACCATAGCCTCTGGAGCTTTGCATGATTTGGCCTCCTGTTAAATTCCCAACATTCCCACCATTGTGCATATGGTGCACTGCATAACCCCAAGGGGAAGTCATCACATTGTAATTTATGTGAATAGTGTTCCCTGGAGATGTTCAATGAACAATCTACATGGAAATATGATGCTACTTTTCCTCCTTTTCTTTAAACTTCAGATGCACTGGCTTTTACTACTGGATTTGTCATAGTTTGATTATCTTAGATTAATTATACCACAATTTACTTAACCACTGCCATGTTGCCATGTTTTGAGTTGCTTGAAATTATTTTGTTATCGTCTGGGCATGGTGGCTCATGCCTGTAATCTCAGCACTTTGGGAGGGCAAGGTGGGCGGATCACGAGGTCAAGAGATCGAGACCAACCTGGCCAACATGATGAAACCCCGTCTCTACTAAAAATACAAAAAATTAGCTGGGCATGGTGGTGCGCACCTGTAGCCCCAGCTATTCAGGAGGCTGAGGCAGGAGGATCGCTTGAACTTGGGAGGCAGAGGTTGCAGTGAGTTGAGATCGCACCACTGCACTCTAGCCTGGTGACAGAGCAAGACTCCACTTCAAAAAAAATTATTTTGTTATTACTAATACTGATAAACATACTTAATTATATCTCGTTTTAAACATGTGAGAAATGGAATCGCAGTGTGATGGTCTGTGTTCATTTTTAGAGTTAATAGATGCCACCAAACTACACTCTAAAGTGTCCACAACCAGCAGAGGGTGACAGAATATCCTTATATATATCCTCAAGCACACTTGAGATTATTGAAATTTTAAGTTTTTAGCAGTCATAATGATTCCATTTTATTTTAATTTGCATTTTGCTGATTACAAGTGAAGTTGAGTTTCTCGTGTGAATATTGGCCATTTGTGTTTTTCTGTGACTTTTTTGTTTATGTCTGTTGTATGTTTTTAAATTCGATTTGCAATTTTTAAAATGTCTTCTGAGTCCTAATCCTTTCTTATATCTATTGCAAGTATATCCTCATATTTGTCATTTTTCTTTCAACTTTACTTATGGTATGCTATTCAAAATTTTTAAGTTTGTATTTACCAATATTCTTGGTCTTTTACAATTTACTTGTTTTGTCTTATTTAAAAACATTACTCAACACATAGTTATGTATAATCATCTATATTTTTCCCTCAGAGATTCTAGTTTTGCATTCTATATTTTTTTACCATAAATTTGTATGTTTTTAAATTTATAGGCCTTTAACTTATGTGGCTCATAGTATTGTGAATAGTTTGAGCTAGAAATCAAGCTTTATGTTATAAGCAGATAGCTAATATTTTTCAAAAATTAATAGTTTGTCCTCTTTGTTTGTATTTGATACACACTTTTAGCATCTTACAAGTAATATTTTCCCTCTCCCTCTTGAGGAAGTGTTTGTAGGAAATATTGAACAGAATGAAGAATGCAGATAAAAAACACCTATAAGGCTAGGTTTTGTGGTAGTACCTATTTGGCTTTGCTGCTTTCCTTTGGCTGGATTTAACATCTGGGAGGGGGGGTCTCAAGAATGGAAGAGTTCAGTCAACAACAGCATGATGAGAGGGTTCCCTGTTACCCAGTGGGGAGGAGCTCGAATTGTATTTCAAGAGGAAGCTTTTGCTGAAACTATTGCTGATACTGGGTCAGTGCAGGAGTTGAGAATTATCTGTGCACATGTGAGCGTATCATAAAACAGCTGACCTCCTAACTCGTGCTTTTCCAAAGAAGTGACACATGCTGAAATTATATGTAAATGTCACTGAACTAAACCTCAAAAGAAATGAATTTTATTAATAGCTCTGACATTGTATGTTTTGAGAAGATGCTCAATACATATTTTTTATATAACAAGAAAGGCTTCAGCTCTAATAGCTTATTATTTGATTAAGTATTCAGTAACAAAGTACTGGGGAGGATTGCATTTTCTAATAATAATACACATTCAAAATATTGGTGCAAGATGTCATTTCAAAAAGAGGTACATTTTTATTTAGCAGCTTCAAGGATAAACTAGAACAGGAAAAATGACTATGCTTAGTATGACTCAAATGTTTATTTTATAGATTAAAATAAAGTCAAGAGAAAAATTGAGGTGGACATACCAGTGATTAGTCATTGAGATACGCCCAATTATTTCTTGTATGTCTATCAACTCCTAAAAATGATCACTTTGTGGTGAAAATATTCCACATGTATTCTGAAACCGTAAATTAATATTTCCTGATTGGCTATCCATCTTTTAGATTTAGTGACCATTGGCAACCCTCCCTATTTCACCATAGGCAAAGGTTTGTGCCAACACGTTCACTAGGTTCACAGAAGTTGAAGTATTTTGGCTACCTGTCCGGGACATAACAGTAAAACAAACAAAAATTATTTGTGCTGTCATCCTTGTGGATGGAAATAGTAAATTAAATAAACATGTTGGTAAACTAAATATATGATGTATGTTTAAATAGTGAATATATGTTGATACATCTTAGAAAAACAGGGAAAGGAGAAAGGCATGTATGCATGTGGGGGCAGGAAAGGCATTATGAAGAAGGTGGTATTTGAATAAACACCTCAAGGAGGTAAAGAATTGGGCCAAGTGGCTCTTTGAGGATAGAGGGAATAATGAACCCTGGGGTGATAGGGTTCCTACCATGATTAAAGAACAGGAAGGAGGGCAGTGTGACTGGACGAGTGTTAAGGAAGGGGAGAGTTTTAATAGATAAAGTCAGAGAGGTTATGGGGACCAGATCACATTCTCAAAGACTGGGAAGGTTCTGAGACTTTCACCTACTGGCTAGCTAACTTACTAGCCTGCAACTTCTCTTCTTTTCCTTTTAATTTCAACTTGTATTTTAGGTCCAAGGGTACATGTGCAAGTTTGTTATATGGGTAAAGTGCATGATGCTGAGGTTTGGCGTACAATTGATCCCATCACCCAAGTAGTAAGCATAGTACCCAATAGGTAGTTTTTCAGCCCTTGTGCCCCTCCCTCCCTACCCCCTCTAGTAGACCCCAGTGCCTATTGTTCCCATCTTTATATCTGTTTGTACTCAGTGTTTAGTTCCTACCTATAAGTGAGAACAGGTGGTATTTGGTTTTCTGCTCCTGTATTAATTTGCTTACGATAATGGCCTCCAGCTGTATCTATGTGCTTGCAACATTTTCAATGATGCTAGTAAGAGACATGAAACTCCAGAGACAAAGGAAAGTTTATTACAGCATTAGCAGTAGCCAAAGTATCAGCATTTTTTACTCAATTCTATGAACCTCAGTTCTCTCACGGACCACGTTATAAACATGCATTGGGTTGCTTGGGGAGGAAGTCTGAGGTTAGAGATCCAAATATTTTTATAATGGGCAGTGAGCATGCTTGCTTTTTGCTCCAAATGAAGACAGTATCTCCATCTTATAAGGCAGTAAGCAAACTGGCTTCTTGCTCCAAAGGAAGACATTATCCCTGTCTTCCAAGAATATTTTCTACACAAACATATTTGAAAAGATAGCCAAGAACAAAAACAGCCAGTACCTTTAATCAGCAGGTGGAGGCAATTGTCCTAAGCAAATTAACACAGAAACAGAAAACCAAATACTGTGTGTTCTCATAAGTGGGAGCTAAACATTGGATACACATGGACATAAAGATGGGAACAATTGACACTGGGAACTACAAAATCGGGACGAGGCAGATGGGAGTAAGGGTTGAAAAACTATATTGAGTACTATGCTCACTACCTGGGTGACTGGGTTCAATTGTACCTCCAACCTTAGAATCATGCAGCACACTCTTGTAACAAACCTGCACATGTACCTCCTGAATCTAAAATAAAAGTTGAAAAAAAACTTGTGTAGAAACATGACAGACCAGTAGAAAATTGTCTCTCTACATATTATGGCTATTACATCCATCAAGACTGTCTTATAAGAATGAGATGGGAAATCATTGGAAAGCTTTGAGCAGAGGAGTGTCATCATCTGATGGAAGTTAAACAATATCGCTTTGGTTGCTGCACTGAGAATACAGTGACGAATGCAAATGTGGGAACAGGGCACTCCCTATCAAGAGGTTATTACTATAATACTGGTAAGAAGTGATGGTGGCTTGTATCAGAGAAGTAGCAGTGGAGGTAGTGAAAAGTCATATTTCAAATATATTTTGAAAAATTGAAAGATCACATGTGGGTAAGAAAGAAGGAGAGGAATCAAGGGTAACTATGGGGTTTTTGTCCTGAGAAACTAGAAGGATAATGTTGTCATTAACTGAAATGGGGAAGACTGTGGGAGAAGCAGGTATTTTGGAGAAGATGTGGAGCTCAGGTAGGACACATTTGAGATGTTTTTAAGATGTTCAAGGTGGTGGTTTAGTAGGCTGATGTATGATCTAGAATTTAGTAACTAATAGATCAAGCAACAGAGATCGGTAAGGAATTTAGGAGATTTAAACAACACAATCAACATGTTTGATATCATGGACATAGACATAGCATTTGACCTTCCCAATATGCATTCTTGTCAAAAACACACAAAATATATACAAATATTTGCTAAATACTGGGCCATAAAACAAGCCTCAAAAATACAAAAGAATTGATATTATATTTACATTTACAGACTTGCTCAAAGCTATGATTCAGAGGAAAAACATGCTTACTCTGCCTGTGCATCAGTAGCAGGTAGCACGAGGCCTTACATTGCTCAGTTTAATTTGTACCTTTGAAGCTTTTGTTTTGTTTTGGTTTCTCTGTCTACACCACGTTTGCTGTGTCTGAGTTTACTTTTGAGTTGCTTTAAAAAATCATTTTGTGCAATGGAAACAATGGCGGTTTGAGTGTTGAGGGTGCTTATAAGAGGTGTGTAATAATGGAAATATAATTTTTTATAACTCACTTTGAAACAATTTTGAACTTATAGATAAGTTGCCATAACAAAAAGAACTCTCATCTCTTTCACCCAGACTCTCCAATTGTTCCTATTTTATTGCATTTTCTCATCTTTTTCGTTCTCTCATTTCCTGTCTCTGTCTTCCTGTGTCTCTGTCTGTCTCTGTCACACACACACACACACACACACCCTACTTATTATTAGACCTTTTTCCCAACCTATAAAAACAAGCTAAAGATGCAGTGTCCTACAACTTCTAAACATTCTAGTCAATGTTTCCCGTAAACAAGGATATTTTCCTATATAATTAGCACTCAAACCTCCAAATCAGGAGTCAACATTGATACAACACTACAATCCAACAATCCAATCCATAGGCATGATTCACGTTTCAACTGTTCCAACAAGGTCTCTTTTTCCTTTCTTGTCCAGGATGCCCTTCAGGAATGCGTTACATTTAGTTGTCATGTCTCTTCATATTTCTTCAATCTGGAACAGTTCCTCTTACTGTTTTCCATATTCTTGACAGTTTTTAAGAGGCTTTACATCCTGTAGAATGACCCTCAACTTAGCTCTATCTGGTGTGTCTGCACGATCGATTCAAACCATGTAATCTTTGTAGAAATGACGTGCACATCAAGAGCTACATAATGTAGACCCGTATCACTACAGTTAATACTAAACTTGATTATTGAGCAGATGATCAAATATACAAATAGGAGCAATATTTGGATTTGCCAGGTTTCTTCACTTAAAATTCTGTGTTTTCCCATTTGTCAATTTTGGCTTTTGTTGCCATTGCTTTTGGTGTTTTAGACGTGAAGTCCTTGCCCATGCCTATGTCCTGAATGGTATTGCCTAGGTTTTTCTTCTAGGGTTTTTATGGTTTTAGGTCTAACGTTTAAGTCTTTAATCCATCTTGAATTAATTTTTGTATAAGGTGTAAGGAAGTGATCCAGTTTCAGCTTTCTACATATGACTAGCCAGTTTTCCCAGCACCATTTATTAAATAGGGAATCCTTTCCCCATTGCTTGTTTTTCTCAGGTTTGTCAAAGATCAGATAGTTGTAGATATGTGGCATTATTTCTGAGGGCTCTGTTCTGTTCCATTGATCTATATCTCTGTTTTGGTACCAGTACCATGCTGTTTTGGTTACTGTAGCCTTGTAGTATAGTTTGAAGTCAGGTAGCGTGATGCCTCCAGCTTTGTTCTTCTGGCTTAGGATTGACTTGGCGATGCGGGCTCTTTTTTGGTTCCATATGAACTTTAAAGTAGTTTTTTCCAATTTTGTGAAGAAAGTCATTGGTAGCTTGATGGGGATGGCATTGAATCTATAAATTACCTTGGGCAGTACGGCCATTTTCACGATATTGATTCTTCCTGCCCATGAGCATGGAATGTTCTTCCATTTGTTTGTATCCTCTTTTATTTCATTGAGCAGTGGTTTGTAGTTCTCCTTGAAGAGGTCCTTCACGTCCCTTGTAAGTTGGATTCCTAGGTATTTTATTCTCTTTGAAGCAATTGTGAATGGGAGTTCACTCATGATTTGGCTCTCTGTTTGTCTGTTATTGGTGTATAGGAATGCTTGTGATTTTTATACGTTGATTTTGTATCCTGAGACTTTGCTGAAGTTGCTTATCAGCTTAAGGAGATTTTGGGCTGAGACAATGGGGTTTTCTAGATATACAATCATGTCATCTGCAAACAGGGACAATTTGACTTCCTCTTTTCCTAACTGAATACCCTTTATTTCCTTCTCCTGCCTAATTGCCCTGGCCAGAACTTCCAACACTATGTTGAATAGGAGTGGTGAGAGAGGGCATCCCTGTCTTGTGCCAGTTTTCAAAGGGAATGCTTCCAGTTTTTGCCCATTCAGGATGATATTGGCTGTGGGTTTGTCATAGATAGCTCTTATGATTTTGAGATACATCCCATCAATACCTAATTTATTGAGAGTTTTTAGCATGAAGTGTTGTTGAATTTTGTCAAAGGCCTTTTCTGCATCTATTGAGATAATCATGTGGTTTTTGTCTTTGGTTCTGTTTATATGCTGGATTACATTTATTGATTTGCATATATTGAACCAGCCTTGCATCCCAGGGATGAAGCCCACTTGATCATGGTGGATAAGCTTTTTGATGTGCTGTTGGATTTGGTTTTCCAGTATTTTATTGAGGATTTTTGCATCAATGTTCGTCAAGGATATTGGTCTAAAATTCTCTTTTTTGGTTGTGTCCCTGCCCGGCTTTGGTATCAGGATGATGCTGGCCTCATAAAATGGGTTAGGGAGGATTCCCTCTTTTTCTATTGATTGGAATAGTTTCAGAAGGAATGGTACCAGTTCCTCCTTATACCTCTGGTAGAATTTGGCTGTGAATCCATCTGGTCCTGGACTCTTTTTGGTTGGTAAGCTAATTAAAGTGAAGAGCTTCTGCACAGCAAAAGAAACTACCATCAGAGTGAAGAGGCAACCTACAAAATGGGAGAAAATTTTCGCAACCTACTCATCTGACTAAGGGCTAATATCCAGAATCTACAATGAACTCAAACAAATTTACAAGAAAAAAACAAACAACCCCATCAAAAAGTGGGTGAAGGACATGAACAGACACTTCTCAAAAGAAGACATTTATGCAGCCAAAAAAACACATAAAGAAATGCTCACCATCACTGGCCATCAGAGAAATGCAAATCAAAACCACAATGAGATATCATCTCACACCAGTTAGAATGGTAATCATTAAAAAGTCAGGAAACAACAGGTGCTGGAGAGGATGTGGAGAAATAGGAACACTTTTACACTGTTGGTGGGACTGTAAAGTAGTTCAACCCTTGTGGAAGTCAGTGTGGAGATTCCTTAGGGAACTAGAACTAGAAATACCATTTGACCCAGCCATGCCATTACTGGGTATATACCCAAAGGACTATAAATCATGCTGCTGTAAAGACACATGCACACGTATGTTTATTGTGACACTATTCACAATAGCAAAGACTTGGAACCAACACAAATGTCCAACAATGATAGACTGGATTAAGAAAATGTGGCACATATACACCATGGAATACTATGCAGCCATGAAAAATGATGAGTTCATGTCCTTTGTAGGGACATGGATGAAATTGGAAATCATCATTCTCAGTAAACTATCGCAAGAACAAAAAACCAAACACCCCATATTCTCACTCATAGGTGGGGATTGAACAATGAGAACACATGGACACAGGAAGGGGAACATCACACTCTGGGGACTGTTGTGGGGTGGGGGGAGGGGGGAGGGATAGCTTTAGGAGATATACCTAATGCTAAATGACGAGTTAATGGGTGCAGCACACCAGCATGGCACATGTATACATATGTAACTAACCTGCACATTGTGCACATGTACCCTAAAACTTAAAGTATAATTATAAAAAAAATACATACAGACATATATACACACATAAAAAAAATTCTCCATTTTCCCTTGTAATTCATTTCTACGTCAGGCAAAAGTATTCAAAAATTATATCCATATCCTGATCCTCAACTAATCTCCACCCACTAGCAGCATTAACTTTCATCGATGACTCCAGCAGGAATTAACTACCTTTTGGAGATCGTTGCTACATACTGATTATCTACTTACATCATTCGTGTTACGTTTATTAGCTGGAATTCCACTAATAAATAAATGTATGGAAGATCTTTCCTTTTTCTCATCCTCCTTCATTTCCTCTTTCATTTTTCCCTGCCTCCCTCCTTCCTCCCCTCCTTTCTATCGGTATGGTATCATTATTTTTATTTAATGGATTGTAATCTATTATCATAATTGTTTTGTTTATCAAATTCTCCCTGATTTGGCCAGCTAGAGCTCCTTCAAGCTGGTTCCTGTGTCCTCCTGTCTCAGGTTATTTTTCTAGAAGCAGACTCTGGGATGGAACTTAGTGTATGGGAGGTTTATTGGAGAGTGTGCTTGGAAGCAACATGTGTGAGGGAGAAAACAGCAAGAGGGAGAAGTTGGCAGCTGATTTCACAGGGAGCTCTGGAGCTCCCTGGAGCTCTTTAGAGTCATTTCACATTGAAGCAAAGTGGCCAGGTCTTTGGAGCACCCCTCTCTTCCTGTCATCTTCTCTTTAAACAGTTATTGGATTAAAGCTGTCACTGGTGAGGTGGTGTAACCTTGGACAAGGCAGCTCTCTTCAGTCCTCGTGAGGGACTTACCTTTGAACTCTCTGTTGGCAATATTCCCAAAAGTTGAGGAAGTGAGTACCTCCATTTAGAAAGGGGTGGGGTGCAGATCTGCATTATGTACCATAACATTCACTTCAAGGAAATTCAACATTGACCTTGCTACTATTTTACTTTATGAATTAAAAAGTAAACTTATTCCCCCCACCCCCAAGACAGAGTCTTGCTCTGTCTCCTAGGCTGGAATGCAGTGGTGTGATCTTGGCTCACTGCAACCTCTACATCCTGCGTTCAAGCAATTCTCCTGCCTCAGCCTCCTGAGTAGCTGGGATTACAGGTGCATGCCACCACGCCCAGCTATTTTTTTTTTTTTTTTTTTTAGTAGAGACGGGGTTTTGCCATGTTAGCCAGGCTGGTCTCGAACTCCTGACCTCGTGATCCACCCACCTCAGCCTCCCAAAGTGCTGGGATTACAGGTGTGAGCCACCATGCCCGGCAGAAAGTATTAATTTTCTTATTTATAGCACTTAAGATTACATGAAAATATTCAGCACTTTTGGAACCACAAAAATTCCAAAAAGATAATGTGTATAACGAAGTGTAGTCCTAATTAGGTTGAAATGCTATATTCCAGATGTTAATTAAGACCCTGATATGGTTTGGCTGTGTCCCCACCCAAGTCTCATCTTGAATTCCACATGTTATGGGAGGAACCCAGTGGGAGGTGATTGAGTCATGGGGGCAGGTCTTTCCTGTGCTGTTCTGATAGTGAATAAGTCTCACGAGATCTGATGGTTTTAAAATGGGAGTTTCACTGCAGAAGCTCTCTTCTCTTTGCTTGCCACCATCCATGTAAGACGTGACTTGCTCCTCCTTGCCTTCTGCCATGATTGTGAGGCCTCTCCAGCCATGTGGAACTGTAAGTCCATTAAACCTCTTTTTCTTCCCAGTTCCAGGTGTGTCTTTATCAGCAGCATGAAAATGGACTAATACAGATCCTGACTTTTGTTTTCAAAACACTTTGCTTGAAGAGCTGAATATAAGTTGGCACCTCCCATTTCTCTCACCTGGTTTGAAATTCTTATAATAAAGCTATGTGTTTAAAAATGTCAGTGTCTCATGTTCCTAGATAAGGGATGGATCTATTTTAAAGATGAGATAGATGAAGAAATATTTAGAATGGATTCTGTGTTTTGAAACAATGCATAGATAGTTGATACTTTTATTGTTATGTGCATTAAGGTTTTACAGCTTGAGTACTGAAAATTCTGATGCCTTTTGGGTGTGAATGGGTCTGCCTCTAGAAGCAGAGAGAAGCCACAAATAGGACTTCACAGAAACCACAAATAGGATTCAAAGGACTCTGATTTAGTAAGTAGCATCTATCATCATTAAATTAGCTGCTCAACGTTTCCTCTGTTGTTCATTTTGAGGTAGAATTTGGGAAAGGTCCAGGGTTTTCAGTGACTCATACCAAGTTTTTCTGGCAGTGAATCATCTTTGGGAGACTTTAGAAATCCATATAGGTTAATTAAGAATAAAACGCCACAACTGCTCTTCTTGGATAACTGATCTACTGAGTTCTGGCCAATAGCTTCAGGGATGGTCAGAGTAAGGGGCTGTTTCAGAAGCGTTAGTGGTTAGTTTTCTGAGAGGAATAATAACTAATAATTCAAGTTACTTCTAAATTACACAAACTTCACTCATGATCACCACTTTTATGGTCTTTATTATAAATAGAATCCCTCAGAGAGATTAATAATATTTATATTTACTCCTGTTTAACAAGTGCAGCATTAACTGGCCAATACCATCTAGTAAAAAAGAAAATAGAATAGGCTGATTAGTGAAGTGGAAACACTTGGATTGCAATGAAGTACCATCTGATTTATGAAATCCATAGATTTCTAAAACAATATTTTGAGTAAAGATATGTGTTCTCAAAACACTTAAGGATAAATGATATGGAATATCAAAGGAAGATGTTTTTAATATGAGCAAAAGATTGCTTCAGGGAGAGCACAGACTGGCATAATATCAAAGATCAAGAAAAAGATTCAAGGATTTGTCACAATTTATTGAAAGGGCTGAACTTGGTAGGAGTCAGCCAATAAGTAGCTTGATTTTCCCCTGTGATTCCCCTTTGGAGATGTCTGTGAGATCTTTCATTCTCATCCTTGATGGTACCTTGGGTAAATTTGTTAGATCTGTTGTCATTTTCAGGTTTCAGTGAAAAGTTCCCATTTTCAGGTACTAAGAGACCCCGTTCAATCTGAATCAAACTGTCAACATTTCACCTAATTCTAAGCTCCAATCCTTTTTCCACAGCTCATCTGACTCAAATTTAGAAAGCTGTACTAGGGTAGTCAGGGTAGTCGTATGTTTTTGTTTTGCTGTTTGTACTGGTCCTTACCCTCCTTCTTCACTTTCCGTTCTGCTGGTTTTGGCTTTTCCAAGATCACAATGAGGATAAGTGCTAAGAAGACAAGAGAAGGGTCTTTTTTGTCTGCTGCTATTTGTGGCTCTTTATCAGCAGTCTAATATCTTCTGTCGTGGCAGACACTCTTTGGATCTTTGAAACCTCTTTAACTCTTCACTTGTACATCTGTCCTGCAGTTCTTGACAAGGCTGATGCTTCTTGGCAGACCATTTATGAATCCAAATCAGCTTTTGCTCTTGTGGGAGGCCTCCAGCACATTTCCTCTTGAGACAACTTACCTTTCTGGTCAAGGTTTTTTTTTAAGGTGACTCATGCCTGCTTATCTTGGTGTGCACCTCTGTTCCCCAGCTGCTATACCTCTGGCTTTGCTTTTAGGGAAAGCTACAGCCAGCCTCTTGGCTTTAAGCTACTTTGGATGTGGGTCAGGCACTGGTCTTAAGTCTTCTGTCACTCCAGGGACATAGGTCTGACTCTGAGATCTTGTTCTCTCATGCTCCACTCCTGTTTCACAGCCAATGTCAGCTCAGCAGAAATTGACAACCCCAGAAAGGAAATCTTAGGCTTTCCTTGTGGCAAGAGCCTTTACTTTCTTTGAGTACATTTTGATTCCTTTCTCACTCATTTTTTGAGTACATCCTAACCCCTCTTCCTATGCCAATAATGCTCTTCAAGAAAACCCAAAAAACAAAAACCCCTTTTTTCAGAACCAGTTCTCTTAGATACTACCCCTACCCCACAATATAGGCTGGGAGCAAATGATGGACCAATGGTACCATCTCTTGGCATACTCTATCTGGATTATCTATCAGTTCTTTTCACTCAGCATAATGCCCTTGAGATCCTGATTCAATACATGCCTGATTCATTTCTTTTTATTTCTGAGCAGTATTCCATGGGACAATTCTATAAGATTTGATTAACCATTCATCCATTGAAGGACATTTGGGTAGTTTTTAGGATTTGGCTATTATAATAATTCTGCTGAGACCATTTGTGTATGTGATTTTGTGTGGACGTAAGTTTTCTTTTTTTTTTCTGTATAAATGTCCAGCAATGTGATTGCAGGGTTGTATGGTTAATGTATGTTTTGTTTTATAAGAAACTGCCATACTTTTTTCTATAGCGGCTATACCATCTTACATTCTAACCAACAATATGTGAGGGATCTAGTTTCTCTATATCCCTGCCAGCATTTGGCATTGTCATTATTTTTTAATTTTAGGTGTTCCAGTAGATGCATAGTGATATCTCATTATTCATAAACTGTTTTTAGACTTGTGGGTATACATTATACTTATTATTAACTTTGAGGCCTTGGCCTGAACTTTTAGACAACAGGAAAAATTTAATATCTCATTGCACAGTGATTCAGACAACCTCTGACTTAGGGTAAGATTTTCCAGGAAGGAATTAGAATTCTAATTAGAATTCAAATATAGTTTGGCAGGTGTATCAGCTTGCACCTAAGTAATATCTTCTGTTGTGTTTTATATTTGTTGGGCATGTCTGGTAGAATGGTGATGTCTGCCAGAAATCTACTTACATTTAAGACTTAGAAGTTTCCTAGGAGATTACTCATATCAAAGAAATAGTTTTGCAGACAGGTTTGCCTAGTAACCAAGCATTCAAGTTGTCAGATGGAAGGACAGGGCAATTTTTGTGAGCTGCATGATATTTGCCAGTTAGATTGGTTTGCTAATTTGATGCACCGTTTGTCTCCAAAACTATATCCAGATTCAGCATAGGAAAGTAGAGGAGACTACAATTAAAGATACTAGAAGAGTCATTCTTACTAAGATTCTGGGAGACATTGAGTTTAAAGAAGAACATTTGAGTATTCTTCAAAGCAAGCACAATCTAAAAAGGAAGAGAAATCTCCACACTTCTGCCAAAAACAACCAACCAAACAAACAAAATAAACAGTTGAACTCTGGCACTTTGATGTCTCTAGCAGTAATGGGTGAGGTCCCTGACAGGAGGGTTGTCTGGAGCCACCAGGTTGCAATTTGAGGCAGCAGTAGTGAGGGAAATGGTATGAGAAGATTTGTAGATGTTATGAGGCAGCATCTTTTGTGACATATTTTCTCATTTTAGGTTTTGAAAATAGTGAAGTACTCCCTGAAAACACACACCAAATAATGAACTATAAAAATACTTGGATTATGAATATATTTTAGTGGCTTCTCTTTTCTTTTTATTATAATGTATTTTTTTCTCATGCATACTCCATATCTTGCTTGTGTTCAAGCATACTTTAATTTTTAATTCATCAGTTAAGCTGTCTTTGAGTTACCATGATATTGGGCATACCTCATTATTTTTTACACCAAATGCATTTTAAAAAGGAAAAAGGACACTGTTTTATCTTCTTTCTTGCTGCTTTAATGAGGATGGAGGGATAAGTTACAGGCTGGCACATTAAATGTACTACTATGGAAGGACCTTTTTCTTTATCAGTGTCCCTTCCCTACCCTTAAAATCACTGATCAGGGTCTAGCAGTATCTGCTCCTCAAAACTTGGGACCAAGTGATGGTGTTCCCACTTGCAATGTCCTCTCATAGCACTTTTAACTTTCTTCTATAGTTTTTAATGCTTTATGCAATACTGGTCAGAAGGGCTTCTTTCTTTCTTTTTTTTTTTTTTCTGAGACAGAGTTCTGCTCTGTCACCCATGTTGGAGTGCAGTGGCGCAATCTTGGCTCACTGCAACCTCTGCCTCCTGGGTTCAAGCGATTCTCCTGCCTCAGCCTCCCGAGTAGCTGGGATTACGGGCGCCCACCACTACACCCGGCTAATTTTTGTGTTTTTAGTAGAGACGGGGTTTCCCCATGTTGGCCAAGCTGGTCTCGAACTCCTGACCTCAGGTGATTTGCCCGCCTTGGCCTCCCAAAGTGCTGAGATTACAGGCATGAGCCACTGCGCCCGGCCAGATGGGCTTCTTTTAAAATAAATCCAATAGTTGACTTTTGTTTCCAGCAGTATAGTAGATTAGATAACATGATTTACCTCATCTCCATCATGAAAACCACCAAAAATGTTGGATAAATTATTTGAAAACATCTTTTCCAATAAATTGATGACCTGGCAAGAAAAAAGAATATTCAGATGCCAAAAAAGGTGAAAAAAGAAAATAGAAGCTAAATAGATAAGTAGAATGATAAAGCCAGCTTTTTCCTCGAGCATATTTGCCAAATCTGCTAAATCCAAAGTTTAATCTTCAACTGTTCAAGGACATGTGGACAAGAGAGAAGCCTAGAAATCACTTCATATGTAAAAGGAGGCTTTCCACCAAAAAACTGGAACCCTAAAGATACACTCAGTGAAAGGGTGAATTAGAAATAAATCACCATTATTGCCACAGACACACAGGAAGAATGCTATGTTAATACGAGGGCAGAGATTGGAGTGATGCACCTATAGGCAAGGGAATGTTTGGAGCTACCAAAAGCTGAAAGAGGAAAAGAAGAAACTGCCTCTAGAGGCTTCAAACGAACATGGCCCTGCCAACAACTTGAATTCAGACTTCAGTTGCAACAACTGAAGTCAAGGGGACAATGAGATCTTCAATGTGTTGTGAGAAAATAACTGTCAACACACTTTCACAGTCAAAAACAAACTTTCAAGTAAAAGAGCAAAATGCCTATTCACATAAAGAGTAATAGATGATATGTCTCTAACAAACACTAAGGAAATTTTAAAGAATGTACTTCATACAGAAAGAAAGTGATTTAGATGGATGTTGGATGGTCTTATTATATTTTCAAAGAAACAAAGACCAAAATAGTTTAAAAATGTATATTATGGACTAAATATTTCTGTCTTCCCAAATACATATGTTGAAGCCCTAATCCCCAGTGTGACAGTATTTGGAGATAAGACTTTTACTGAAGTAATTAAGGTTAAATGAGGTTGTGATGTTGGAGTTGTAATCCAGTAGAATTAGTATCCTTATAAGAAGAAACACCACAGAGCATGCTCTCTCTCTGTGTGTACCATGTGAGGACACAGGTAGAGCCAGCTGTCTACAAGCCAGGAAGAGAGCCCTTGCTGGAACCTAACCATTCTGGCACACTGCTCTTAGACTTTCAGCCTCCAGACTGTGAGAAATACATTTTTATTGCTTGAGCCACCCAGTCTGTGGTATTTTGAGATACTTTCCATCAGTACCTAGTTTATTGGGAGTTTTTAGCATGAAGGAGTGTTGAATTTTGTCAAAGGCCTTTTCTGCATCTATTGAGATAATCATGTGGTTTCTGTTATTGGTTCTGTTTATGTGATGGATTATGTTTATTGATTTGCATATGTTGAACCAACCTTGTATCCCAGGGATGAAGCCGACTTGATCATGGTGGATAAGTTTTTGATGTGCTGCCGGATTTAGTTTGCCAGTATTTTATTGAGGATTTTTGCATCAATGTTCATCAGGGATATTGGTCTAAAATTCTCTTTTTTTGGTTGTGTCTCTGCCAGGCTTTGGTATCAGGATGATACTGGCCTCATAAAATGAGTTACAAAGGAGGCCCTCTTTTTCTATTGATTGGAGTAGTTTCAGAAGGAACAGTACCAGCTCCTCTTTGTACCTCTGGTAGAATTTGGCTGTGAATTCATCTGGTCCTCGGCTGTTTTTGGTTGGTAGTCTATTAATTGCTGCCTCAATTTTAGAACTTGTTATTGGTCTATTCGTGGACTCAACTTCTTCCTGGTTTAGTCTTGGGAGGGTGTATGTGTCCAGGAATTCATCCATTTCTTCTACATTTTTCCAGTTTATTTGCATAGAGGTGCTTATAGTATTCTCTGATGGTAGTTTGTATTTCTGTGGGATCAGTGGTGATATCCCCTTTATCATTTTTTACTGTGTCTATTTGATTCTTCTCTTTTTTTTCTTAGTCTGGCTAGTCTGGCTAGCAATCTATCTATTTTGTTAATCTTTTCAAAAAGCCAGCTCCTGGGACTTATTGATTTGTTGAAGGGTTTTCTGTGTCTCTATCTCCTTCAGTTCTGCTCTGATCTTAGTTGTTTCTTGTCTTCTGCTAGCTTTTGAATTTTGTTTTCTCTTGCTTCTCCTGTTCTTTTAATTGTGATGTTCGGGTGATGATTTTACATCTTTTCCACTTTCTCCTGTGGGCATTTAGTGCTATAAATTTCCCTCTAAACACTGCTTTAGCTGTGTCCTAAAGATTCTGGTACACAAACACAAAAAGATTGTGTCTTTGTTCTCACTGGTTTCAAAGAACTTATTTATTTCTGCCTTAATTTCATTATTTACCCAGTAGCCAATTGGGAGCAGGTTGTTGAGTTTCCACACAGTTGTGTGGTTTTGAGTGAGTTTCTTAACACTGAGTTCTAATTTGATTGCACTGTGGTCTGAGAGACTGCTTGTTAAGATTTCCATCTTTTGCATTTGCTGAGGAGTGTTTTACTTCCAATTATGCGGTCAATTTTAGAATAAATGCGATGTGGTGCTGAGAAGAATGTATATTCTGTTGATTTGGGGTAAAGAGTTCTGTAGATGTCTATTAGGTCCTCTTGCTCCAGAGCTAAGTTCAAGTCCTGAATATCCTTGTTTATTTTCTGTCTTGTTGATCTGTCTAATATTGACAGTGGGGTGTTAAAGTCTGCCATTATTATTGTGTGGGAGTCTGAGTCTCTTTGCAGGGCTCTAAGAACTTGTTATATGAATCTGAGTGGTCCTGCATTGGGTGTATAAATACTTAGGATAGTTAGCTCTTCTTGTTGGATTGATCCCTTTACCATTATGTAATGTCCTTTTTTTTGTCTTTTTTGACCTTTGTTGGTTTCAAGTCTGTTTTATCAGAGACTAGGATTGCAACCTCTGCTTATTTTTGCTTTCCATTTGCTTGGTAAATGTTCCTTCATCCCTTTATTTTGAGCCTATGTGTGTCTTTGCACATGAGATGTGTCTCCTGAATACAGCACACCGAGGGTTCTTGACTCTTTATCCAATTTGCCAGTCTGTGTCTTTTAATTGGGGCATTTAGCACATTTACATTTAAGGTTAATATTGTTATTTGTGAATTTGATCCTGTCATTATGATGCTAGCTGGTTATTTTGCCCGTTAGTTGATGCAGTTTCTTCATAGTGTCACTGATCTTAATAATTTGGTATGTTTTTGCAGTTGGTGGTACCTGTTTTTCTTTTCCACATTTAGTGCTTCCTTCAGGAGCTTTGGTAAAGGCAGGCCTGGTGGTGACACAATCTCTCAGCATGATACTGGACAAAAGTCATCTGTGGATGGACACTTAGGTTGATTATACTACAAGACTACAGTAACTGAGACAGCATGGTACTGGTACAAAAGTCATCTGTTGATGGACAGTTAGGTTGGTTCCATATCTTTGCTATTGTTGAACCAACTTTGCATCCTGGGGATAAAGCCTACTTGATTTTGGTGGACAAGCTTTTTGATGTGCTGCTGGACTTGGTTTGCCAGTGCTTTTTTGAGGATTTTTGCATCAATGTTTATCAAGGATATTGGCTTAAAGTTTTCTTTTTTGTTGTATCTCTGCCAGATTTTGGTACCAGGATAATGCTGGTCTCATAGAATGAGTTAAGGAGGAGTCCCTCCTCATCAATTTTTTGGAATAGTTTTAGTAGGAACGGTATCAGCTCTTCTTTGTACATCTGGTAGAATTCAGCTGTGAATCTGTCTGGTCCTGGGCTTTTTTTGGTTGGTAGGCTAGTTATTATTGATTTAATTTTGGAGCTCATTATTGGTCTTTTCAGGGATTCAGGTTCTTTCTGGTTCAGTCTTGGGTGGGTGTATGTATCCAGGAATTTATCTATTTTTCCTAGATTTTCAAATTTGTGTGCATAGAAGTGTTTACAATATTCTCTGATGATTATTTGTATTTCTGTGGAGTTAGTGGTAATATCCCCCTTGTTATTTCTAATTGTGTTTATTTGGATCTTCTCTCTTTTCTTCTTTATTGGTCTAGCTAGTGGTCTATTTTATTTTATTTTTTCAAAAACACAACTCCTGGATTTGTTGATCTTTTGAATGATTTTTTGTGTCTCAATCTCCTTCAGTTCAGCTCTGATTTTGGTTATTTCTTTCTTCTGCTAGCTTTGGGCTTGATTTGCTCTTGGTTCTCTAGTTCTTTTAGTTGTGATGTTAGGTTGTTAAATTGCTATCTTTCTAACTTTTTGATATGGGTGTTCAGTGCTGTAAATTATCCTCTTGACACTGTCTTAGCTGTGTCCCAGAGATCCTGGTGTGTTGTATCTTTGTTCTCATTAGTTTCAAAGAACTTCTTGATTTCTATGTTAATTTCATTGTTTACCCCAGAGTCATTCAGGAACAGGATATTCAATTTCCATGTAATTGTATGATTTTGAGCTATTTCCTTAGTCTTGATTTCTTACTTCATTGCACTGTGATCTGACAGAGTGGTTGTTATGATTTCAGTTCTTTTGCATTTGCTGAGGAGTATCTTATGTCTGATTATGTGGTCAATTTTAGAGTGTGTGCCATGTGACAATGAGAAGAATGTATATTTTGTTGTTTTTGGGTGGAGAGTTCTGTAGATGTCTGTCACGTATGTTTGATCCAGTACTGAGTTTAGGTCCTGAATATCTTTGTTAATTTTCTGCCTTGATGATCTGTCTACAGATGCTCCCATTCCAAACCCTCTGGGCTCTGTATCGGCTGATATCCTTCCCCATCACTTCTCCAAGCAGGTTTTCCTGCCAACTCAAGTGTCTGTGGTGGTCAAGGGGTCTCCTGCTGCCAGGATTCCAGAGGCCTGTGGTGAGAGTGGGTTGTTCCTTGCCAGTTCAACTCACCCATTCCCCCAGAGTCACTGGGGGTCAGGAACAAGTACTGGTGCATAGTAGCCCCCTCCAGGGGTCCCAACTTCCTCCCTCTTCAGCCTGGCTTCTGTGTCTTCCCTCAGTCTGCTCTCAGTGCCTTCCCTCTGAAGATCTGCTAGGACTGTGTGCCACTTGTCCTAGTCCCTTGGTGACAGCTGTTCCACCTGGCTGTGTCTGGTTGGCCATCTTGCCCAAATCTCTCAATAATTTTAAATGACCTGATTTCAAGTTTGCCAATTCCTTCTCCTGTCAGATCAAGTCTGCTGTTAAACCCCTATAATGAATTGTTCAGTTCAGTTTTTGTATTTTTCTGCTATAGGTTTCTGTTTTTTAATATAGTTTATTTATCTTTGTTGACAGTCTTATTTTGTTCATGCATAATTTTCCTGATTTCTTTAGTTGCCTATGTTATCTTTTTAACATATTGAGATCCTTGTGACAGTTATTTAAAATCCTTGTTAAGCAGCTCATATATCTGCATTCGTTAGGGTTGATTTCTGGAGTTTTATTTTGTCCCTTTGATTTAGTCATGTTCTGCTGTTTCTTTGTATGCCTTGTAATTTTTTGCTTGGGTTTGAGCATTTGAAAAATACCCTCTATCCCAGTTTTTATATTCTGACTTTGTACAGGAGAAGACCTTCTTTAATCAGCCCAGCTGGAAGACCTCTCAAACCCTTCTAATCTCTTACTCTCCTTGGAATCTGCCTGCTGAACTGCATTTCTAATATTCCACTCCACCTTTGTTTCCAGTGGCTTCTGAATTCTGGTGTCAATACTGTCAGCACTCTGAGTCAGGTGGTACAGAAATGAGTCCTTTGGGCAGCCCTCAGACAAGCCAGAACATTGGACTCATGTTCTACTGTTTATTTCTGTCCCAAGGGAGGAGAACTCATATAGAGGATTCCTTCCAGTTGCTCTGTGTGATGCTGCATAGAGGAAGGGGAACAAATGTGTGTGACAAATGCCGCAGATTTTCCTACACCTTTCACTGGAATTCCGTCTTTGTCTTACAATAGCCTTAGTGCTATAGATTCTCAATTGGTCTCCAGCATTATCACAGAGGAATTGTGGTCCACATATTATTGTTAATTTGGTGTCTTTGTTGGGGAAGGAGAGCCTGTAGCTTCCTAGTCTATCTATGCTGACCTGCACTTCTACTTTTAAAGTGTAACTTTTTCCTCCAAATCTAAAGCTCTGCAATATGCTTTGTGAATTTCACCACTCTTACCTTGGATGCACTAATTTTGATTATTTCAGCACATCTATTTAATCACTTTAAGTTGAACAATTCCTACTGATGGTTATTTGCTACCAAATCATCCTGTTCTTGGTGGTGTACCTCAAGATTTCTAAAATAGATTAATTCCCAGAGCGTTGTTCTTTAAGATGGACTCAAAGCTTAGTCTATGTCATAAACAGGTCTTTATCTGTACATACTATAAGGCTATGAGTTTAAATGGATAATCTTTGCAGATAAAATTAACTTTGTTCTTACCAAATTGCAGGATTCTTAATTAAAATACTTTCATTTCATTTTGTTTAATAAAAAACATTTTGACTTTAGCCACAGCTCTTCTACTGTACCATAGGCATTTTCTGTTCAGTTAGCAGAGAAAAAGAGGTAAGAATAATTTAAGACTTTTTGTAGCATGTATTAATCTATTATTTGCCTTTTGGTCTATGGATAAGTGCATATGATTTTATGTTGGCTTGTAAGCTCTTCTTTAAAGCTTTATCACAATAAGAATCTAATAGATTAAAAAGAACTTTTCTTCCATCCTTAACTATTTGAAGTGTTACGACTTTACCTCTCCATTTCAATTTAAGCAGTCTGACAAATTTTAAATTAACTAGGTACACACCTAGTTACTGTAGCAAAAATGAAAGCTGAGCATCTTTCTTTGCTGAAGGAATGGATTATTGTCAGAGTCCACTGGGAGTTGTGTGAATGAGCAATTAAACCTGTTGTCTAATTGCTAACAGAAGGAATGGTTAAGTATCAATTATAGAAAAAATAAAATCATCCCTTTAGGCACACTTTCCTCAGGACTCAGATGGATAATGCTGAACAACTCTACTTAACAGTTTAAGTCATTTAGTTATTTGGGTGGCTATTTTGTTCTGAATGATCTTTGGAAACCCATCAGGATGATGTGTTGCTTAAAAATTAAGCATTTTACAAAATCGCATGATTGTTTTATGATAGGCAAAGACATCTGGTGACTCCTGCTACCAAAATCTTCTAGGATGTGGTGTTCTATTCCATGTTTTGTGAAGCACAATTTGGGGGTTGAACAGATGCCAAGGTAAACTTTAAAATTTTTGCAATAAAACATCGAGTTTGTCAACTATAAATCTAGAAAATAAAGCATATAGTGATCCTTTCAATCAATAACTAGGATACCTGGACTTCTACAGGGACTTTAAGTTTTAATTTTTTGACTATTTTCTGGCTGACACAATTGATATCCAAGAGTAACCATCTAATGAGTGTTAAATAATTTCTCCCTTAGATAATTCACTATTATTCTAGTAACATGCCAGATCATTAGCAAGCTACTATATTAACTTAGCTTATGACAATATATTTATAGTACTATGAATATTATGCCTATAATATTATTACAGCCTTTATTGTGTGTCAGTATAAGAAATGGCCATCTATATAGAGTCTCTTCATTTTCTAGAAAATTGTCCTCCAAGATAACATAATTGTTTAATTTCTTTTTTTTTTTTTTTTGAGAGGGAGTCTCACTCTGTCACCCAGGCTGGAGTGCAGTGGCGCAATCTCGGCTCACTGCAAGCTCTGCCTCCCAGGTTCACACCATTCTCCTGCCTCAGCCTCCCCAGCAGCTGGGACTACAGGCACCCACCACCATGCCTGGCTAATTTTTTTTTGTATTTTTAGTAGAGACGGGGTTTCACCGTGTTACCCAGGATGGTCTCGATCTCCTGACCTCGTGATCCTCCTGCCTCGGCCTCCCAAAGTGCTGGGATTACAGGTGTGAGCCACCGCGCCTGCCCTTAATTGCTTTTCTTAAATTGAAGTTTGCTCAATACATTTTTATTAGAGTTCAGTACCAGGACGTAGTGCTCTGTTTTTGGTGTGATGGCTGGAATGTTTTCTTTTATTGAGTAGCAACCTGTTGTATGTTATATTTTGCTTAGACTTCCCAGAAACCCAAAGCTAGTTTTATGTGCAGTCGTTTGTCATGTTTTAGACTAGTCTTGTTTGGTCTTTTTTGATTTTTTTCTTCCTGTCCCTTCTTAATTTTTCCATTTTCTTTTCTTTTCTTGGTAAGAGGGCATATTTTCTTTTTCTGTCAGTATCTTGGCTACTAAAAAATATGTGTGTGTATGTGTGTGTGTGTATATATATATATATATATATATATATGTATATATATTTTTTACAGTGAGCTCTCTTTTATGCTATTCTTATGCTATTTGGAAGTGTCATAATAATATTAAGCTGGGTAAATTGTATAGGAAGATTTATGGATGTTTTAGGAGTCTCAAAGGCTTATTTACAGAAGGTTTTGGCAGATTCCATTGATTATGTACATGTGTCATCTAGGTTTTTAAATTTTGAATAATCATCATCCAATTCAGAAATGTTGAGACCCATCTATTTGGAAGGCATATGTTTTAGCTCAGTAAACAAGTCCTGGAGATTTTTAAATCTAGATTTTAAAAAAAATCTTCTGTATTAGTCTATTTTCACACTGCTATATGGGAAGCAAGGACCTTCTTCACATAGTGGCAGGAGAGAGAAGCACAGAGGAGGAACTTCCAAACACTTATATTAATAAAACCATCAGATCTCATGAGAACTCACTCATTATCATAAGAATAGCATGGGGAAAACTGCCCCACATGATCCAATCCCCTCCCTCCCTCTAGATGTTGGGATTACAATCCCTCCCTTGATACATGGGAGTTACAATTTGAGATGAGATTTGAGTGGAGACAGAGAGCTAAACCATATCATCTTTTCTTCTGCTCTCACTGGTATTTTAATAATTCAGACCTTATCTGCTAGAAATGTTTTTTTCAGATGAAGGGGTTTACTTATATATGCAAGTCCACCCTTCCATTCCTCCTCATGCTTTTCTGAAGTGGTTCTCACCTTAGGAAAGCTATCTCCTTCTCTCATGAGTCTACTCAAGTCTTACCCATCCTTTGAAACCTAATTAATTCTATCACTTTCTAATGCCCATTTAGGTCCAACTAGCAGAAATAATGCATTTATCATGTCACTGATCTGGCAATTAAAGCATTCAATATCTTAGGATATTTCTTACTCTTTTTCCCTGAACTTTTATCTAAATTATATACTCACATTTAATTTTTACAAACTTTTGCCTGGTCTTAACCTAAATAGTTAGCTCTTTGAATGGAGGGACACTATTTTATTTATTTATTTATTTTTATTATTATACTTTAAGTTCTAGGGTACATGTGCACAACATGCAGGTTTGTTACATAGGTATACATGTGTGATGTTGGTTTGCTGCACCCATCTACTTGTCGTTTACATTAGGTATTTCTCTGAACACTATCCCTCCCCCAGCCCCCCACTCCACAACAGGGCCCAGTGTGTGATGTTCCCCACCCTATGTCCATGTGTTCTCATTGTTCAGCTCCCACTTATGAGTGAGAACATGTGGTGTTTGGTTTTCTGTCCTTGTGATATTTTCCTGAGAATGCTGGTTTCCAGCTTCATCCATGTCCCTGCAAAGGACATGAACTCATCCTTTTTATGGCTGCATAGTATTCCATGGCATATATGTGCCACATTTTCTTTATCCAGTCTATCATTGATGGGCATTTGGGTTTGTTCCAAGTCTTTGCTATTGTGAATAGTGCCACAATAAACATACGTGTGCATGTGTCTTTATAGTAGCATGATTTATAATCCTTTGGGTATATACCCAGAAATGGGATTGCTGGGTCAAATGGTATTTCTAGTTCTAGATTCTTAAGGAATGGCCACACTGTCTTCTACAATGGTTGAACTAATTTACACTCCCACCAACAGTGTAAAGGCATTCCTATTTCTCCATCCTCTCCAGCACCTGTTGTTTCCTGACTTTTTAATGATCACCATTCTAACTGGTGTGAGATGGTATCTCATTGTGATTTTTATTTGCATTTCTCTGATGATCAGTGATGATGAGCATGTTTTTATATGTCTGTTGGCTGCATAAATGTCTTCTTTTATGAAGTGTCTGTTCATTTCCTTTGCCCACTTTTTGATGGGGTTGTTTGTTTTTTTCTTGTAAATTTGTTTCAGTTATTTGTAGATCCTGGATATTTGCCGTTTTTCAGATGGATAGATTGACAAAATTTTCTCCCATTCTGTAGGTTGCCTGTTCACTCTGATGATAGTTTCTTTTGCCGTGCAGAAACTCTTTAGTTTACTTAGATCCCACTTGTCAATTTTGGCTTTTGTTGCCATTGCTTTTGGTGTTTTAGTTATGAAGTCTTTGCCCATGCCTATATCCTGTTTAATCCATCTTGAAATAATTTTTGTATAGGTCTAAGAAAGGGATCCAGTTTCAGCTTTCTACATGTGGCTAGCCAGTTTTCCCAGAACCATTTATTAAATAGGGAATCCTTTCCCCATTGCTTGTTTTTGTCAGGTTTGTCAAAGATCAGATGGCTGTAGATGTGTGGTGTTATTTCTGAGGCCTCTGTTCTGTTCTATTGGTCTGTCTCTCTGTTTTGGTACCAGTACCATGCTGTTTTGGTTACTGTAGCCTTGTAGTCCAGTTTGAAGTCAGGTAGTGTGATGCCTCCAGCTTTGTTCTTTTTGCTTAGGATTGTCCTGGCTATACGAGCTCTTTTTTGGTTCCCTATGATATTTAAAGTAGTTTTTTTCCAATGCTGTGAAGAAAGTCTTTGGTAGCTTCATGGGGATAGCATTGAGTCCATAAATTACCTTGGGCAGTATGGCCATTTTCACAATAATGATTCTTCCTACCCATGAGCATGGAATGTTCTTCCATTTGTTTGTGTGTCCTCTCTTATTTCCTTGAGCAGTGGTTTGTAGTTCTCCTTGAAGAGGTCCTTCACATCCCTTGTAAATTGTATTCCTAGGTATTTTATTCTCTTTGCGGCAACTGTGAATGGGAGTTCACTCATGATTTGGCTGTTTGTCTATTATTGGTGTATAGGAATGCTTGTGATTTTTGCACATTGATCTTGTATCCTGAGACTTTGCTTAAGTTGCTTATCAGCTTAAGGAGATTTTGGGCTGAGACAATGGGGTTTTCTAAATATATAATCATGTCATCTGCAAACAGAGACAATTTGACTTCCTCTTTTCCTAATTGAATACCTTTATTTCTTTCTCTTGCCTGATTGCCCTGGCCAGAACTTCCAATATTATTTTAACAGGAGTGGTGAGAGAGAGCATCCTTGTCTTGTGCCGGTTTTCAAAGGGAATGCTTCCAGTTTTTGCCCATTCAGTATGATATTGTCTGTGGGTTTGTCATAAATAGCTCTTATTATTTTGAGATATGTTCCATCAATACCTAGTTTATTAAGAGTTTTTAGCATGAAAGACTTGAATTTTGTCAAAGGCCTTTTCTGCATCTTTTGAGATATTCATGTGGTTTTGGTCATTGGTTCTGTTTATGTGATGGTTTACGTTTATTGATTTGCATATGTTGAACCAGCCTTGCATTCCAGGGATGAAGCCAACTTGATCATGGTGGATAAGCTTTTTGATATGCTCCTGGATTTAGTTTGCCAGTATTTTATTGAGGATTTTTGTATCAATGTTCATCAGGGATATTGGCCTAAAATTCTCTTTTTTGTTGTGTCTCTGCCAGGCTTTGGTATCAGGATGATGCTGCCCTCATAAAGTGAGTTAGGGAGTGTTGTGGGAAGTCAGGACCCCAAACGGAGGGACTGGCTGGAGCCACGGCAGAGGAACATAAATTGTGAAGATTTCATTTTAATATGGACATCTATCAGTTCCCCAAATTAATATTTTTATAATTTCTTGCACTTGTCTTTACTGCAATCTCTGAACATAAATTATGAAGGTTTCATGGACATTTATCAGTTTCCAAAATTAATACTTTTATAATTTCTTATCCCTGTCTTTAATCTCTTAATCCTGTTGTCTTTGTAAGCTGAGAATGTACATCACCTCAGGACCACTATTGTGTTAAACTGTACAAATTGATCGTAAAACATGTGTGTTTGAACAATATGAAATCAGTGCACCTTGAAAAAGAACAGAATAACAGCAATTTTAGGGAACAAGGGAAGACAATCATAAGGTCTGACTGCCTGCAGGGTCCGGCAGAATAGAGCCATATTTTTCTTCTTGCAGAGAGCCTGTAAACAGATGTGCAAGTAGGGAAGATATTGCTGAATTCTTTTCCTAGCAAGGAATGTTGATAATTAAGACCCTGGGAAAGGCACGCATTCTTGGGGGGAGGTCTATAAATGGCCGCTCTGGCAGTGTCTGTGTTATGCGGTTGACATAAGGACTGAAAGATGCCCTGGTTTCCTGCAGTACCCTCAGGCTTACTAGGGTGGGGAAGAAACCCCACCCTGGTAAATTTGAGGTCTGACTGGTTCTCTGCTCTGAAACCCTGTTTTCTGTTGTTTAAGATGTTTATTAAGACAGTACTTGCACAGCTGAACATAGACCCTTATCAGGAGTTTTTGACTTTGCCCTTTGCCTTGTGATCTTGCTTTGCCCTTTGCCTTGTGATCTTTATTGGCCTCAGAAGCATGTGATCTTTGTGACCTACTCCCTGTTCATACACCCCCTCTGCTTTTGAAATCCTTAATAAAAACTTGCTGGTTTTGTGGCTCAGGTGGGCATCACACACCTACCAATATGTGATGTCACCCCCAGTGGCCCAGCTGTAAAATTCCTCTCTTTGTACTCTTTCTCTTTATTTCTCAGAACAACTGACACTTAGGGAAAATAGAAAGAACCTACGTTGAAATATTGGGGGTGGGTTCCCCTGATAAGGGAGGATTCCAGAAGGACACTATTTTATACTGCTTTGGATCTCTTCGTATTGCCTGAGTAGGTTCTCCACAAATATTATTTAAAATTTAACAATTTGCTATTACTCTATTGAGAATGAGTTTCTTTGTTTGTTTGTTTTCTATTTAGATACAGGGTCTCATTCTGTCATCCAAGTTGGAGTGCAGTGGCATGATCACAGCTCACTGTGACCTTGAATTGTGGACCCAAGCATTCCTCCTGCTTCAGCCTCCTGAGTAGCTAGGACTACAGGCATGCACGAACACACCTGGCTAATTATTCTATTTTTTTTGTAGAGATGAGGATTTTGCTATGTTGCCCAGGCTGGTCTAGAACTCCTAGCCTCAAACAGTCCTCCTGCCTTGGCCTCCCAAAGTGCTAGGATCACAGGCATGAGCTACTGCACCTGGCTGAGTATTGTTGTTGTTGTTTTAAACATTTTATTTGGTCATTTTGGAAACTTAATGTCTACTACATTTATCATTATAGTTTGAAAATCTTTACATCTTTTATATAGAAAACATTATCTTTTTAAAATAGGAGGTTTAAAATATTTCAACTTAAGAATATATTAAAGCTAACCCATATTATTAAAATGAAAATGATAAAAATATCTATGTGAACATGGCCTGCATTTTACCCAAATGTAATCTAACACTTTTTTTCTTTCTCTGTAGGAGGCGACTAATACTAATGGAGTTCTAGTTATATGCTAGGCACTGTGGAGGCCTCTTTATTTTATTGATTCCTTATCATACTCTTTTTGGAGGTATGCTAGAAGAGTCTTTGACAATTCTACCTCTCAGACTATAGGGCTTTCTTTACCATTTGCCTTGTGATATTCCTTGGCTGCTATAAGAACACGGCACTAGAAGGCTCGCTTTTCTATTTTTCTTAATGTATACTTTAAAGATTTTATCAAGTGGAGGAAACGAAATAATGAGCTATTTTCTGATCTTTGTATCTTCCACTATGGTCATGATAATTTTGACTTGCTTGTCACCAGTAATATTTTAATTAAAAACTAAGGGAGCCTTCCTCTTATTGCCCCAAACTGGCTGGATCTCATCATTGTCAATCATCTCAGTTTAAAAGAAGGTGGGCAGACCTGCCTGAGGGGAAGTAGCAACCAAGTCCTATTTGTAGAAACTGTTTGTAAACAAACACTATTTTTGTCTGCCTTCCTAGAACGGGGGGCAGGGTATTTATGACTCAGTATATAAAACATTTTGAGGGAGGAAACTTCAGCCATTGCTAACTAAAAATTCAATGTATGTATTTTTTGTGCTTATTAATGCTATCTTGAATGGAAATGAAAAAAGAACTTTATTGAAAAAATAACCTCATAGATATGTCTCTTAAAGTTCTTAACTTTTCACTCACTGTTTTGTAAAAACTAATAATAATTTAGGACTTGACAAAAGCAGAATGAAATCTCCCCAGACTTTAGCCAAAATTTCCCCACGAACAGAGATTCTTAAATATCTCCTTTTCACACATGAGAAACCTGATGTTCAGGAGAGTTAAGTTACTTGCCCAATGTCTAAGGTTAGAAATGGAAGTTGTGTCTGTTTCTCTCTACTAAGGCTTAGCTGCCACATCTATTCATTTAAATGCTCACAAACCTTGATGTTCATATAAACTTCAGAATTATTATATACATTTCACTTTCTCTCCGAGTTTCACTTATAATTTAGCAGGTTGTACTGAAAAGCATAGAAGACTAAACAAGTAAAATGTGTGTTCCTAGGAATCATAGCCAGTGCCTACTTATCTTTTACTTTTTATGACTATTATAAGTTCATAGAGATAGAGAATCTAATACACATGTAACTACACCTCTATTAATTATCACAGTGGGATTGAAAGTAGTGAAATAAAGCCTAAAGCTTATTTTTTTCCTATGAAGAAAGCATGTGCATTGCTTGCTGTGTTCCACATGGCCAAATACACCTGAAAAACAAGTATTTGAAAACAGGAAAACACAGTAATAATTCCTGACACTGCCATCTACTGTGTGTTGGACCAATTTCTCTATTATTAGGAAAACCAAGGACTTGGCTGGAAACCATCCCATGTGTTGGAAGGGCTTGAAGAATTGAACATCTCCATTAGTAAGAATCAGTTTCAATGGAAATCAGGGACTGGTTGGACCATAAAGAATTGTTGGCATGAGAAAAATGTTTAAGTAGTTTGAACATTTGCCTGTTTCATGCAAAATGACCATGTGTGTGGGTTTCTTTATCTTATGGAATTAGAAATGAGTGAAAAGAAAATTATACTATGAATGGAAAAAATGTGAAAACAAAAAAGGAAACATTTTCAATATTTGCTGGGTTAAAAGTAAAAAACTCACACATTATGGAATCTAACTTGCTATATGTCATTGGTGCACAATAGCTAGAATTTAGTATTTAAACTAGTCCATGAAAAAAGCAATTTACCAATAATATGAGGAAAAAGTAAACTGAGAGGAGATTTTATGATTTAGGAGAGGTTATATGTATAGTTGTAAATCATAAGTTATAACAGGAAAGATAGCTATAACATAAATGAGCAAATAAGCAAGACTTGAGTATATGAGAAAAGTAACTGGACATATTGCCTATCTTGCAAAATGTGTGAACCAGAATTCTTGGTATAATATTTTAATGAGTACTCTGGATTCTAAAGTATTCTAACCAAATTGTTATTTTATAGAATATCAAGGTATATCTTTGGTTAACTTTGTGTTAGAATTCTATGTGGATGTCACCCATTTTCTGGCACCTTTAATGAAATCTTCTAGACTTTCTTTCTGTAAAATCTCATTACTCTGACTATTCCAATATCTATGTACATATGTATGTATGTATGTATATCTATCTATCTATCTATCTATCTATCTATCTATCTATCTATCTATCTATCTAATCTTCTATCTATACATCCATTCATCTATCTTCATCTGCCCTCTATATAATCTATTTATATACATCCACACACCCACACAAATTTTGGGTTAATCTATCTTTCAAACTTTCACTGTCTGAGCCTTTAAGCATCAAAACTGTGGCTTGCCCTATTGTTAAATTCACTAGCCCTTACGTTACTTGTCATATTATTTATTTCCATTTCTAAAAGCTATTCCTTTGGGAGTTATAAAGGTACTCATCTTGGTTAATTTTTGAGTACTCTGCCTTTCACTAAGGAACTATTCTATGAAAACCATCATAATCAGTTTTTATTATTGCTATTAAGTTTAAATATTTAACCGATTTTTTTTTTTTTTTTGCTCTGCACTATATGATGGATGCTAGATACTCAACAGACATGGTCACTGCCCTCAGTTCTATGAAAGACAATCAGGAAAGGCTTCCCTAAATTAGCAAGGTGAAGTGATAGCACCTGGTATGGAGGAGAAGATGAAAGCATTCTAGGCAGAGGGAAGCAACACAAAATCTCTACTCCAGGAAAGAGTGTGGCATATTCTAGGAATTAAGAAACACAATTTCTTAAAGATCAAGATTGATCCCTAATGTCACTATGAGAGACTGATTTATGTAAGCCAGATACAAAACTTCATCTCATTATTTCATAATCACACTCTTAAGACATGATTAAACATTTTTTCCCATAAACTACTATTATTCTAACCCTCAAATGTCTTCCATTTATTAACAATTTTGACTTTTGGACAGTTAAACCTAAGTAGAATATCAAGGAATATAGGAATAAAATGTTTGCATTAATATATTTGATAAAGTGATCTAGAAATATTATTTTTTTCTTACACATATGAATATGATACTACAATAAAACATCCAAATAATGCAAAGGTGGATATAGCACAATTGGTGATTGACTCCTGTACTCTTTTTATCCCAGCCTCTGTTTCTAAAATAGGGAAGAGAGAGCTAAAGCTTCATCTTCTGGGTGGTGGGTGAGGCAGGATAGAGAAATAGTAGATAGTCCAGTCTCAGGAAGCTAGGATATGGCAGGTGGGTCCTTATGTCCCTTTATTTTCCTGGCTTAATCTCTCCAACTTCCTTAACTGGGAGTTTCCTGGATTCCCTAATGCTATTCTGGAAGTCCCAGCCAGGTATTAAAGAGAAGGTAGCTCAGATCTAGAAATACCATTATCCCTTAGCCACAGCCCAGCTTGGGAGCACCCAGAGATTGCTGAGCTCTTTTAGAGGCACTACCATAAGTTGCCCCAGTAGTTAGGACACTGTTGCTTCTTACTGTTACTACTTGACTTGGGGCCATTTCTCCTCTCTAATTTCCCTCTGAAGCTGATGGCCTTGTGATATTTCTGACAGTTTTGAGTGAGATGGAAAATACAGATAGGAGAGGCTCCCAGAGATGAAGTCTTGATCTGGAACTGAGTTATGAACTTAAGCTCACTTGACTTAACTGCATTTAGCACAAAACATTTAGAACATCTACACAAAATAGAGAATTTAGAGTTAATAAATTAAAGCAATACTAAAAGCCATATTTTTTGTACTACTGAATTTTAAGTACTAGTCTATCTGTGAAGTATAATGTCAAATATACTAGAAAAAGAGGACAGTGGATTTGAATTTTATTATATGTACTTTTTTACTTCTCAAAAAGAAAACTGACTTTGAAGTTCCTAATTTTAGTTATATTTGTGGACAGCAAAATGATTTGAAATTCTGCCTCACCTTGTTCACAGTAGATTCCAGTGGTTCCTAGAGGACAGAAACAGGTGTATCCATGAGGTAATGAAATGCAGGTTGCTCCTCTGCTACAGTGGTGTGGAGGGTCATGTTCAGGATCACAGGTAGAAACTGTCTCTGTGCAGAATGATCCTTTCCACCCAGTGGTACAATTGCAGCTGTGGGTTGAGAGAAAGCCGCATGGTTTGAGCACTTGTTTAGAGATGGATACATACTATGTATTGCCCTGATGCTAACTTGTCAATTTTAACTGAAGTTCCAAGAGATCAAAATGAATTGTGATTCAAACCCTAAATTGTCAAAGGAAAGAGTTAATAACTGGTTATAGGATTACTGGACTCCACACCAAAGACTTTAAACGATTCAGAGTGTAAAAATTGAAAGAGAATTTTTTGAGAATTGTTTCTTCAGACAAAATTGCATTGTAAGTCTCTCTCCCAACTCCCACACCACCACCTAAAGAAAAAGCTGTGCATGGTGTTGCTGTCTCCTAACTTCAAGCCTAGTGAAAAGAGATTCAGCAGGACCACTTGGAGAGCTTGGTGTGTTTTTCCCTGGCATTGGCAAACTCACAGGCTCAGCTCCTGGGGTTGCCAAAAGAGCTGCAAACATACTGGAGACAAGTCAAACGTGAGTGAATCCCAGGAAAGGGATGTTCATAGTCAGGAACAATAGCTTGAGGACATATAAAAATGAATCTTGACCAAGAGGTGTCCCTCTAGCTAAAGATACAGTGGCAGTAAGTGGTTTCTGGCTAGAGCAGAAGCTGAGGGGTAATGGGGAATACTCAGCTGAAAGAGACACCTTGTCTGGGTTTAGAGAGTGATATTGGGAGGAGCCCAGCAGAAAACTTTCTGATAGACCCATCAAAGGCAGAGTTGTCAGATAAAATGCAGAGCATCTAGTTAAATTTAAACATAAGTTAAATAATAACTTTTCTTAGTAGAAGTATGTCCTGATATGGTTTGGCTGTGTCCCCACCCAAATCTCATCTTGAATTGTAGTTGGCATAATCCCCATGTGTTGTGGGAGGGACCAGGTGGAGAAAATTGACTCATGGGGGAGGTTTCCCCCATCCTGTTCTCATGGTAATGAGTTAGTTCTCATGAGATCTGATGGTTTTATAAGGGGCTTCCTTCTTCAATGGGCGCTCATTCTTCTCCTTCCTGCCACCATGTTAGGAAGGACATGTTTGCTTCCCCTTCCACCATGATGTAAGTTTTCTGAGGCCTCCCCAGCCATGCTGAACTGTGAGTCAATTAAACCTCTTTCCTTTATAAATTACCCAGTTTCAAGTATGTCTTTATTAGCAGCCTGAGAACGGACTAATACATGTCCCATGCAATATATGAACTTTAAATAAATAATATTTGAGATTTTATTGTTATATCTTGTTATATATATATATATATATATATATATATATTTGATAAACTGTTGTTTGTCAGGGCACCGTGTGTTTATTTTGCCCCCTCCGGCCTCCCTCCCTCCCTCACTCCCTGCCTGCCTTTCTCCCTTTCTCCCTTTCTTCCTTCCCTTTCTCTCCCCACCATCCCCCTTTCTTTCTTCTGAAAACACTACACTAAAGAGTACATGAGAGAAAGGGTTAACTTAAAATTCCTGTCAGAGCCAGAGAGCAATAAACCACCGTGCCAGTCTAAAAAGCGCATTCTAGAATGGGTATGAGGTATAGGGATCAGAATCTGTTAAGCTGGAGGACAGCAGCTGATCACACCTTCCCAGACCTTTTATTTATGTCATAGACTTTTATATGCTTGTTACACCTAAATTAATAGTTGTGCAAAAAACGGAAAATTGTATAGGGTTCTCTAAAATGGAGACAAACAAAATACAGAATTAATCTGCTACAAAATTGCATATTTTGAAGATTATTTTTGAAGATCACAAAGAGTATAGAATGTACAAAGACCTCATACACAAAAAAGGAAATCAGTAACTAATTTCACAAAAGAAATAAAACTATAGTAAAAATTCTTATTAAAGAATTTTTAAACGTGATGCTGTCATTACTTTTTAAAGTGACGATTGCGCCATCTAGTGGTTCATTTTATATCTACTTGAAAAAAGCTTAAAATTATTCTCACTGCCTTATAGACAGAGCTCACAATGGTAAAATATTTTATTTAATTCACTTACACTTTATTGTATATATTTAAGGTATATAGCATAGTGTTATGGGAATAAAACACTTGCTTGGATATTAAAGTAGATAAATCACATTAAGCATAATTTAATATAGATGCCAAAATCTTATTTGAAAAAATAACAAATCGGAGCCTCATATAGTTTGTCTCAGAATTTTTAGGTCTGAAACAATTAGCTATATGTTTAATATATAATTAGTTATTATATAATTCTAATGAGAATGATTTTGTGCAAGGTCAGATTTTTCTTTTTGTTCCTTGGTTTCTATAGCACCCTGTGAAATAGAGATAATAAAAAAATTTCAAGCCTTCATTAGTTATTCTCTACTTTGGGTGATATTTTTCTAACCCTTGATGTTAATTCATTAATATTTCTTCCCTTAACCACATATACTACTCTGCCCTGAGGAGGAGTAGATTTTGTAGAAGTATGTGTGTGAGGTGAGGTGTCTATATAATGGGCAATGTAAAAACAAAACAGAGGTAGGTATCTATTTAAAGAATGTTTATTATTTTTTACAGGCTAGCTGTCTGTGCTTATCTTAGGATTGAGCATAGTATTGTGCTTGATACTGAGATTCTACAACACAGGAGGCTCCATTTTTGACCTCATGGACTTCTGTATTTTGGAGAAATCAGATTAGTAAGGAGACAATTTTAATAAAATGGGACAAGTTCTAAAATGGGTATTATGGTATCCTGTGGATGGGCATCTAAGTAATTTTAGTGAATTACTTAGGGAAGGCTTAGGAAAGGCCGCCAGAGTGAGATTTGCCCGTATAAATGTATGCACTGAAAGGAGGTGTCAAAGGACTTTGAACAGCAGGCTCAGGCAGTTCAACTTTTTTTTTTTTAAAACTATTTATTAACTTTTGTGGGTACATAGTAGGTGTACATATTTCTGGGGTACATGACATGTTTTGGTATAGGCAGGCAATGTGTGATGATCACATCATGGAAAATAGGGTATCCATACCCTCAAGCATTTATCCTTTGTGTTACAAACAATCCAATTATACTTCCTTAGTTATTTTAAAATGTACAATTAAATTATTATTGACTATAGTCACCCTGTTGTGCTATCCAATACTAGTCCTTGCTCATTCATTCTCACTAGTTTTTTGTACCCATTAACCATCCCCACCTCCCTGTTACCTACCACCGTTCTCAGCCTCTAGTGACCATCCTTCTGCTCTCTATCTCCATGAGTTCAACTGTTTTGATTTTTAGAACCCACAAATAAGTGAGAATATGTGATGTTTGCCTTTCTGTGCCTGGCTTCAGTTCAACTTTCAAGTGACATGACAGGTGTATAGAAAATGACACAAATGAGGAGGCACATTTTAAGAATATTGATCTGTTATGTGTAGGATGACTGCATAGTGTAACAATAAGCTCTCTGGTGACGTAATTTTAATCTTAGTGAGATCTTAGCATATTTTTTTTGCTACTAGAAAAGGGGCCAGCAACCTTTTTCTGTAAAGGGCAAGGCAGTTTACAGTTTTGCTTTGTGGGCCATATAGACACTGTTGCAATAACCGAACTCTGCCATTGTTGAAAGCAGCCACAGAAAACACACAAATGGGTGTGGCTGTATTCCAATGAATTTTAGTTACACAAATAGGTGGTAGGCCAGATTTGGCCCATCTACCATAGTTTTCTGACCCCGGCACTCTAGACCATTAATTCCGTAAGAGCAGAGATAGGGTCTGTTTTGTTTTTTATTATTGTCTCAAGGCCCCAAACAGTTCTTGGTTTATTGTAAGTTTTCATTGACTATTCATGGAATAAACACACAAATGAATAAATATAATAGGTCATGGCTGGGATAAGAAAGCAGATGGAGGCAAAAGTCCTGAATAGGAAAATTGCTGTGGGGATGCAGAGGTTGAAGTAGATGTGAGAGGCATTTTCAAGGCTTTGGTAAGTGTGTTAGTATGAAAGAGGAAAAATTATAGTAATGACAAACATTATTTGTCACTTACCATGTGCCAGGCAGTCTTCTAACCTTTCTAGTTTCTCTATTATGTTATAAGAAGGGTACTAGCATCATCCTCATTTTTCAGAGAAGGAATCTAAGGAAGAGAGAGGTTAAGTCTGCTAATGAGCGAGGAAATCCACCTTTTAGTCACCATTTTATGTCTCTCAATCCTGTGGAAATGTTGGGACCATGAAAGAGTATGGTGTTGTTAGTGAAATAGGGACAACTGGATAGCAATATAGTAAAGGGAAAACATAAAGAATCCACTTTTATAAGCTTTATTCCTGGGATGGAGACTGGTTCAACATACACAAATTGATAAATTTGATTCACCACATAAATAGAATTAAAAGCAAAAACCATATCATGTCCTCAATAGATGCAGAAAAGACTTTGATAAAATTCAACTTTCTTTTGTGTTAAAAACCCTCAACAATTAGGCATTGAAGGAACATACTTCAAAATAATGAGAGCAGTCTATGACAAATCCACAGCCCAACATCATCCTGAACGGGTGAAAGATCGAACCATTCCCCTTGAGAACTGCAACAAGACAAGGATGCCCACTCTCACCACTCCTATTCAACACAGTAATGGAAGTGCTAGCCCAAGCAATCAGGCAAGAGAAAGAAGAAAAGATATCCAGATAGAAAGAGAGGAATTCAAGCTATCTCTCCTTGCAGATGATACTATTCTATACTGAGAAAATCCCATGGCCTCTGCCAAAAGGCTCTTAGAACTCATAAATAACTTCAGTAAAATTTCAGAATATAAAATCGCTGTACAAAAATCAGTAGCATGCCTATACACCAATTACATCCAAGGTGAGAACCAAAGCAAGAATGAAATCCCATTTACAGTAGCCACAAAAAGAATAAAGTACCTAGGAATACGGAACCAAGGAGGTGAAAGATCTTTACAATGAGAATTACAAAACACTGATAAAGGAAATCAGAGATAACACAAACAAATGAAAAAAGATTTCCTGCTCATGGAAAGGAAGAATCAATATGGTTAAAATGGCTATACTGACAAAAACAATTTACAGATTCAATGTTATTCCTATCAAACTACCAACATAATTTTTCACAGAATTAAAATATTCTAAAATTCATATGGAAACAAAAAAGAGGCTAAATAGCTGAAATGATCCTAAGCAAAAAGAACAAGGCCGGAGACATCACACTCCCTAACTTCAAACTATACTACAAGCCTACAGTAACCAAAATAGCATGGCACTGGTGCAGAAACAGACACACAGACCAATGGAACTGGACAGAGAACATAGAAATAAAGTCATACACCTAAAAGCACCTGATCTTCAACAAAGTCAATGATAACAAGCACTGGGGAAAGGGCTTCCTATTCGATAAATGGTGCTGGGATAACTGGCTAGCCATATGCAGAAGACTGAAACTGGACCCCTTCCCTTCATTATATATGTTATGAAAATTAACTCAATATGGACTAAAGACTTTAAGATCTAAACCTATAAAAACCCTAGAAGAAAACCTAGGAAATACCATTCTGGACATCAGGCTTGGTAAAGAATTTACGACTAAGTCCCCAGAAGCAATTTCCATAAAAACAAAAATTGACAAGTGGGACCTAATTAAACCAAAGAGCTTCTGCACAGCAAAAGAAACTATCAACAGAGTAAACAGACAACCTACAAAATGGGAGAAAATATTCACACACTACACAACAAAAAAGGTCTAATGTCCAGAATCTATAAGGAACTTAAACAATTCAACAAGCAGAAAACAGACAACCCCATTAAAAAAATGGGCAAATGACATGAACAGACACTTCTCAAAAGAAGACATACATGAAATCAACAAATAGATTAAGTAATGCTCAACATCACTAATCGTTAGAGAAATGCAAATCAAAACCACAATGAGAAACCAACTCACACCAATCAGAATGGCTATTATAAAATGTAAAAAAAATGACAGCCATTGGTGAGGTTGCAATGAAAAGGGCACACTTACACATTGCTAGTGGGAATGTAAATTACTTCAGCCATTGTGGAAAGCAGTGTGGAGATTTCTTAAAGAACTTAGAACGACCATTCAACCCAGCAATACCATTACTGGCTATATACCCAAAGGAATATAAATCATTCTATCAAAAAGACATATGCATTTGTATGTTAACCGCAGCACTATACACAATAGCAAAGACATGGAATCAACCTAGATGCCCATCAACAGGGTACTGGATAAAGAGAATGTGGTACATATATACCATGGAATACTACACAGCCATTGAAAAAATGAAATCATGTCCTTTGAAGAAACATGAATGCAGCTGGAGGCCATTATCTTAAGCAAACTAACATAGGAACAGAAAACCAAATACTGCATATTCTCATTTATAAGTAGGAGCTGAACAATGAGTACATATGGACACAAACAAATGGGAACGATAGGCACTGGGGACTACTTGATGTAGGAAGGTGGGAGGGAATGTGGGGTGAAAAACTACCTATTGGGTACTATGCTCACTATCTGGGTGATGGAATTATTTGTACACCAAACCTCGGCAACACACACTTACGTAACAAACCTGCACATGGACACCCTGAACCTAAAAGAAAAGTTGAAAAAAACCCCACTTTTAGCTAGACTGCATTGAAGGTAAGAGTAGGTGATAAAATAGCTTTTTTTTTTCTATAAGCATCTAGGGACATGGCTCATAAATTTGATGATAGTTCAGGACATAAGGCAGATTTAATTAAATAGACTAGCAGGCAAAGAGCTGGGACACATGCACCTGGCATACAATACCTAAGACTACTTAAATTATACTGAGGAATCATTAACATTATACAGAGCACTGTTTTCTTATTTCAAGACCATTCAAAAAATGTTATGTATCCTTAATTGTCAGTACAAGGAAAAATTTGTGGGTTCTTCTGTCTCCAAACATAAACAGATGATAGCAGAGAATAAAATGTTAAACACTTTGGAAATGTGATTAATAGCTCATCATGATAGTAAATCAAGAGATGAATATTAGAGTATGTTCTTACTAATATAGTTAATTATTTTACTTCTGTGCATTTAGAATGAAACTCATTTGAATTCCTAAATTGCAGATAAATTGTTTAGTTCTGACCGTCAATTTTATAGCTTAGAACTTCTATGGGTTAATTTTTCCTCATTACTATAGAAATTCAACATGAAGATTTTAATTTTCTTGTACTTAGGCAAGTCTAAGACTGTAAGAGTTTAGTATGAACATGGATATAAAAAATTAACTGAAAATGAGATAATAGAAGATTTAATGTTTTTTGTTAAATATCATTCACTTACTAAACATTACCAAAGAGGGAATATAGAGCAGCATTGTACTTCGTTACCAAGGTGAGTACAAAATAGAAAACATGGTCTTGTTCCCCACCCTGAGGACTTGCTACTTTATTTAGAATAATGTATTTGTATGAAATATATGATATATATAAAATATAATATTCAGTTTCTTAGGGCTTTACCTTAGTGCCAGGCACCATTTTAAGTACTTTGATGTAGTACTTAATCAAAGTTTAATCACCATATAAAACCTACAAAGTAAATACTATTATTAGCTCTCAGATTGCAGATGAGAAGCTAATACAGAAAAATATAATCTCTGCTTAGCCTACTTTTTCAGCTTACCTATCAAATATGGATTTTGATGCTTTGGACAAGAGAGATTCTTATGTATATGTTGAGGCTGAGATAAGAACAGAGAATGAAAGTTATTGGAGAAAATTTACCTTGAGCTGGATCTGTAAAAAAGTTCTGGTTATAGATTTGTGGGTTTTCTATGCATAAGCAAAAGCACAGACACAAAATCTATGTGGTGTGATGATAAAGTCAAATGAATAATATAATAAACGCATGTAATTTAGCAATGGGCGATCACACGACCTAAAGGAATCTAGTTCTGCATATATAACTTATTTCTCTGCTCTTTAAAGAAAAAGGAAAACATAGCTGAATTATCTTCTCAGGTCATCTCCTGTGTGGATGACTTAATTCATATAAAATTGCTTTCCTTTATGGCTTATTTCCATTTGAGTAACAAGTTGGGGGAATAAGGTAAGTGTGATATGATGTATAACATTTTACCTGCCAAAATTTGCTGGATTTTAAATGACATGCTCAAAATTTGAAGTCTTTGAAGAATATACAATCAAGTGTTAAAACAAATGAACCTCATCGTACACTGGAATGTGATGGCATATTGAAACTCGACATGTTTACTAGGACGGGTTGCTATAATAATCACTCCACCTGCTGACATTCCCCTATGGCCTTCCTTTCTTTGCTGGTGAGATACTCACCTAGGTCCTTGGTGATACCTCACAGAGTGTAAGAAGGATGAGATGAAATGACTCTTTACATACTAATGAAAATACTGGCAGTTGTCTGTAGGCCTTATTTTGTAGTTCTTCAGGTTTAAGGGCTTGAACACTGTAGTATGTTAACAGTTGCACTCAGAATTCCTATTAAGGAGAGAACTGTCTTTGGGAAACTACATGAGCTGCTTGGAGTAGACAGTGGACCCTGGTTGCATTGGGATGAACATGAGCCTGGACTACAAAATAAGATGATAAATTACTCTGCCTGAGACCAGGAGGGACTTGTGGTTTGTTTTAACCTACAGATCAGTTGGAAAAAAGCAAAGCAAAGGACAGAAGACAAAAACTGGAGTGGAATTGCCATGTATTTACTGCAGTGGTGGGGTGACCAAAAGACAAGTTGGAAGTTATTTAGGTGGCCATGATATAAACCTCTTCCTTCAACATTGTCACCTCTCCCCACCCCCTGCACCAATCTAAACAATCTGATCTAAAAATGTAAATGGCTTTGTTAATTTGATAGAAATTAAAGAAGTTGATTGTAGCTTTTAGGCATCTGTGATATGGAATACACAGTATGGGTGAAAGACTGGTGAGCTAGAGATGACTTTAGAAGATAAACATTCCTTTTGGAATCTTCACAATTTATGTAGATGTCAAGGGTCTGGTAGAAAGTAACTGACATCTGAGTTATAAAAAGACCACGAGAGAAAAGAGGTTACTCTTAAGCCACAGTGTAGGGAGGCTTGATGAAAATCCACAGTGAATTCTTACCTCTGACTCTTATTTTCCAGCTACTTAAATAATAAAGAAACAAAAAATGTGAGCTTATTTTAAAATCTACACTCTTCAAATAAGTTTTCCATATTTTCTGACTATGGAAAGATAATTTTCTGAAAATGTCTCATCTTTGGCCAGTGGGAGTCTCTTTAAGTAGGCTCCTGTTGTCTTTTAATATAACCATAGTTGTCTTTGTTAACATTCTTGCTTTTAGGCATAAAAAGATATCTAGGCTTATGTATTTTCTGTCCTAGAGCTGAGTGTACAATTCTCCAAGAAGTCTTGGTTCATTTTAGTGGAAAATGGTATTTGGAGATGACAATTTTGGCACTAGAAGTGTTCATTGATACTGAGTTATTGTTTCTAAATCTTTTTAGCAGATATAGCTGGGAAATTTTTTAAAAAAAAAGAAAGATTTTTTTTTTTGAGGTGGAGTCTTGCTCTGTTGCCCAGGCTGGAGTGCAATGGCACAATCTTGGCTCACTGCAGCCTCTGCCTCCTGGGTTCAAGTGATTCTCCCTCCTCAGCCTCCTGAGTAGAAAGTTAAGTAATGAGTTCATACATTAATTCCAGTTCATATTAAGGATTAGAATGATTTTTACTTCTTTGATTTTATGCCTAGATCTCTTTCATGCTGAAAATTCTAGTTCCTAATGATTAATGTTAATATAATTGTTCATTTGGTTTATATATATCTATGTGTTATATAAATATAATGCTATTTGGGTATTTTTATATATAGTTTTAAAATAACAATATCAATGTTACCACTAACATCAAGACTACAGGATGCAATAGAATCTCTTTATGGTTCTTTTTGTCTTTAGGCTATAATCTACTGTATAGTCAAAATATTGTGTTTTAAAATCAATTGAACTAAATCTTTTCTGCTTGGTTATGCTACCAACTTGAAGTACAGTTCATTTCCTAATTTTTCTTCAGTATTTAAAAATTGGTCTTTTTCATTTTTAATTGACCATGTGAAACATTTTACCTGGTTCCAAATAAAAACTGTAAAGCAAATTATAGTTAGAAAGTCTAGCTTTTATCCTTTTACTACTTCTTGTTTTCTCCCTTACCCTATAGATAACTATTTATAAATTGTGTGTGTGTAATCTTGCATTTTTTTCTTAGAAAAATATGAGCATATTTGTATGTGTATCTATATTTATGTATTTATATCTGTTTATCTATATCTATTATCCCCTTTTCTTACATGTTTCTTTACCCTGATTTTTTTCACTTAATAAGTCCTGAGGATCACTCCATAGCAACATATAAAAGGTCTTTTTTTTATGTATGTGAAGTCCTCCATTATATAAACATTCCTTAGCTTTTTCAACAAGATACCTAGTGATGAACATTTGAGCAGTTTCCAGTCTTTGTTTTAACAAATAGAGAAATTAGTTTGCTCTAATACATAATAGTGTCTGATTCTCTACAGCCTCACTAATAGATTAGTCATATTTTTAGCTTTTTGCCAACCTCATAGGTGAGAAAAATTATCTACCTCAAATTGGAATCTCTAAAAGACAGAGTTAAAGGTAATTCCAAGGAAGTAGGGAGTACTCTCTCAAGGAAGCAACAGTGAGAGAAAAGCAAAGGGAGGAGGAAAAAAGGAGAACCAGTACAAGGTAATGAGTTACCAAGCTGGCCATAGCTTCACAAGAAACTCAGCTGATTGCTTGGTAAGGAGAGGCGGTTTCTTGGAAGGCGGGATAGAGTAGTACAATTAATTTGATTGCAATGCAGAGAGAAAAAGAATAGCAGGAATAGGCAGGTTGATAACAGTCATGTATAGCTTGACAACAGATTAAAAATTTACATTTTGCTGCATTGGCAGTGGAAAACCAGGAAACATTTTGAGCAGGAAAATGATTAAGAGCAAAGAGGATTTTAGGAAGATTCAACCTGGATTAAGGTTAGGAGTGTTTAGGGAACAGGTCACTAGTTGGAAAACAATTACATGTCCAGATGAGGAGTAATAGAAGACTGAATTAAGCATTGTTGGACAAAATATATAAAAGAAGACAGTCTGAGCAAAGGATGCTTAATTTGGGAACTTTGGCAGACCTTAGAGAATCTATTATTGGGTTCTAGGGGTTTGTAAACCTCTAAAATGATAAGCACATTTTTGTGTTCCAAGTATGTTCAGTTTTTAGGAGAAAGGGTTTTTGGCTTTGACCTGATGCTCAAAGGCATTTATAAGACAAAAAATAATTAGGAAATCCTGAATCAATGAGATTTTGTGATCACTGATAGATTTATGTTGTAAATAAGCCTCATTTATGAACTTAATCTTTGATGCATTTTACATTTTTACAACCACATTCTTCCAACTCCTATTGTACTTATTGTCTGTGCCACTCATTTTAACATCTAACTTGTTTTTGTAAGTTTTGTTTTTCCTACACTGCTTTTCTTTTTTTTTTTCAGATGGAGTTCCCCTCTTGTCATCCAGGCTGGAGTGCAGTGGTGCGATCTCAGCTCTCTGCACCTTCTGCCTCCCAGGTTCAAGCGATTCTCCTGCCTCAGCCTCCCAGGTAGCTGGGATTACAGGCACCCACCACCACACTGGCTAATTTTTGTATTTTTTAGTAGAGATGGGGTTTTGCCATGTTGACCAGGCTGGTCTTGAACTCCTGACCTCAGGTGATCCACCCATCTCGGCCTCCCAAAGTGCTGGGATTACAGGCATGAGCCACGATGACAGGGCTACACTGTGTTTTTCTTAAAGGGACACATCTGCATATTGTCCTCAGTCACAGGTTACTATACAACATGGTGACTATGGTTAGTAACAATGTCTTGTGTTTTGAAAATTGCTGAGAGTAGATTTTAAATATTCCAATCAGAAAAAATTATAAATATGTGAGGTAATGCATATGTTAATTAGCTCATTTGAGCCATTCCACAATGTATATATATTTTGAAACATCATGTTCTACATGATAAATATATCCAATTTTTATTTGTCAATTAAGAAAATAAAGGAAAAAAGTACCACTTAAATAAAACTTGCTTAAAAACACCTATTAAGCTAGACATGGTGGAAGAAATTGGCAAAAATGTAAAATATCTTTCTTCTCACTAAACATTTTTAGTTTGGAATCAAATAGCCATTTAATTAAAGCATTTTATTTACCTAAAAAAAAAAAAAAAGACACCTACCAAGCACATACACACATAGAACTAAGAACTAAACCCATTTTTTGTTTTTCACTTAAAAATTTTGTTTTAATGTAACCTTTTTTCTTTTTTATCCTTGGCTACTAAGAACAGAAATAGTTTTACATTTCTTTGTTGCATCAGAACTCATCCCAGGAGCATAAAGGCCTGAAATGAACTCTGCCTTATGATACTCACATTTGAGAAATTCCATTAGAACACAGATGGATCTGTGTGTGGTGATGAACTCGGAGCAGGAGAGAAGGGCTTTCATCACTTCACCAGGGTCCTGAACACACTGGAAACCTTATCAGGCCCCATCTCTCTCCTTACTTGGAATAAGACTTTCCCTTATGTACCAAAACAATGCCTCCCATCTCAGCTAAGAGGAAGGGAGCTAAAGGGAGCATTTTGAGTTGTTGTTTTAAATTTATAACATTAAACTGTTCATTGTTAAGACCCTTTGATCAGCTTTGAGGTTTTCCTTTTACAATTGATTCTAAACACCATAAAATTGGTGCTTCTGTGTTGGTACTTGCCTCTTGAGCATTTAACAAATATTTCATAAGGTGTGTTAGTTATTTTTCAGGAAAAGATTAAACTTTAGCTTTGAGCTGTCTATAAGGCTACCTAGAAATTCAATTTAATATTACCCTGCTTCAGTTGAAAAATAAAGTTTAGAGCCATATAAAATTAAGAATCTGTAACTAGGATAAGTACAGAAATAAACTTCTTAAACACTTTTGAAAAGTATATTACAAAGCACAATTTTTTTTTCTTTAAAGGAGGTATTCTTATATTGAGATTAGAAAAGAATTGTTTAAAACTGTCAAAAGGAATAAAATTCTTTAAACTGCTGCTGCCACTGGATCTGAATGTCTGTGAATGGGAGACTTAATATTTTTGAACAGCTTTATTGAGGTATAATTTACTTACCATAAAATTCACTTGTTTTAAGTTCAGGGATCTGTAAATTTAATGTTATTAAATGATGGTCACAAGAGCTACTTCTGGCTCTGTAGTATATCTTCATAGTTAGTAATTATTTTGTAATTATGTCAATAAGAGGATCCCCAAACTGGTCACAATTTTGATAAGAAAAATTTTTAGAATCCTGTAAGGAAATTTGTCAGATGTATCTTTCCCCCTGTACATTATTGCTTGTCTATTTGTTACTCAAATTTAGGCCCTCATGTTTGAGATACTGCATTCCACCCACACGGCAATCTATGAAATCCCCAGGATATGTGTTATAAAGAAAGGTATTTTCAATTTGGAGAAAATACAATGTGCCAACTGAAGATAATTTCAACGTTATTTTTTAAAATTAAGATGAAATGAACAGGTTACAACCAGTAAATAAAGAGCGACTTAACACTCTTGTTACCTCATTAAAATTATTTGCTGTTTTTAAGTTCATTTCTTGCTATTTAGATTCTGGAGAGAATCTTGACCCTCGAAATGGAAGATCTGATTTTGGGTCCTGCTGTACTACTCACAGGGTGCTCATACATCCTCTCGAATTACTCACAGTCTCTGGGGCTTATTTTCCCCCTATAATATTGGAATTAGGATACTGGCATTGAGTAATTTAGAGGGTTTTAGTGAGGAGCAATGGAAATAATATTTTAAAAAATGCTTTGTTACACACAAAGTCCTGTGCAATTGTAAGGTATTACGTTTAATATCGGAACTCAATAAAATTTCTATATTAATCAAAATAATCTGCAAATGGTTCTAAGTACCTATCTATACTTGGCACTATATATTCCAAGATAAATATATATGGCTCTTAGGTTCAAACTGTTAGGCTGTTTGGTCCACATGGAATAACGTAGGGTGGGGATGGATTCCCCACCTTCACCTTCAACTTCATATGCTTTCCTATTGCAACTTTCTAGATCCCTGTTTATTATCACATAAAAAAACCCCCAAAATACTTAGTAGTAACCCCTGAAGAATGACTACAACTCTTTAGATAAAGTGAAGTAAACGTGTGCTTCTAATTAAGTTTAGTTGTAGAGCAAATTAGAGTGCATACTTTGTAAAGCAATCTAAAGGTTTCATTAAAAATTGTAGAGAAGTAATGATAAAATTATAGTGGTAAAGCTAATGCCAAAAGTTATTGCTCTGTGATGGTGGCATCCCAAGCCTTACATTTTGTCCTCAGGAATTCCATGGGTTGAGTCAAACTATACATTTTTTTTCTCCACAAATTTTACTGTGACTAGCAGTTGTTTGAGCTTTGCTTTTGATCATTTTCTAGTGAGGAGGTGGAGGGGATTTGTTCAGGGAGAGTAAGAGATTCACTCATGTCTTTTAAAACTATGCTTTCTTCAGGGTAGGCTCTGTCTTTCAGGAGAAACTCTGACACTCCTCTTTCCCAGCTGCTTTGCAGGGAGCCGGTGTTCCTGGTGAACACTGTGTCCTGTGAGGAGCATTTTGACAAATCTCTCTTTAGCTGTCTTATACATGTATGAGACATAAGAAATTTATGAGTAGCTAGAGTGTAAGAAATTAAATGACATAGTGCTTACTTCCACTTTCTTTAGCATATTCCCAGAACCCCTCATATACTACTTTTGCATAGACGAGATGCTCAGCAAAAGGAGTAATTAATATAAAAACATTCTCCTTTCTTTTTTCCTTCTCACTCAATGGGTCCACGTTGGTTTCATACTAAAGTAGTTCAGAAGTCAAATTGTGTAGCTTTACTATTGCCCTTTCTAAAGGGGCTCAAACCTACATATGAAAGCAAATCCCAATATGTAAGCCTTTGTGTGGTTAACATTTCTGTCTACTCTCTCAATAGTATGGATTTAAGTGATATTTTTCATGGTGCCTGGAATGAGATGTAGTGATTCACTGTCATTGTTTCACAGAACTAAGATGGCATAAATGCTGTGCTGATCCTATTTTTAGTTGCCTTCACCTGTCCTCCCATCATGTAACAAGTCTACATAAGAACATTTTAAATATGTGCATCTGTTTGTGTTCCTAGTTTGTACAAGTGGAATGACAGAGTGGAGTACCAGTTAGAGTGCAAACAACCTGCTACTTTCATTCCTAATAACGTCATACTTACTAAACACTAGTTCCACTCTCTATGCATGTCCCACCATTGCCACATTTCATTAAACTGCAGGGAGAAGCATGACACTGGCCAACACTGCGTCCAGCATTTGGGTGGCCCTCAGGATTTCCCAGTCCTCTGAAATGGCCATCCTTCTCAGTGCGAACTTGAAGAGTGAAAATACAGCCTTGAAGAAATGCAAAAACACTTCGTGTTAACAAACAGAAGAAATAGAAAAAACAAGAAGAAGGTTATTTTTCATTTTTAAAGTAGAAGTTTTTCAAAATAAAGTAATACATGTAAATTTTAAAAGAAATATAAGAATACAGAAATGCGCAGAGAAATTTTTTTTTAAAAGTCATTCATGATATCATTTCACAGCAGACAACTATTAACATTTTGGTGTGTGTGTGTGTGTGGTATTTTTTCTATGCTTAGTCATATTTTCTTTTAAACAAAAATGCAATCTGCACTAAGCTGTAGAAAATATAATATTATACCAAAAAGTTGAACATCATAAATAACATTAACTTTTTTCTTGTAGCATTAACTATTTTTAAGTGATGGCATATTTTCTTATATCAAAATATATTTAATAAACCTATAATTATTATACCATTGACTTATTTATACTTTTTGCTATTAGAAATAAAATTGTAATGAATATCTTATGTGTATATCTTTGTCCATTTAAATTATTTTTAGTACATATTTCTAGAAGTAGAATTACTAGGGGAAAAGATATAGATGCTTTGAAGTATGCCTAAGTGTCCCCCATAGATCACAACTGGACTCAGGAGACTGGGATACCCCTTTCTTCACAGGCACTACCATGCCTGGGATTACCATTCCATTTCATTTTTACATGCGATAGCTAATAAAATACTATTTTACCGTTTTTGGTTGGGTATCAAAAATCTTTTAACAAATTTATTGGTCATTCATAATTTATATTATAATTTGTATTTATAGTATATAAAGAGAGTCTCCTTATATAATGAGGACATTAGCTATTTGTAATATACGGTAAATAAACTTTCTCCAGTTTAATATTTACCACTCAATTTTGCTATGGTAGTTTTTTTTTTTTTTAGGTAAAGAAGTTTATGTTTATGTTGTCACATTTTTCTCTTTTTTCTTTCAGAGATTTTGCCTTTCTATACATCTTTAGAAAGAACTTCTCGGCCGGGAACGGTGGCTCATGCCTGTAATCCCAGCACTTTGGGAGGCCGAGGCGGGTGGATCACGAGGTCAGGAGATTGAGACCATCCTGGCTAACATGGTGAAACCCCATCTCTATTAAAAATACAATTAGCCGGGCGTGGTGGCGGGTGCCTGTAGTCCCAGCTACTCGGGAGGCTGAGGCAGGAGAATTGTGTGAACTCCAGAGGCAGAGCTTGAAGTGAGCTGAGATCGCGCCACTGCACTCCAGCCTGGGCAACAGAGCGAGAGTCTGTTTCAAAAAAAAAAAAACCAAACAAACAAAAATAACTTTTCTACCCCAAGATTGGATAAATATATGTAAATAAAAAGGACAGTTCAGTGAAAAATTTGAAATGAAAGTGTTTGAAATCCTGAAATGTATTGTAATTTTACTCAGCTCCTTTAGCAGTTACTTATAGTTTATTTGCAAAGTTCTTTCAAATAAATGGGAACATCAACCAGAAATAAGGTCTTTAAAATGATAAAATAAAGGCAAGATTGAATTTTATTTTCAAAACTTTTTTTTGGAGGCATAAAAAGCTTTCTTTTTCTTTTTTTTGTCATTGTTATACTTTAAGTTCTAGGGTACATGTGCATACCTTGCAGGTTTGTTATACTGTATACATGTGCCATGTTGGTGTGCTGCACCCATTAACTCGTCATTTACATTAGGTATTCCTCCTGATGCTATCCCTCCGCACTCCCCCGACCCCATGACAGGCCCCAGTGTGTGATGTTCCCCACCCTGTGTCCAAGTGTTCTCATTGTTCAATTCCCACCTATGAGTGAGAACATGCAGTGTTTGGTTTTCTGTCCTTGGGATAGTATGCTCAGAATGATGGTTTACAGCTTCATCCATGTCCCTACAAAGGACATGAACTCATCCTTTTTTATGGCTGCATAGTATTCCATGGTGTATATGTGCCACATTTTCTTAATCCAGTCTATCATTGATGGGCATTTGGGTTGGTTCCAAGTCTTTGCTATTGTGAATAGTGCTGCAATAAACATACGTGTGCATGTGTCTTTATAGCAGCATGTTTTATAATCCTTTAGGTATATGCCCAGTAATGGGATCGCTGGGTCAAATGGTATTTCTAGTTCTAGATCCTTGAGGAATCCACTCACTGTCTTCCACAATGGTTGAACTAGTTTACAGTACCGCCAACAGTGTAAAAGTGTTCCTATTTCTCCACATCCTCTCCAGCACCTGTTGTTTCCTGATTTTTTAATGATCGGCATTCTAACTGATGTGAGATGGTATCTCATTGTGGTTTTGATTTGCATTTCTCTGATGGCCACTGATGATGAGCATTTTTTCATGTGTCTGTTGGTTGCATAAATGTCTTCTTTTGAGAAGTGTCTGTTCATATCCTTTGCCCAGTTTTTGATAGGGTTGTTTGATTTTTTCTTGTAAATTTGTTTAAGTTTTTTGTAGATTCTGGATATTAGCCTTTTGTCAGATGGGTAGATTGCAAAAATTTTCTCCCATTCTGTAGGTTGCCTGTTCACTCTGATGGTAGTTTCTTTTGCTGTGCAGAAGCTCTTTAGTTTAATTAGATCCCATTTGTCAATTTTGGCTTTTGTTGCCATTGCTTTTGATGTTTTAGACATGAAGTCCTTGCCTATGCCTATGTCCTGAATGGTATTGCCTAGATTTTCTTCTAGGGTTTTTATGGTTTTAGGTCTAACATTTAAGTCTTCAATCCATCTTGAATTAATTTTTGTATAAGGTGTAAGGAAGGAATCCAGTTTCAGCTTTCTACATATGACTAGCCAGTTTTCCCAGAACCATTTATTAAGTAGGGAATCCTTTCCCAATTTCTTGTTTTTATCAGATTTGTCAAAGATCAGATGGTTGTAGATGTGTGCTATTATTTCTGAAGGCTCTGTTCTTTTCCATTGGTCTATATCTCTGTTTTGGTAGCAGTACCATGCTGTTTTGGTTACTGTAGCCTTGTAGTATAGTTTGAAGTCACGTAGCGTGATGCCTCCAGGTTTGTCCTTTTTGCTTAGGATTGTCTGGGCAATATGGGCTCTTTTTTGGTTCCATATGAACTTTAAAGTAGTTTTTTCCAATTTTGTGAAGAAAGTCATTGGTAGCTTGATGGGGATGACATTAAATCTATAAATTACCTTGGGCAGTATGGCCATTTTCATGATATTGATTCTTCCTGTCCATGAGCATGGAATGTTCTTCCATTTGTTTGTGTCCTCTTTTATTTCATTGAGCAGTGGTTTGTAGTTCTCCTTGAAGAGGTCCTTCACATCCCTTGTAAGTTGGATTCCTAGGTATTTTACTCTCTTTGAAGCAATTGTGAATGGGAGTTCACTCATGATTTGGCTCTCTGTTTGTCTGTTATTGGTGTATAGGAATGCTTGTGATTTTTGCACATTAATTTTGTATCCTGAGACTTTGCTGAAGTTGCTTATCAGCTTAAGGAGATTTTGGGCTGAGACAATGGGGTTTTCTAAATATACAATCATGTCATCTGCAAACAGGGACAATCTTACTTCCTCTTTTCCTTATTGAATTCCCTTTCTTTCTTCCTCCTGCCTGATTGCCCTAGCCAGAACTTCCAACAGTATGTTGAATGGGAGTGGTGAGAGAGGGCATCCCTATCTTGTGCCGGTTTTCAAAGGGGATCCTTTCAGTTTTTGCCCATTCAGTATGATATTGGCTGTGGGTTTGTCATAAATAGCTCTTATTATTTTGAGATACATCCCATCAATACCTAGTTTATTGAGAGTTTTTATCATGAAGAGCTGTTGAATTTTGTTAAAAGCCTTTTCTGCATCTATTGAGATAACCATGTGGTTTTTGTTTGTGGTTCTGTTTATATGATGGATTACATTTATTGATTTGTGTATGTTGAACTAGCCTTGCATCCCAGGGATGAAGCCAACTTGATCATGGTGGATAAGCTTTTTGATGTGCTGCTGGATTCAGTTTGCCAGTATTTTATTGAGGATTTTTGCATTGATGTTTATCAAGGATATTGGTCTAAAATTCTCTTTTTGTGTTGTTTCTCTGCCAGGCTTTGGTATCAGGATGATGCTGCCCTCATAAAATGAATTAGGGAAGATTCCCTCTTTTTCTATTGATTGGAATAGTTTCAGAAGGAATGGTGCCAGCTCCTCTTTGTACCTCTGGTGGAATTCAGCTGTGAATCTGTCTGGTCCTGGACTTTTTTGGGTTGGTAGGCTATTAATTATTGCCTCAATTTCAGAGCCTGTTATTGGTCTATTCAGGGATTCAACTTCTTCCTGCTTTAGTCTTGGGAGGATATATGTGTCCAGGAATTTATCCATTTCTTCTAACTTTTCTAGTTTATTTGTGTAGAGGTGTTTATAGTATTCGCTGATGGTAGTTGGTATTTCTGTGGGATCGGTGGTGATATCGCCTTCATCATTTTTTATTGCATCTATTTGATTCTTCTCTCTTTTCTTCTTTATTAGTCTTGCTAGCAGTCTATCCATTTTGTTGATCTTTTCAAAAAACCAGCTTCTGGATTCATTGATTTTTTGAAGGGGTTTTTGTGTCTCTATCTCCTTCAGTTCTGCTCTGATCTTAGTTATTTATTGCCTTCTGCTAGTGTTTGAATGTGTTTGCTCTTGCTTCTCTAGTTCTTTTAATTGTGTTGTTAGGGTGTCAATTTTAGATCTTTCCTGCTTTCTCTTGTTGGCATTTAGCCAACCATTTGACTGACTAGGTACCAAATAAGTAATAGCTTTTTTTTTTAAACTGCAGTATAGCTTTTTTTTTTTTTATCCTGGGTTTCTAAATTATTGCAGTAAACTGATTACATTTTCCCATATGGGCTCTTCTTTGAAGAATCTCATATGATTAAAAAAAGGAGAGAGAAAAAAATTGAACTCACAAGAAACCGAAAGTACTGACCGTGTTGGCTATTTTTAGATGAGAATAACTCTCATTTACAGGGTTGTTAATAAATCTGAATCTATCTCATGTCCACTCTATTCAGAGTAGTAAATATTTAATAACCTCCATATCAATGAGCAGTAGTTGCTGTAACACTAGAAGCTTATTTCCTGTTCATGTAAAGTCCAAAGGGTGGTTAGGGTTGGCATCCAGGTGAGTTGGCAAACAGAGTACAGGACTGTGCAGAAGATTTTCATAGGCAAGGCCTGGAAGTAGCAACTATTACACCTGCTGACATCTCACTGGCCAGAACTCAGGCACATGGTCATGCATAGCTGTAAGAGAGTCTGGGAAAGATCTGGTGGTAACAACATGTCACAAGCATGTATTATGTGAAAGCACCATTCCAGGTGCTGTGGAGATCTGTTATCAGTAAAAACTAAAAATCCTATTCTCCAGAAGCTTACTAAATTCTAAATTAAGACATACATTCTCTAGGTATATAATTATATTAGGTATGAAATGCTAAGTGGGAAAAGACTTGGTGCTCCAAAGACTTCAGAAAGAGCTCACTCTCAATGAGTGAGCTCAGAGAGTGGGCTCTCATTGAGGAGGTGTGATTTGAGCTTGCTTTCCAGGCAAATGGAATTTGAAGAGGTGGAGAATGCTGATTTAAGCACGGGCCCTGAGGCAGGGAAAATAAGACATACAGAGAGGCAGTGGCTAGATATAGTGATAGTTGATTTTATGTGCCAACCTGACTTGGCCATGGGGTGCCCAGATACTTGGTCAAATATTGTGTGTGTGTGTGTGTGTTAGGATGAGATTAACACTTGAATTGATAAACTGGGTAAAGCAGATTGCCCTCCCTAATGTGGGTGGGCCTCATTCAATCACTGAAGACCTAAATGGAACAAAAAAGAGGGAATTCTTCCTGCCTGATTACTTGAGCTGGGACATTGGTCTTTTCCAGCCTTCGTACTTGGACTGAAACATTGGCTTTTCTTGGGTCTTGAGCCTGATGGCTTTCAGACTGGAACTCACACCACTTGCTCTCCTTGTTCTTAGGGTTTCAGACTCAGGCTGGAGCTACACATCAATTATCCTGGGTCTCCAGGTTGCTGACTGTGGATTTTGGGACTTCTCAGCTTCCATAATCATGTGACCCAATTCCTTATTAAAAATCTCTCTCTCTCTCTCTCTGTGCACACCTGATTGGTTCTGTTTCTCTGGAGATGCCTGACTAATACAGATAGATTTTATTGAATTAAAAAATCAGTGGAAGCGAGTTAAGTATAGAAAAAATACATGGGTTTTGGAATGTCAGGGGTGTTAGTCCATTCTCACATTGCTGTAACTTACTACCTGAAACTGGGTAATTTATAAAGAAAAGAGATTTAATTGGCTCATGGTTTCACAGGCCATGCAGGAACCATGGCTGGGGAGGTCTCAGGAAACTTACAGTCATGATGGAAGGTGAAGAGGAAGGAGGTATGTCTTACATGGCTGGAGCAGGAGGAAAAGAGTGAAGGGGGGTGATACACACTATTAAACAACCAGATCTCATGAGAACGCACTATCACAAGAACAGCAAGGGGGAAATCTACCCCCATGATCCAAACACCTCCCACTTGGCCCCTCCTCCAGCACTGGAGATCACAATTTGACATGACATTTGGGCAGGAACACAAATCCAAACCATATCACCATGTAAAAAATTCAGTTATTATTCTAGAGTTGACAGGGTGTCTGTTGCGTTCTAGAGCAGGAAAATGGTATAATTCATTAGCATGGCAATAGGGTTATGATGTGTCAGTTAATCAGGGAAGGGTGAGTAGTCAAAGATGACAGTAAGCCTGTCATTCTAACTTCAGTTGCATCAGAATCACCTGAAGAGCTCATTAAAATACATATTACTGGGCCCCATTCCCTGAGTTTCTGGTTCAATTACAATTTGCATCTCTAACAAACTTCCCAGTGATGCTGATATTGCTGACCCAGGGACCACATTTTGAGAACCACTGTACAAAGGATTCAAACAAGTATTAGAGGGACTGGTAGCAATAGTAAAAGAAATAAGTAAAGAAGTATATTCAGAAAAGGCATTTGTGGTGAAGATGAGATGTTTCACTTCAGTTATTCTGCTTCTATAGCTGCCTTTAGCACAATTAACAGCTCAGCAAGATTATCTACAGGCAACAGAACTTCTAGTGAAAGGACCCAGCTTATTTTCACTTGTGGCCTAACCAGTTTTACTTGTTTCTTCCCCTTATTCCTCCTTTCCCTTCTTCCATATCTTCTTGTCTTCCTTCCTTCATTCCGTGCCCAGTCTGAGACCACCATTCATGAGCCTCATTCTGAGAACTCTGCAGCTTTGTAGCAGATGCAACTTTGGAAAGCAGAGGAGAGGAGAACTGATCTTATTAGGGCAGATAAAACAGTAAGGCACAGCGTATTTGGCAGATGTAGATTATTTAAGGTGGTTAGTCTCAATACCTTTATGAGCATTAAAGGTCATAGAAAAAATAATGGTTCATTATAAGCCATTTTTTAGAACAAAAACAAATGTGCTTTATTAGCAGTAAGGATTTATATTTTAGATCACGAACTTTGGATTAGAGTTATTTATCAAGAGTTTATAGGAATCGGCTGGGCACGGTGGCTCAAGCCTGCAATCCCAGCACTTTGGGAGGCCGAGGCAGGCGGATGGCTTGAGCCCAGGATTTCAAGACCATCCTGGGCAACCTGGAAAATCCCTGTCTCTAATAAAAATACAAAAATTAACTGGGTGTGATGATGCAGTTCTCAAGTTCATGGATAGTAGGCCAGACCTGGTTGAGTGACTGAGAACACTATAAGAACAGACCTTTGACCAAGTACCCTGGGACTAGGATCTACCAAAAAGCTATCTTCACCAAATGAATTGTTATTACAATTTAAAGCATGTCTTTATTTTATAACTCTACTACAATATAAATCAGCTTTGTAAGGATATGTTAGCTGGGTTTAGTGGCTCAGCTACATGAGAGGCTAAGGTGGGAGGATTGATTGAGCCCTGGAGATGAAGGTTGCAGTGAGCTGAGATGGCACCACTGTACTCCAGCCTTGATGACACAGCGAGACTCAAAAAAAAAAAAAAAAAAAGGTAAAGTAAAATAAAAATAAAGAGTTTATAAAAATGTAAAAGCCTAGATCAGATAATATTTTATTGCATTATTTAATTGTAATTCTAAGGACAAATGTGATATCCTTACTCCAACTATTAAATTCTTTCAGAAAATTCCATTTGCTTTGCTTCGTTATGATTAATTAATGTGGTGGCTTCCACATCATTCTCAGCAAATTAACCCAGGAACAGAAAATGAAACACCTCATGTTCTCACTCATAAGTGGGAGTTGAACAATGAAAATGCACGGACACAGGGAGGGGAACATCACATACCGGGGCCTGTCAAGGGGTGGGGGGCAAGGGGAGGGAGAGCCTTAGGACAAATACCTAATGCATGCAGGGCTTAAAACCTAGATGATGGGTTGATGAGTGTAGCAAACCACCATGACACATGTATACTATGTAACAAACCTGCACATTCTGCACTTGTATCCTAGAACTTAAAGTTAAAAAAAAAAAGAGATAATTTAAAAAATATATGGTGGCTTCCAAATCTGGGAGGCTTGTTAAAATGCAAATTTTTAGATCCCACTGTAAAGATTTCAATTCAATAGTTCTTGGGTAGGGTTCAGAAATCTGTGTTTTTAAGAAGTTATCCTATATTATTCTTCAGAACCAGTAGAGATCAGCTTTGGGAACCATGGATTTATGGTACAGTTGCAATTTGGTTGTCCTGGTAAGTTGGTAACAATACGCCATGATTTATAATAAATAGTAAATGCTAGTTTAGAGTGGAGGGAAGGCAGACATTAAGAGAGGATCCAAGAGAAGAATGATAAAATTAGGGGATCTCAAGGTCCTGAATTTTCTATAAGACTGTGGCATAAGTGGCAATTTCCAAGAAGACTTGCCCAAGATTCCCATACTCACTAAAGACTGTGGCAGTTGACATACTTCCAGGAGTGTGCAATCTTAATGTTTCTGTAAGAGAAAGGGCCAGCTCTGTGTGTGCTGATCTCATTTGAACACGGAACTATTTGAACACAGGAAGACAGACTGTGGCAATAAGATTGCTCACCCAAGCACAATGTTGTCCTTAATCCTCTTGGCTTGCTCTGGCCTCTGTGGGCTACCCCTTGGTGGTATGGATGGGTTGACTGCAGTCTGTCTCTTGCCTTTTGAACTTCAAAGTTAGATGGACTTTCAATTTTTACTGTGACTCTTTGAAGTCTACCCTGCTCAGCCTATTTTAAAAAGCACCCTGTATAAACAATTACCCATAATCCTGATTCCTTTAAATCATGCTCTCCATTTCCCTTTTCCCATTGAACTTATCACATTATATGACTATATAATTAACTAATTACATTTAGTGTTTATCTCTCCAACTAGTTATAAGTGCAGAAATCTTTGATTTGTTCATTAAAACATCCTAAACATCTAGTACATATGTAGTAAGTGGTCAATAAATAGTAAATGAGGCTGGGCATGGCCTGTAATCCCAGCACTTTGGGAGGCCAAGGCAGGCGGATCACCTGAGGTCGGGAGTTCGAGACCAGCCTGACCAACATGGAGAAACCTCATCTCCTAAAAATGCAAAATTAGCTGGGCGTGGTTGTGCATGCCTGTAATCCCAGCTACTAGGGAGGCTGAGGCAGGAGAATCACTTGAACCCAGGAGGCAGAGGTTGTGGTGAGCCCAGATTGCATCATTGCACTCCAGCCTGGGCAACAAGAGCGAAACTCCATCTAAAAAAAAAATAGTAAATGAATGTTTCTGATTAAAATCAAACTTTGTTCAAGTCTGAAAGCAATCCATATAGCTGGTTTGGGAAATAGAAGTATACTCTTTAAAATATTTTTTTCCCTCAACATTTGAAATAAGTAGGTATAATATAAAAAATGTCCATGCCTTACCTTGAAAACCATTTTTAAAATCTGCTCCATTTGGTAAGAGATCTGGAGTGTATTCACTGTAGCCACCTACATAAAACTGACTGAAGACATTGAGACCAACCAGTCTTCCTGGGGCGATAATGGATTTATTTTTATGATCATCTACCTTCGAAAGGGAAAAAAAACCTATTAAAAAAGGAATTAATTCCCCAGGGTGAAATGTTAAGATACTCTTTTGTTATTTCCCATTAACTTGGCATGAAAAATTTACAAAGACCTGAATTTTGAAGAAATAACATGATACCACTCAATTCTCTGCTTCTCTGCTGGTGTCTGTTACCAGGGATATATTAATATAGCAGTCATGGTTTTGCATTTCAATCAAAATCAAAGTTCTTCAAAGATTAGGTGCTGGCATCCTGCTGATTCCCCTCCATTTAGCCTTCCTCCTCTGCTATCAATTCTCCATAGAACCACCAGAGTCCTTTATCAAAAATTAGAAATCAACATGGTACCCACCTTCCTAAGTAGCTCTTCATAGTTCTTTAGATAAAAATATAAACTTCTTAGCACATCTAAGCCCTTTGATAATATAGACCTTATCTGTCTCTAACCACTTCTCTAGCTCCCCCATCCCCCAACCTAAAAACCATGCTGAACTACTTGCATTCCTTAAGCTAATACTGGCCATTGTTCTCTTTCTTAACTCCTATTTGAAGTTACGCTCAAGCATCACCTTCTCTGGGAAGCACTTTCTGAATCCTCTCTCTCACCCTTATCTGTGTTAGTAATCCCTCTTATTTGTTCTCACACCACTTAATTGTAATCATCTCTCTATTCCCCTAGTTGGTACAATAGTCTGTGAACTTCGTGGATGTAGGCATCATGGGCTATTCACCTCTGTATCTTAGCACAGATCTGACAATATACTAGTGCTCTCAGTTTGTGGAAGTGACGAAGGAATGACTCTTTACCTTCAGCCAGCCCTCTTGGAAGAACTTGCCCAGATGAACAGTGTGGACTCCAAGGCTCAGATTGAGGGGCTCGCTCCTGATGCTTGCTATGCCAGACCCCAGGTTATAACTATAAACCACACTGCCATTGAGCAGGCCCACAGCCAGGAAGTCATCGCCATTCAACCCTGGAATGAGAAGACACATGGGGAATGCTCACTGAGAGGAAATTCAGGAGTTCCGTCAGCTTTATTTTACTGACTGGTTCTGAATTACAGATCAGTATGGTAAGTTATAATACATATTTAGTCTCTAGTCAGCATTTAGGTATATGTGCAACTGGCTGTTGTTATTCCCAGCCCCAGAAACAGAGCACCAAGAGTTTATGTCTTTGAAGCCATGAGGGTTCTGGTCAACCTGGGGAATGATCAATGATCAACTAAAAAGTTGAATGGGATTAAAATCTCCTTTTGTCGGAGTGAAATTCAGTGTGCACTTTACAATAAGGAGAACTTCACAATGGAGTAGAATTGCTCCGGTAGCTAACGAGATTCAAAAGGCTGAGATGACCTAGCATCAGCTTTGAAGTTCTTTCTATGATTTGAGAATAGGATAAAGACCAATTTATTCCTATGATTGCTAAGAATATGTTATCATTATTCTATTACAAAAGCTCTTAACCATGCCCCATGACCATTTAAAGGTGGATTGTTTCTGTGTTCCCTCTTCTCTCTCTCCTTCCATTAGTTCAGAGCCATCCATGCAGTACAGTGAGTTCCAGGACCCAGAACACTCAGGAGACAGTTCTTAAAGACCCACGGGACAAAGGAAGTGGTTGGGAGTGACCCAGCATTAATCACTAGGGGAAGGTGCTAGCAGTATCCTTGGCGGGATTAAGAAGTTCTGGGATGATCCATCAGTATATAGCAAGAGATCTGTTCACAGGAAGCAGAGACCCAAATACGTCACCCAGCTTCTGAAAGGTGTGTTAGTGGGTGGGGCAAAAGAAGAATTCAATACTGAGGCTAGCAGTCAGGAAACTGAGGCAAAGACTTCTGCTTAGAGGAAGAACGTAAGAACCCCCTAGAAGTAAGAGGTTTAAGCATGGGAGAAAAAGCTGAATTGAGTCCTTGACATAGAAAAAATTTATTATGAGTATGCACAGCCTCCTCCTTCTGCATTTATAGGAATGATGCTTTGTCTGTTGACTGGGCTTCTAGTATTACTTTGATCAGGGTAAAGGAGAGAAAGATCTACAGGGAGGTAGGTTTCCAGATAGGGTGGAGAGGTGGGCTTCCTGAGGCACTGGAAAGTGGAAGACAGAAATATTATTTAGAGATACTTGAACGCTGCCTCTGCTTTTCTAAAGGGTCTGCCATGGGCCCTGAGCAGGGTTACTTTTGAAAGCTCTCTAGGTGAGTCTAATATATACAGTCATGGTTAAGAGCAACTGTATTAAGTGACCTACCATAGACCGAGTACATTGGGAACTTATGGCAAGTCTCTTTTTCACTTCCTCACATTCTGGTGATTTCTTCCCACCTGCAATGCTGCATCAGGTTAGCTGGGTTGTATATTTAAAACGGAAAGTTCAATGTTTCAAGAGAAAACATAGATTCAGGAAGGCAGTTAGAAAGGCAGAAAGGAGAAAACAATACTAGAGATTGGAGATAGTCTTTCAGGCAGCTGTTGGGATATAGAAGAAATTGGGAGGGGTGGAGGAGGAAACATGAGATTTTTCTGTGGGTTGTGAATGGGAATTTTTCTGAGAGATTCTGGAGGGGATCTGAATTGTCTTTCAAATTGTCCAGGTTATGGGAGTGGAGCCAGTATTGTGCCAGCCGAGCTGTAAGGTAGTGGGAGGGCATATTCATTTCAGCTGTATCCTTCCTTTCTGTCTTGTGCTCTCCTTCCTCCAGTTATGGAGAACCCATTTCATGCCAGGAGCATCATTATTATCCTTAGGTCCTTGACAGCCTGGTCAGGAGGAGATAGGAGGTTTGTTTCAAGTTCCACGAAGAGCAGAATAGAAACAAATGGGGGCAGCCATTAAGACATGGTGAGGAAGAGGGTTAGGAAAGCAAAAAGGTGGTTTTTGAGTCAGTTTCTGAGCTCACCCAGAAAATGACAAGCAAGAGCTTGTTAGATGAAAAAAGAGGATACAGTGAAGAGTGCTGTTTAAATCAGAAGGGAGAACTTTGCAGCAACCCAGAAGGAGAAGAACAGGGTATGTTTAAGAACTGCTGGGGCCGGGCACGGTGGCTCACGCCTGTAATCCCAGCACTTTGGGAGACCGAGGCGGGCAGATCATGAGGTCAGGAGATCAAGACCATCCTGGCCATCCTGGCTAACACGGTGAAACCCCATCTCTACTAAAAATACAAAAACAAAATTAGCCGGGCGTGGTGGCGCATGCCTGTAGTTCCAGCTATTCAGGAGGCTGAGGCAGGAGAATGGCGGGAACCTGGGAGGCAGATCTTGCAGTGAGCCGAGATCGTACCACTGCACTCCAGCCTGGGCAACAGAGCGAGACTCCCTCTCAAAAAAAAAAAAAAAAAAAGAAGAAGAACTGCTGGGATGTGGGCTTGACTGGCATTTAGTGCCTGTGGCAGGAAAGGAAACTGAAAAGGGAGAAAGGGCTATATCTTTAAGGGTCTAATATGCTGCAATGAATGATGTAAGTATTTTACCAGAGACTCTTAGGAATCATGAAAGGATTTTGAATAAGAGAAGTGTATTAGATCTGGATGTTAGAAGAATCTTCTAGTAATGTTGAGGATAGAATATAGAGGTACATAAGGAGGCTCATTGGAAAGTCATTCAAGTGATTCAGAAGAGGAAATGATACTGAAATACATTAAACACCTAAATAAATTAAGGTAGTGACAGAGGGGTCAGAAAAATGGGAGGAAATTTGCTTGTGATTTGGAAGGAAAATTTGAAAGGACAGATCAATTTGGGTGAAGAGCTGAGGAAGAGTTGAGGAAGAGAGAGAAGGTGGTTCTGCAGAATCTGGCTTAAAGAACCAGGTGCAGTGGCAGGGTCAGTCATGGAGTTAGGACCCTAGGAAAGGAACAGTCTGGGGGAAAAGGCTGAGTTTAGTTTATAGGTGCTCCTGCCTACAGACCTGTCCCAGGGCAAAGGACTGGGGATGCACCAAGAGGAGGGGATAAGGAGAGCCAGGGAACCAATCACCCATCAAGCAGATGATAGCATACTATTCCCATGCCATGAGTCCATCAGGTTGCTTTCCTTTCCTCTGCTACTCCTTCAACTCTAGATCTTCCCTGAGTATCAACTCTGGTAGTAAATGATGGAGTAGATAAGAGGAAGAAAAGCAGTTTACTGTCACAGCCGGTACCTAGAAAGTGACTTGGAATTGTTCTAGAGTGTTTCCAAACCTAGAAGTCCTTTACAATCATTTAGGGAATGGTTCAAAAATACCTAATGTAAATGACGAGTTAATGGGTGCAGTACACCAACATTGCACATGTATACATATGTAACAAACCTGCACATTGTGCACATGTACCCTAGAACTTTAAGTATAATAAAAATATATATATATAAAAAAACAAAAATACACTTTCTAGAACCTGTCTTATACCACTTGCATGAGAATCTTTGAAGCTAGATCCTAGAAATATTTTTTAACAGAATCCCCAACTGTTTTTTTTTTCGTAATAAGGCCTGATTGGTATTAGTAACTGTAAGAGGGCCAAGGCATGAAACTTGTGCAGTTGCATGGGGCTTTAAGTTCCAAAGGGCCCCGTTGCTTGGTTTAATGCTCTGTGTCACTGTCTTGAAATTCTTAATACTTTTATCTTTGAACTGTGTTTTGAAAGTGAAGTCCATGAAGCAACAAACATGAGTGGTAACAGAGGAGACCCATAAATACAATATGCATGTTTGCTCTTTCACATGTAAGGCTTGTGATATCCCACAAGAACAAAGTTCCCACAGTACTGGGAGTTCAGTGATAACGCAAAATGAGTACAAGGTAAATATATTATGTTTAATGACTAAGTGGGGGATCTGACAGCCCCAAGAGGCCATGCTCCATTTGGGCCAGAACTTACTTCAAATGCAGGAAGAAGGGAGTGGTGGTCTAAGAAACATGAATCATCAAGGAACCCTATTATTTCATCATTACTCCTACTACTTTTCTGTATTAGCTAATTATTTACACTGAAAATGATGATAGAGAAGAAAACAGAAAGAGAGGGAAGTCCACAATTCCTTTTCCTCTCACTCCTACCTTACTCATCAGTAGCCAAAGGTCGAGAGTGTTGATAGAATGTGTGTATATCAAGAACTGAAATAAAGACAGTTAACTTAGATTTGTGTAGTGTTTCTGGTGTTCTGTTAAGAAGGAAGTACATATGCATGCACAAGCTTTGAAAGATCAATTGAGTAATTTTGGTGATTTTGCATGTGCATTAAATACTTTTCTATTTGCCTTTTAAAGTGGCGTTGCACAATATAAAAATGAATGGTAAATTTTAATATTTTAATTTTTTAACTTAGAATGACATAAATGCAAATAAAAGACATTATGGTGACTTTCTAAGTTAAGCTTAGTCATTCTAAGCTTATTCTTACTCATTCTAAGTCATTATAATGTTGAGAGATCAGTGAAGAAAGAAAAATGCTTTATATTTTAGTACCTTTAACGGCATTTCTCCCTGCTTTTTGAACAAGGGAGTTTGCCTTTTTATTCTGCAATGGGTCCCACAAATTATGTAGCTGTCTCTCCTTGGTGTCATCATAAAACAAATCAGGAAAGAACAAAATGAAAATGAGACCTTCCTGAACATTTGAGGCCGCTTAGAGCCTTTGTATGTAGATGAGACCTGAAACCTGTCAGGGCAGTATGTGTGGGGTGATGCTGATGCACACATGGATGTCTGAAAGCGATGTGGCTGCTAGGTGGTGGAGTCTGAGTCTGAAGACAGCCTGGTTCCAGAGCCTGTGCTCTTAAACACTGTCCATGCAGCAGAGAAGGAGAAACAAGTCTGACTGTGGTTGTGCCCCTCTCTCCCACCTTCAGCACTCCCTTCCCAAATGCTTCTCTCTGGGAAATAAGAAGGGATAATAATATCTCTTCAGATTATTCTAAGGATTAAGTGAGATTTAATGTGTAAGCATTAGCCCACTGCCAACCTAGCACATAGTAGGTACTCAATAAATGCATATTTCTTTCCTCTTCTCAGTAACTCTGGCCTGACCATAACTTTGTGTACCTTATTTCATTCCCCCATTTTATAAAGTCTGGGAAGCAGGCATTCCTGGCTCCTAGTTAGCCTCTTGGGTCGGGAACAGAAGTAGTACAATTTTTCTTTCTTGTTTTTTTGTTTGTTTGTTTTTGCTATAGCCCAAATTGCTTCAGTGCATTACTTTGATCCAACTAAAAAATTTTGGAGGATCAAACATGGAGGTGAAATGAAATGACTTGAAGGCATCATTTTTAAACATCTATTTATGTCTTATGTCACTTTCCTGGAATTTCTTGTAATGGGACGTTCTTGGCTTAACAGCCCATAATAACATAAGCAATGGCATATTCAAACAACCACCAATGCTATAGAATTATTTCATTCTCAAATTCAGCTTTCTATAAAACATTGTTCTATGAGTAGCTTTGGGAAATATATGAGCAATTTATATTTTTATATTTGTCAAGTCACAAAGCAACAGGTGATAATCCACATTTGTATTGCCATGTAGAAATGTTTAGCAATTGACATGGTGAGAGTTTTTTCATGAAAAGAATTGGAACCAAGCTCATTTGGTATGCAGAACACAAACCCACAGTGAATCTTAATGAAATCAGCCCTAGGAAGATTTTTAGACAAGGCAAGAGATACTTGTTGGATATTGCTTCAGAGCTGGTGCTAAGAAGAAAGGACTTAGAGAGATTATGTTGTGCAAGTAGTAAAAAGAGGAGGAAGGAAACAATAGGAAGTGACTCTACATGAATAGTAGTTAAGCATATCAAGATCTGGGAAGTGAATAAAAATCCTTTTAGAATGCACAGGAAAAAAAACTGGATCTCTCTTTGGCTAGAAAGAAAAGTCATAACAACTCCATCAGCACCATTAAGCAGTGAGTTTCAAAGTAAGTATGTTGTGGCAAGCCATGCTTAGCATTATAACAGCAACTCATAAGATTGGTTAGAGCAAATCTCATGGGGCAACAAGATGAGATGCTGTGGTCAGAATACCATCTGGCCTCATAATGCACCAAGAATAGTGATTTATTAATGGAAGCAAGGATTTAGTCTAGGTGAAGAAGTGGATGGTGGCATTGTTAGGGATGGGAATGATGATAAAACATGGAAACAAGGTAAAGGATGCTGCTATGAATATTCTGAAAGAAAAGAGCAAAGTAGTTGAGACAAGAGTGTCAGGACATTCTAAGCAGTCTCAGATGGGTTTTAAAAGTTTGATGCAGAAGGTATGGGTGGTAGTGATAGTAACAGATCTTAAATATATACAACCTTGGGAGCAAATATGAAAAAATGTTTTTGTCACAAGCCTATAATTATAGTTAAGCTTATGGTATTTTTTCCCTAAATTACTTAGGTCTGCTTGCAGGATTTTTCCGTAGGTGGTTTGATTTTAAACCTAAAGGTTTTACTATTTATACTGGTAGTTCTCCAACCTGGCTGAACCTTGTCAGCACAGCCTCTGATTTAATTTGCATGTATGAACGAGAAGGGGAAATCTATTATATAGGAAGGAGGAAAAGAATCAAAGGTTTCAGAGAGTAAGCCCAGGAGAAACTGTGCAAGTCAGCTTGACCTGAAGGAAAAAGAGAGAAACATAACAAGGAGAGAAAATTGTCAGAACTGTGCGGCAACCCTGAGTGCCTTATGGTAATCATTATGAAATTCTCATGAGAAAAAAAACATGCCCATGAAGTAACTGTAATTAGAAGTGGTCTAATTAGTTCCACCTTGAAGGATGGCCTGGACAAGAGTAGCTAGTGGTTCAAGCCATGGATTCATTAATGAAACCCTCAAAGGAAGCATAAAACTCATTTATTAAAGATGTAATTCAAGTCTGTGCTTTGGAGAGACTTTCGAGGCACACCCGTCCTGCTGTTTCTCCTACTGATTCTCACTAATCATTGTGTGTTGTAAGTTATGAAGTGGTACATGCTTGTGTTCTCACTTGATGTGCTTAGGGCGTACCCCAGAAATTAGAACTACTTGTCTGGAAGTGGCAGAAGCTCACTCTCAAGTTCTTTACATAAGGGTTCACAATGGTTTAGAAGCTGTTCCTCGGATTGTTCTGAAGGGGCATATTGGGACTCTAAAACATTTATATAGACAGTGCTGTGAGATCCATGTGTATTTCAGCATATTCCAGTTAATGCAAAGGTTAATATTGTGACTTTTAACATCATAGAAACATGGTAATCCTCATTCAGATGATCCAACAGTCTTTTAATTCCAATAGATTAAATTTCCTAAAGTATTTCATTTAGAAGGAAAGACTTAATAGTAAAGGAATAATAGTTGTAATTTGTTATTTCTTCAAACTATTATTCTAATATGGTAAAATAGTATCATTTATTAAATTTAATTTATTCCTCTAAATATGATAATGTACTTTGCAGAGTTCAGCAAAGTCCCAAGTAGTACAAGGACATGAGCGTGTAATCTTGGACATTTTGCTAATTTAAGTTTTGGCTGCTCACTTCCAGTTATCTCACTCTTTTGAAAAAACTGGTAAAGATAACACCTCATAGGATTGTCTCTAGGAATAACTTCAAGTGTTTTAAAAGATATTTCCAAATGGATTAAGAAATTCTAAGTGACAAGTAAATTTTCCTTCTCCCTTCTTCCTTTCCTGTCAAGGCTGAAAGAGAAAATGTAAGAGGAGCCACAACGATGGTGCTGTGGTTCTCCCACCAAATGAATATTGCTTACAGAATGGCGCTTGATTACTGGTGGGAGTTCCCATCTGGAGGAATGTTTTGTGAAGATATTTTTGCAGCCATATTTGATTATAGTTCTAGGGCTTGTAATGCCTTTTGATTTCTGAAAGAAGGAAACGATCTTTTGATTAAATATTCTTAATATAACAAAATAATGATTCTGCGACAGAGACACCCAGATGAACCTAATTGAGTTTCAGTTGTCTTTTCAACTGGCTATGAGAGGGTATATTCAGTTTTTAGGAAGAAAGTGAAATTAGATATGAATGAAAAGTTAAATAAGTGTGAAAGGTCTTAGGAAAATTATAGAAGTTTATGCAATTAGAATCAAAACTAAAGTAAAACAAAAAATATATATCTAGGTCGATACGTGAGAAACAAGACCCAAACGAGTGAAAGTCCTTACTGCCGGAACAAGATGTATCGAGTGATATAGGATTCTAGACATTTGAGCCATTTTTATCCCATATTCAGTTACAGTCTCTACTTTAGGGGATGCTAAACTAAAATTAAGATGACTAAAGATTTTGGATTAACTCTTAAAGAGCATATAGTCTCTTTTTATCTTAGACCTGTATAGCTCCTGTTCATAGTGGCAAACTTTTGGCTTCCTGTTCTGTTGATGGGACTATTCAGTTATGGATATTCTAGGGTTTTGAGAGCATTAGAACCATGTACAGCCATGACCATGATGTTTCATCATTAGCCATTGAGCACAATGGATACAATATAGTGTCTACCTCATGGGATTAAAACCATTAAAATGTAGGCAATGTAGACTGGCTCTTTTTGTGGCCAAATTAATATGGTGTCCTGACTTCCATCTGTGCTAGTGAACAGACAGTGTGGAAGGGTTGATAGGAACAACAAATCCAGTGCTATGCTCAGAGAATATGAAAATGTGATAAAATGCATTTCTTGGGGCTACATATGGCCCACATTTTTATATCTCTTGAGCAAAAGGAGGTGAGACTAGAAAAAGTGGCAAATCTGTATCTCTCTTGCTGTCAGAGATGAGACTGTGAAAATAAGGGATGTAAGCACCAGTTTGTGGGTAAACTTAAATTTCCACAAGATGAAACCACATGGGCTTACTGCAAGTATAGTGTTCCCCTGTGAAATCAAGGTTACCCACTTTGAACCATCCTTAAGTGTATATTCCCTCTTCAGAAATACATTTGAAAAAAAGATGGGGGAAGATTTGCAAGTATCTGTATATCTTTGTCATTTCTAACCCTGTTTGAATACTAGTCACATGTGACAATTTTTATGTGTTTCTCAGTCAGTCGGGAAAGTGAATAGCTTAACTTCTTTTTAAACTATTTTAAAAGACTCAAATAATTTAAAACAGACAATTTTGACATTATAGTACAGGATATTTGATTCCATGAAAACCAAGATTTGATAATTTGAGGTTCTCAGGAAGAAAATTCTCATGATTTCTAGTCTTCCTGGTGTGATTACAGAATAAAATAATGAGCATTTTTCTGTTATAAAAAATTGAATATAGGCATACACTGTCAGTTTTGTTTATAAAATACCTCAGTGCTGTGCAATTGAACTATGTGTTACATTAGGGAATTGGCCATAGCCTGCTCTCATTCATCAGGCATCTTCCTTCTGCCTGATCCCTACCAGGGCTCTCTGAAGAACAGGCTGAGCTGATTGCTTCTGTGACACTCCCTGCTTCAATTTTCTTTTTCTGTTCTGTAGGGTGACATTCATTTCATTTTTTTTCCACAGGAAAATAATCAAGCTATATTTATGCACTCTTATTTCTGTTACAGTTTATAACTAAGGGCTTGAAGCAAACAAGAAATTATTTGGCAGAAAATATGAGGCAACCTTTCATAATTACCACAGCATAGAAGATCTACATGCTGGTGACTGACAGCTATGTGCATAAAGTGCTTAGGTGCATAGATCAAATTTCCAGGAAGTCAAATATATTTCTTCTAAAATATATATATATATGTATATGTGTATATATATATATGTATATGTGTGTATATATATATATATATATATATATATATATATAATTTTTTTTTTTGAGACAGTTTCACTCTTGTCACCCAGCTGGAGTGCAATGGCACGATCTCAGCTTACCACAACCTCCGCCTCCCGGGTTCAAGTGATTCTCCTGCCTCAGCCTCCTGAGTAGCTGGGATTACAGGTGCCTGCCACCACACCCAGCTAATTTTTGTATTATTAGTAGAGACAGGGTCTTGCCATGTTGGCCAGGGTGGTCTTGAACTCCTGACCTCGGGTGATCCACCCGCCTTGGCCTCCCAAAGTGCTGGGATTACAGACATGAGCCACCGTGCCCGGCTCCTAAATTTTTTTTATTACTGTATTATATAATTTTAATACAAACTACAGTTGAGATTTTAACTTATATTTCAATGATTCAAACAGTGCTACATGTTTCCCCTCCCCCTTCATTTAGATCAGATCCTAACTTCTTCACTACAATCCGAATCAATCAATGCCTACACAGCATTATTAGCTAACTAGGATAGCCTCTGTCCACAGAGAGACTTTCAGTTAGTGAAATAATAAATAAACATGTAATTATTGATTTTTCACCAACTATCCAGCACAGGAATGATGCAGCTGGGAATCCAAAAGAAATGGAAAGAATTTATGATTAATCTTGTTGAGGGACAAGATTAAGATTATGAAATTGCTGCTATTCTAATGCTTTGATTTATGAAAATGGTACCTTCATATAATTCAAAGCAGTGATTGTAAATGACAAAACAGTATTTAATTAGATACCAAATTATAGGATAAAACCACAAGTGCTATGTAGGCTTTGTGTAGGTAGAATATAAGAGATCCAAGTTTGTCAGAGAACATTACATGAATGAGTAGGTACTGGGAGAGGTAAAGAGGACTAGGGCAGGAATTCCAGGCAAGAGGAAGCTTGACGGTGGACTGAACGAGAGCGATGGATCTCAGGTAGCATGAACTGGTTGTTTATGCACTGTTGGAGTCGAGAAGCTGAGCCTGGGCGGGGGAGAATGGAACAGCAAATATCAGCTGGGCTGCTGTAGCACTAATTGTGGAGGATTGCTCAAAGTGAAAGGGAAGGATGAGAAACACATTGGAGGATGTGTTCTGTTCTCTGACGGTTCTCACTGGATGAGATTTCTACTTTCTGACTTCCACGTTTTCTATCACTTACGTATATCTTTGCATTCAGTGCTATTTATATTCCAGATACGTATTAGACATTGTGATAGAGGTTGTGTGTGCCAGACATGGTTCCTGGTTTAGTGTTGTTAATTAACAAAACTTTAAGTACCTGTGTTTTGCTTTTCTAAATTGATTGTAAGTTTTACCACATCAGGGACCATGCATTTTTATATTCATTCTTTAAAAAACTGTTGAGTATTTATATGTGACAGCCACTATTGATATAAAAGGAATGTAGTGGTTCTGGTTTGCAAGATATCCAGATAGTTTTTAAAAGGTATGAGAATTGTTACCAATGAACTGCAGTGAGATTAATTGTTAAATTTTTCTGGAAGAGGCTGGGCGCGGAGTGGCTCACGCCTGTAATCCCAGCACTTTGGGCGGCTGAGGTGGGTGGATCACCTGAGGTCAGGAGTTCATGACCAGCCTGACCAACATGATGAAACCGCGTCTCTATTAAAAATACAAAAAAACCTAGCTGGGCGTGGTGGTGGGTGCCTGTAATCCCAGCTACTCAGAAGGCTGAGGCAGGAGAATCACTTGAACCTGGCAGATGGAGGTTGCAGTAAGCCAAGATCCTGCCACTGAACTCCAGCCTGGGTGACAGAGCGAGACTCCGTCTCAAAAAACAAACAAAAATTTCTGGAAGAGTTAAAGACTCAAAGAAGAATGATCTTTTGAGTTGAGACTTAAAGGGCAGTGTTTTGGAGGCATGCCTATGAAGCATGGGTGGCTCAGGAAGGTGGAACAGCCTGCACAGAAGTGGGGGACACAGTCACATGACACAGGATGTACACATGTGCTAATATTGCCAAGTATGGGGTGGAATGAAACCAAAGGAGATTGTGCAAATGGGTAGGGGCTTGATAAGTGTCTTTGTATATTATGCAGAGGAGCTTAGGTGGTATGCTATGATGAAACATGTTGATTAGCTAAGAAATGTTTGGACTTGTATGTTAGAACCATCCCATGTAACAAAGAGGAGAATAGAGGGGAAGAAGGACATGACTGAGCGGAGAGACTAGAAATGAGGCTATTGCTATTGCAATAGTGTGTGACAGAGAAGCCAGGAGCAATGAGAATAGAAAGAAGGAGAAAAAAACAAAAAGTAACTGGAAAGTAAAATGGAGAGATCTTGTGTTTCATAGAACATGGGGGATGAAATGGAGAGAGACCAGGACCTCGTCTGTCTTGTTAATAACTGCTTCCCCAGCACCTAAAAGAAGGCCTTATCTAGGTGCCCAACCAATATTTGTCCAAATGAATGAAAGGGAAAAATTGAGATGATTCCTGGGTTTCTGGCTGAAGCAGAATGTTTATAACAGTTACCAACAGAAGGGATACAGGAGGGGAAGTCATGTATTCATCTGTGGACTACTGTGGGATATATAGGGTGGGTTCTAGAAGAGCCAGTCTCTAAGATGTACATTACAAGAGAGTGGAGGGCAGGAAAGGAAGAGAAGCTAATGAAGAAAACACCAAATATGACTGCAGAAGCATAGGAAGAGGCTTAGGTTAGGTAAAAATCATAAGTCAAAGGGACATTTTCATGATGAAGTGTTTGACAGGATATTTCCAGAGAGCTCAATGGTGGTGGCAGTATTTGGTGGCAGTATTTGCAAAATGAGTGTTCAGCTTTGAAAGACTCAGAGAAGACTATCATCAGTGTTGTCCCCTTGCTTTTTTATGGACATATCAGAAATTAGAGGTTGGCTTACTCAAGTTATTTTATAAACTCTGGGACTTTGTGCATCTCTTCACCTGAGGAAGATAAAGGCAGCATATGGTATGGTGATTTTTATAGTAACAACCAATATGTAGGTTAAAGATCAATATTACTAGGCAATAACATCTAAATGTATATGTACTACTATAATAACATTGACTTGGGTCATTTCTTCTATAGAATAGATAATTGTAAATTGTATGGTTAATAATAACGATATGTTTTAAAAGACTCACTTCTTTAATTCATAGCTTTATGCTATATAAATTGATGAATAATCCCTATATATGATATTATGGCCAATAATTACATACCTTAGTCCATACTTGCATGTGGTCTAATTTAGCTGGCTCCTGGAGATTTTCAGTAGTTGCCTTCAAATATTACTTGCATAAGGAGGGGAAGAGGAGGGAGAGCATTAGGACAAATACCTAATGCATGCGGGGCTTAAAACCTAGATGACAGATTGATAGATGCAGCAAACTACCATGGCACATGTATACCTATGTAACAAACCTGCACGTTCTGCACATGCATCCCAGAACTTAAAGTAAAATTAAAAAAAAAAACAAATATTAGTTGCATAAAAAGCACCTAAGATTCTTGATAAAATTTTATTTTATTTTATTCTAATTTTTGATTCAAGAAGGCCTGGGAACTAGAGTTTTAACAAGCACATTCATGTTATTTTAATATATGTGTGAAGAGCTCTTATTTGGAGAAACTCTATCTTAAATCATTACACAATATGTATATATTCAATATACATGATTCAATATATTGTATATTGAAACATCACGTTATACCCCATAAATATGTACAATTATTGTGTCCATTTAAAGAAAAAGCTCTTTAGTATGATTTGTATTTTTCAGCTGGTCTTCTTGCTCCCTCATGTGGTGCAATGTGCAACTGTATGTTTTAGAGCTCTCATTTTCAGTTTTTAGAAAATGAACTTCACAGTTTATCAATCTGTTATCTAACCTTTATTTAACCATGCAATAAACCTATAAATGCAAATGTAGAATTAGCATTAATTCCTCTGCATACAAAGCAAAATACTAGAGAGGACTAGAAAATGTCACATGTAAGATTTCACAATTTAGAAATGAGGTGGCTAAAACATTGCTTTATATTTTTTATGTGTGTGTTAAAGATTTTGAAGGAGAATTTGGTAGATGCGTACTAAAGGGTTTTGGTGGCAGTATTTCAGTATCATGGTCCAGGTGTTTGTCTTTTGCTTGGGTTCTCCCTATTTGACTCTATCAGGATTTAGAATATCTGTTTTGAAACAAGACAGACCTAGGGTCTGCAATATTCATTTGAAGTTTTCATTTGCCAGGCTTTTTTTTTTTTCAAATCAGAAGGGTTTAATTGATAAATATATGATAAGTGGTGTGCAGAGTAAAGGGTTAGGAGTAGGAATTCTTTATTTCCCTTCCTGCGCTATAGTGGGCACATTCATAGATATTTATTAAAACCATTGGAGAGAAGCTTTGTGGGTGATACAGTGATAAATCACCATTTCTATAAGTGAGAAGAGAAATTTAGAACTTTGCAGCCAGCCAAAGCCTGTAACAAAGGCTCCACATCCTAATGCAGAACAGGCTGTCCATGCTCAGACAAAGGGGAATTGATGGAAGAGTTGCGAGGAGGGGAACCGCTGGGGAAATACTAATAGAGGACATAGCATTTGAACTGAGAATCCCTAAGAATGACCACTCTTTAGGAATCCTTGTGAAGCTCTGTTGTGGACTTATATCTCATGCAATTATTTGTTCTTATTGTGGTTATTTTATTCATTCATTAAATACTGATTATGGTCAGACACTGGGCTAAGCATGGGTGTATAAAGTTGAACAGGGCTGACTTGATCTCTTTCTATGTAAAGCTCCCATTCTGTTAGTGAAAACAGACAAGAAACAACTATATTAAAAATAAATAAAAGGATACTAAATTAAAGTAATGGCAATGAAGGAAGTAAATAAGAAGCTGAGGTAGAGAATAACTTGGATGGGGTGGGACAAGACTTACTTTGGTGAAGGTGGCTACAGAAGGCCCTTTTGAGAAAAGATACACTACCGTGTTTATTGAGTACAATGATTTTTTTTCTTTTTCTTTTTCTTGAGACAGAGTTTTGCTCTTGTTGCCCAGGCTGGAGTGCAACACTGCAATCTCGGCTCACTGCAACCTCCGCCTCCTGGGTTCAAGCGATTCTCATGCCTCAGCCTCCCAAGTAGCTAGGATTACAGGTGTGCACCACCATGCCTGGCTAATTTTGTATTTTTAGTAGAGACGGGGTTTCTCCATGTTGGTCAGGCTGCTCTCAAACTCCTGACCTCAGGTGATCCACCCACCTTGGCCTCCCAAAGTGCTGGGATTACAGGCGTGAGTCACCGCGCCTGGCCGAGTCCAACAATATTTTAAGAGCTTCCCATGTATTAAGTTCGTTATTCCTCACAACGCTGTAAGGAAATACACTGTTACTATACTCATTTGATAGGTTAGAAAATAGAGGCACAAAGACATTAAGTAACTTGACACATAATTTGCACATGGTGGAGACTGATTCATGTCTACATCACCAGTCTCTAGAGCCTGCTCCCTTGACCACTATGATAGCTATTTCCTGTCAAGGCTGAGGAAAAAGCATGCACCAAACCTCTGAGACAGGAAAGCACTTGGTGGTTAAGGCACTGGAAGAAGAGCTGTAGGAGAAAAGCACAGAGATAGTGAGAGTGGCCTGGTTGTGTTCAGAGATGCAGACTGGGATCTGATCCTGAAGGCCCTTTGAGAACATGATAAGGAGGTTTGGATTGCATTCTAAGTGCAGTAAAAAGCCACAGATGGGTTTTAAACAAGGTTCAGACATGATCTAATAAACCTTTTAAGAGGCTAACTCTTATTACAATGTGGATAATTAATTGCAGGCAGGAAATCAGTAGGGAGACCAGTCAGGAAGAGGTCATGAGGTTTCAGCATAGGGATGGGGAAGAGATTCAAACAAATTTTGGAGGTAGAATGAATAGTACTTTACATGATAGAGTACCCCATCCTAGCAGACATGGTGGGAGTCTGAAATACCACATTTCATTTGGGGTGTAGGCTCCTTTCAGACATATGCTGATACAGAAAAGAGTGTTTGGTATTAAGAGACAGTCACTGATTGAGTTGAAAAAAACAGAATATGTTATTTACCCTAGCACCGTAGAACCACTGACAGCTGAGAGAAAGGTCTTTTTCTGTTACAATATGTTGATCTCACAGATGAAAACACTGAACTCAGAGAAGTTAGGTGATTAATTGCTTAACTGTTGATTGCAGACTTAAAAGTAAAACATAGGTAATTTTCCTTGACTTAGCACATGCATAACTAGTTTCTACTTAAGAGAGACAAATGTAAGTTATAAGTTGATTTCCCACCAATTCCAGGGCACTAGAGTACTTTGTTACAGGCTGAGTACTTTCTTAATTTCTTGCTCCTTTAATTTAGAATGGTTTTCTTTGAGGGCAACAACCATTTCCATTTTATAACACATGGAAAAATGAGAATTTCCCTTCTCTCTTCAGACATGGAAACAGAAAGAAACAGAGGAAAGGACAAATCAATAAACTTACTTCCCATGTGACTTGGTCACCTTCCCTGTCCTCATGTTTGCCTGTAGGAATTTTTTCTTTTGATTATGAAAGGTAGCTGATATGGTTAGGTTTTGTGTTCCCACGCAAACCTCATCTTGAATTGTAATCCCCATAATCCCCAGGTGTCAAGGGAGAGACCAGGTGGAGGTAATTAAATCATGGGGGTGGTTTTCCTCATGCGTTCTCGTGATAGTGAGTGAGTTCTCAGGAGATCTGATGGTTTTATAAGGAGAAATTCTCCCCTTTACTAGGCACGTCTTCCTGCTGCCTTGTGAAGAAAGTACTCTGCTTCCTCTTCCCCTTCCACCATGCTTGTAAATTTCCGGAGGCCTCCCCAGCCATGCTGAACAGTGAGTCAATTAAACTTCTTTCCTTTGTAAATTACCCAGTCTCTGGCAGTTCTTTACAGCAGCATGAAAACTGACTAATACAGTAGCCCTGATGCAAAGTAGAGCTTCAGAAAGGATCAGGGAACTGCTAAGTACTTTGGACTACAGCGAACATGCTCAAGGCAGAAAACAGGAGGAGGCTGCATCTAGGCAAAGGTCTTTTTTTTACCACAGCCAATTAGAGTGTCCCTGAGGAATCTCTAAAGTATTCTTAAAGGAGCGAGGCAAGTCCTAGAGGGTTCAGTTAATCTTACCATGGCCTTTCTGTCCAGTAAAAAATATCAAGTTATTTTGCAGTGCTGAGTGGTTGTTTGCCAGCTGAAACTTCAGGTGGAATTCATAATGGAAGCTGATGTCTGAGATCCGTGAATAAGCCAGGAATGAGGTGTATCCAAAGGCATCTGTGCCACTGAACCTTGGCTGAGTAATATTAATAGCTGTGAAAAAACCCAAACCAAACAGTTAAAATAAACCTGTACATGTATTTGTAAAGTGAGGGTTACGTTTTGCTGATGCATCTGGCCAGATAGTCTGTTTACTATTACATTAATTATACTTTAGTGCCCTTCAGCATTGAGCAACTAAGTGACTCAACAGGAAATTTCAAAACCAGAACAAAGGAAATGCAGTGTTTTGAGATCTTCTATATAATCCTTTCACTAGCATACTCTTTCTACATAATGGATAATTTACTTAAAAAGCAAACCCCTATATTTTGAAACTTAATTTTAGAAATAGAAAAGATTACTGGCAGCCAAACAAAGTATTTACTCAGGTGCCTCGTAAACATGATTTGGCATCCAAAACCTGGATATGACTTAGAGAGGAGCTCACACCTTTGAACAAACTGTGCTTTTCTAATCCTGCACCTTTATCTGAGCCAAAGCCCCAGGTCAGGGCTAGGAAAGTCAAGAAATAGGAAGGAAATCGGTCAGTTTTCTATCATCATTGGTGAGTGACCAGAGCTTTTCTTTAAGTAAAAATAATTGTCTAAAAGAAATGTTCATTATTTCTTTGCTGAGATGCTTCTTAAGTAATAAAAACATGGAATTCAATTGGTGTGAAAGTGTAGGGAGATTTATTAAAAACAGGAAATGGTAAAATTAGATGAAGTTCAAGGGCCAGTGTGAACAAAATAGAATTTAACTGAGGGTTGCTTCTTGTATCGAACTCTTCTCTTTCATTGTACTGTTTCCTTCATAAGTCTCCACTGGTTTTTTAAATCTCCTTACCCAAAGAGGACAACAGAAAATAGAAAGGGGATTTTGACACCCCATTCCTGTCTTTTATGGATGATGTCACCAGATTAAGGGATGTTCCTAGGATCTATTTTTATTGGTTGGGGACAGCTCGGTTGAGGAAATAAGAGCTTATGTTGTTTCCTTCTCAAGAGATGTTGGAACTCCAGGGAAGCTGTAAAATTAGAATTTTTACAAGCCTTAAGAAATATACTCACTCTGGTATGTAACACTTAAAAGAGCTTCTTATGTCTGTTTATAATTGTGTATACAGCAAATAATTTAGGAAAAATGATGCTTATTATCAAAGGCTTGTATATCTTTGTTTTATATGACTATTAAACTAAGATATTTGTGTGAATAAACTGAATACTTTGTTTTGATATTTTATTAAAATCTTATCAGTTTATTATGACTATTAAACTAAGATATTTGTGTGAAGCTGAATACTTTGTTTTGATATTTTATTAAAATCTTATCAGTTTATTCCCTGGGATGTGTGGCATAGGTTAAATGTAATTTTCTCAAAACTCACCAGAATGTGAAGTAGGGACTTTTGAGACATATTGCTTCTTATACTTATTTTTTAATCTAATGAAAACTTTATAATTTGTGTCCCTGAGATAATAACACTCTCAGGTATATCACTTTCAGTAGTACTATGGGGAGGGTGATTGAGGGAAATGAAATGTACTGGAGTTGAAACAGAATAAAAATACTGACCATCATTCAATGTTGGCATTAAAAACTATGAAAATAGAATTCAGTTAAATTTAATACTAAAATAGAAAAGGAATGACTATCTTTTGCTTTTAATATTTCTTCCTGTTAATAATTTACAACTGAGTCTACCTAAAGGTTACATTTAGGCTAGATTGACAAATACGTATCTCATATATATGGTATTTTACTGTCAGAACCTGTGCTAGATGCTGGTGACACAAAGATAAAAAAGCACTAGTCACTCAAGGGATTAGTGTGAAGTCAATACATTTATTCAGCTGAACTGGACTGAAAGTTGAGGCCTGGTATAAGAACTTTCAGGCAGAAGAAACAGCATGTTCTAGGGTGTGAAGACCAAAACAGCATGTCATACTCAGGGAACTTATGAAGTCTGCAAATTTTAGAATGAAGAAGAAAAGTGAGAGTGGAAGGAAATGAAACAAGATAGACAGTGGTCAAATCATGAAGAACTATATATTTTCTTTATTATCCTAAAGTAGTTGGGCAATGATCAAAGTTGCTTTTTAGAAATATTATTCTGTTGATGAAGTGTGAATCATAGATTAGACAGAGAGCTGGAGGACCAAACTTTGGTCAAGGATGAAAATAAGAACTTTGATATCAAGAAATCTAACAATGAATTAAGCTTATGCAGAAATCTAAATGTAAGGCAATTTATGAGTAACTCATTAAGGCAATGGTGTGATATTTAAACAGCTAATGGAAATACATTATCAGTGCAATTTCATGATATAATTTTTACTATCAAAAATAAGTACTTTTGAAGTTTGAGAATAATAATGAAGACTGATGATAACCATGACCCATAGGAATGGATCTGTCAAATGCTCAGCATTTCTTAGTCTAGTGGTACCTGCAGCTGTTGAGCATTTGAATTGTGGTTAGGCCTGTGTGGGAAGGGCTCAGTATGAAACAAAGAATGTAAAATATATTATTAATAACATTCCCATATCCGTTAAACATTGGGTTAAATAAAATATATTACTAAAATAAATTTCACCTGTTTCTTTTAACTTTGAAAAATGTCGCTACTAGAAAACAAAATGACATAGGCAGCTCACATTCTATTTCTATTGAATGGCAACGCAGAGAGATCCAAGCATGTTTTGATAGGTTAAGTTCTTCCTCTAAACCGTTAGTTGTGACTTACTTCAAGGGGCTTTTTCTTTTGGTAACTTTGAACCTATAAAAAGGTAGGGCCTCTGTGGGGAGCAATAGGAATCAGGAGAAGAGGTCAAAGATAATATAATCCATCACTAAGAGGCTTCTATGTCTGCACCCACACTGTCTCTATAACTCTGAATTAGGCAGAAGAACGTGAGGGACTCAGACTAGGAGAAAGAAGACTTTCAACCTTACAAATCATTCTTTTCAATACTTTAAGCCCTTTTCCATCTTCCGCCAGGTAACATTTGGTTAATTTGGTTACTCTACTGCATAAATTCCCAGATCAGCCTTCTGGAAGGATCAGTCATCATCTAATCAGGAAATTGAACAGATTGTAATGGGACTATTTTTGGGCTATTAAATGTATATATTTTTTTAATTTTTGCAATCCCTAGTTGCCTCACAGATACCATGTGTAAAGTCATGCATTTTTTTGTCAGTTCTTCTAAAGTTACATGAATGAATTGGAAACATGAAGAAAAAAGGGAGATGCTGGAATTTAAACTAAAATAAATTGTTTAGTGTGTAGAAGAAGAAAGCAAAATCACTAATGCTCTGGGATCATTTCAGGCACAGTCAAAAGGTATCCAGACATCATCTCGGGGCATTAAAAATTCTAAGAGCCTTGAGTAAAGAGGGAATATTGTGATATTTTCTTTTATATTATAGTGCTATATTATAGGCTCAATGTATAATCTTTTTAAAATGTTATGCTTATAAAACACTTCTTAGCAAAAGTTATCACAGAAAGGGTATAAAATTCTATTTTCTAATCATTTACTAAGGCAAATTTTTCTCATTCCCAATATGGCCGAGAAATAAGGCATTATTGTGTTTAATGTGACTATTTTTTCCTTTTAAAAATATTTTGCTGTGGCCGGGCACGGTGGCTCATGCCTGTAATCCCAGCACTTTGGGAGGCCGAGGCGGGTGGATCATGAGGTCAGGAGATCCAGACCATACTGGCTAACACCGTGAAACCCCGCCTCTACTTTAAAAAAAAAAAAAAGAAAAAAGAAAAAGAAAATTAGCCGAGTGTGGTGGCACGCGCCTGTAGTCCCAGCTACTCGGGAGGCTGAGGCAGGAAAATCACTTGAATCCGCGAGACGGAGGTTGCAGTGAGCCGAGATCGCGCCACTGCACTCCAGCCTGGGAGGCAGAGCGAGATTCCATCTCAAAAAAAAAAAAAAAACAAAAAACCAAAACAAAGACAAAAACAACCCCCCCCCCCAAAAAAACCTGCGGTTAATCTTTTAATCTGAATTATTAAAGTTTATGCACAATGCACAGAAGTGGCTAAGATGAACTATTGGAATGTGGAAAGAAGACATATAAATAGTTCAGATTTCAGAACACCTTTCTTCAACTCTGCAGTGATGCATCCTGAAGCCCACCGGCTGGTAGTAAAACATGAGCTACTCTATGGCATAGTGATGGAGGGAGGCAGCTGGGGCTGGCCAGCTCAGGCTTGATTCTGGATGTTTTTACTTTCTGTGTAAACTTGGGTAAGTTATTTCACTTTTCTGTTTTAGTTTCTTTGTTCATAAAATGAGAATGTAAGAGCACCTAACATCTGTGAAGAATGAGAAAAGCCCATGGCTGAAGAAAACACACTCGAGCTAAACATACAATTCAAGTGGGCAAACCTCTTCCACCATACCAGCAATCCTACTACATATTTCCAGTCAAGTCACTTTCCCAGCCTCTAAAATGGCTATTTAATGCTTCCTCTCTCCTCAAACATCTAATATTTATTGTCTCTTATGAATTAATAATCTTGGTTTTTATTTTGCTGAGAAAAACCCATCAACAGAGAACTACCTGATGCTTTCACTGTCAAATTCTCCCACCCACAAATCTTTAATTTTTATCCATATGCTTTGCCTTCCCTCTGCTGACAAGGCTGACTCTGCCCGGGTATTTCATCCACCCCTTCTCATTTGCTCAAGGGCATCATTTCAGAAATTCTGTCCTGCCTCCCAGGAGTTACCAAATTATTCTTCTCTACTGCAGCATTCCCTTTAACATGAAATATGCTAGAATGTCCCCATCATAAATAAAGAGCTTCCCTCCACTCCACATTCCCCTCTAGCTACTGCATGTTTCTCTGCTCAACATACTATCAAGGGGCTTCTAGAGAGTTGTCTGTATTGACTCTTACAAAATTTATTACCATTCATGCTCGATTTTATTCCAGTCAGGCTATCTTCTCTATCTTTTCTTTGAACTTTTGTATGTTAAGATCACTAGTGACCACAGTCTTTCTAAACTAAATGTCAATTCTCTGTTTTTATCTTATTCAGTGTCTCAGAAGCAACTGACAAGGTTGATTATTTCTTTTCTCTTGAAATGCTTTCTTTACTTGGTCTCCATGACCACTGCACTGTCCTGATATTTTTTCCTACCTTAATGACTGCTGCTCCTCATTCTCCTTTTCTTCCAGTTATCTCCATCTACCATCATTCTGTATTTGATCATGAGTACCGTTTACAGGTGGATGAGTCCTGAGTAAACAGTCTCTATCCCTGCTTTTTTCCAGAGCTCCAGATTCACATATCCAACCAACTACTAGATAATGAACATATATTTGTATGTCTGATAAGAATTTCAAACTGATCATACACAAAGCAAAACTCTTTATTCCACTATTTGTATTCTTTCCCCCAACCCAAATCCCTTCCCTTCCTTTGCAATCAAATCTGTTTCCCAGCCTTCCCTCTCTTTGCTCAGAGCAAAACTAGGCATCATCCTTAAATGGTATCTTTCTCTGCTACCTCAACTGACAAACTGACGAATATGTTAACTTCATCTTCAAAATATATCCCAAATTACACTGCCGCTTTTCACTGTGTCTGTTAATACCATCAACGTTCAATGCACTGTTCTTTGTAGCCCAAACTATAATATTTGCTTCTTAGCTGGTCTCCGTGTTGCTACCTTTATCACTTTACAATCTCTTTTCCGTATTGTAGCCAAAGTGGTCTTTTAAATATAAATTGAGTGTCAAAGTTTCTCCAGCATTTTCCATTGAAGTTTGAAATAAAATCAAAACTCCTGAACATAGCCTAAATCTCCCAATCTCCAGATTTATTTTATACTCGTTTCTTCTTTCTCATTCTGCTGCAGCCATGCTAACTTCTTCGTGTTTCTCAAGCAAACCTAACACACTCCCAGTTCAAGGCTTCTGCTCCTGTTCCCGGTGCCTGAACCACATTTTCCCCAAAAGCTGCATGGCCTGCTCCCTCACTTCCTTCAAGACTCGCTCAGGTGTTCTCTCCTCACAGGGCCTTTCCTGACCACCCTATTAAAGTATTAATCTCCTATTAAAGTAGTAACTCCTTGTGCCCTGCCCTTCCCAACCCCGTACTCTCTAGTCTCTTAACCTGCTTTATTTACATGGCCCAATTCCATTATATGTTATTTGTTTACTTTTTATTATTTTTTCTCCCCACTCAGATTGCAGATTCCACTAGGGCAGAGAGCTTGCCTGTCCTTCATGGTCTAATTGGGCATAAGATACATATTTATCAAATGGTTGAATACATGTAAAAGGTTAAAGTAGTGTTAAGGACATAGTAATATATATTATGATAGTATATCTCTGCCATTACTGTTTATCTAGTATCTTCACAACTCTGTTCTTAAGTGACTAACTATTCTGCACTTATAGAGCTACTGGATGAAGTTGTGAAGTGGATTTCTACACTATCACCAATGCTAATCATTGCTTGTTTGAATTTGTTTTTTGTACTAAGTCCTTTCCTCTAAAAAATGTTACTAAGTTTTTGCAATAATATGGAATCTTAATTCTTCTAGTGTGGGTAAAAATTCAGATAATATAATACATACTGAAAATCAAGGCATAGGGACCCCTAACCTGACAAATCAGTTTATTTTTTATTTTTTTATTTTGAGGCAGGGTCTCATTCTGTCACTCAGACTGGAGTGCAGTGGTGCAATCTTGGCTCACTGCAACCTCCATCTCCTGGAATCAAACAATCCTCTCACCTCAGCCTCCCAAGTAGCTGGGACTACAGGCATCCGCCACCATGCCTGGCTAACTTTTGTATTTTTTTGTAGAGATGGGGTTTCACCGTGTTGCCCAGGCTGGTCTTGAACTCTTGAGCTCGAGCGATCTGCCCACCTTGGCCTCCCAAAGTGCTGGGATTACAGGCATGAGCCACCAGGCCTGGCCCAAATTGTTGTTTTTAATAATTAAGTTGTATAACTAGAACTATAATTTTATACATTTTGTCTTATAAACATTAGTTTCCATTTAATATTTGAAAATAATGTCTTCTTTAATTTGTGAGCTAAAAATACTGACTAGGTTTCTTGGGACAATTGATAGTTTTTGACAGAATATTTTGCCTTTTACCTGACAAAATATATGTATGATACCTTTAAGATCATGCTTAAAATTTTACATGTGGTGTTGAAAAAATTTTCTTAAGTGCATCAAAAATTACTTGAAACTTTTAAGTGTTTTCAAGATAGATTGTTTGGTCTAAATATATAATTTTTTGGAGTTCATTGCTGTTTTTAAACAGATACAAAAGACAAAAACCTGTGGGTGATTTTTTCTTGGATTCTGTTTTCTATGTAGGCTGCTGTGTATAACCTCAGCAGAGTGGACACCAGGGAGCGCTGAGCTAGTGAAAATCCAATTCAGTTCTTCCTTCTCTATGATGTATTTTAATGAAGCAAGCAGATGGTAGGTAGATCTTCCCTTGGAAACTGCTGATTTTGAAAGACTCCAGAATGCCAGTTTTCCAACCATCATGTTCAGCAGTGTAGCGTATCTTGAAATACACATTTAACTTTGCCAGGAAAATTAATCTACCCTTAGGCAGATGGATAAATTTGCAAAAATACAAGATGATTGCTTGCCTCTCCAGTTTTCCTTCCTAGCTTTGAGTATACACGTCTTTCCTCTGTCTTTGTTCTTAACTTCTTAGTAACACAGCACCAGATTTAGCTCAATATCCTGCCGAAATGCAATTAGGTTATCAAACTATGTACGTGGTCATTGTCTTTGTTGTTTCTGTTTTTTGTTGTTGAACAAACTCCTTGAGGAATACACTTTCACACTGTTCAGCATTATCATTTAGAAATAAAAATGGCAACCTACAAATGTGATTATTTTTTAAAGGGAATAGAAATAAATATGTCCGGAGATATCGCCAACAGTTATAGGTGATGGTAGCCTGCACAGAAAACATACAGTTACCTTTTCCTTCTGAACCAAGACAGAGATACCCGGTACATGAATAAAATCAAGCTCTCTATTCAAATGGATATATAATATCGAATTCACCCACAGGTATAAACATGAAATAAATATGATTGGTTGGTTGCCAATTCCTGCTCATAATAAATTATTCACGTATTCTATATAGATATTTAATTACTACCATTCTAACTTCTTTATCCAATCATCAAGAAAAAGCTAAGAACAAACAGAGTTTTACATTAAGATAGAAAAACTGTTGAAAATGCAGAGCATTATAATTTCCACCAGCAAAAGAAATAATACATGCTAGAATCTGAAGCATTCTTTTTAGATGCATAATTCTTAGAAATTAGTGCCATCTTCTGGCTTTTCAAAGTAACTAGGTACTGGTAGGATGTTTTATAGTATCACAAAGTGTCAGAAAAGGGGAAAAAATCCCTGAAACATATAGGTTCAAATCATAATCATAGTATCTGCAATACATTACAGTTCATGGCCTAAGCTTTGAGCATGGTAAAATTTTCACATCCTCTATAATTCATATTACATAAGCTGTGCAGGTTTATACTGGATTACATTCCCTTGGTTAGTAGTTTATTGTGATAAAATAAGATTCCTAGCTATTACACACACAGGATATTCTGGAACTGATGTGTTTTGAATAATTTTCTCATTTCTAACTCATGAATTTCTTCATGCCCGTGAATATTTAGTTCAGAAATTAAGAAACATTGAGGTTGGAGTGGGTTATCGCTCAAGTTCCGTGGATACATTCTTTTAGTTTGTTACTATATCATTTTTCAAGATATGGCTGTTTAGATGCACTATTGTATATTCTAAAATATTAAAAATAGCAATTATAGTATCTATTATGTCCCAGCTGCTAGATGCCCTATCTAAATTACTTTATTTCTCACAGAACACCAGTGAGATGTACTTCTACCTCATTCCTATCTTATAGATGAAGAAATTGAGGCTCAGAGATGTTAAGTCACAGAGCTAAGAAATGACAGGGTCAAGATCTGAACCCCTGTTCATCTGACTCCAAAGCCTGTGCTCTATGTTACCTACCTCACTATGATGGTTGGGATACTCATGACATTGGCCAGTTAAAGGCCACTGGTAGGTATTTTATGTAATTATTAAAATATTACATTATTAAAGTTGGCACTCCCCACAAATTGACTATCTACCACTTTACTTTCCTCCCAAGTCCTGGCCATGGATGAATAAAATTCTGTAGAACTCATTCCTCCTTCTATATTTAATAGAAATGTAAACACATATTAACTACTTTGCAGTGTCAAGCATTTAACTGATATTCAGGATATACCAATATACCAATGAATTTATCAGCAAATAAGTTTTAATAGAAGCTCAATTGTTTTCTAATATGCATAGATAATAAATAAAAAACTGGTTTAAAAGATCCATATGTCCTTAAAGGTTTCTAAGTGCTTGAACGTTTGGAGACACAGGCACACACATGCATACACAAATATACAGGTCATTGACAATAATTTTTATTTTTGTTTTTGGTATTGTATAAAAGATTAGGAAAAGCAAAAATCTAATAAGGATGATTTATCAAAAAGCAGTATGTACTCTAATCATGAGAGAAAAAAGAAAAAAATCTTAACCAGGGATACTATAGGGAAAACTATAATTTTAAGACAACTGTGGTTTAGCTGTTGAAGTACTAGAAGAAGGCAGTGGCATCTTGCAAAATACTAACTCATTTCTGGGGACCACAACACCACATGATGTTTCAAAAGCATATAAAAAGATTTCATATTAATATGGTATAAGAGATTATTCTAAGTAATACTAACAAAATAAAAATATCATACATGATTCACAAGGTATAACATATATTGAGTACTATTTTTAATTGGAAAGGATCTTGTTATATCTAATAGCCCCAAGATTTTGTGTACTAATAGTGAGCAGGTGCCTATCTCAAACTATAATGGAGTATTATAGAACTACAAAAGATGACTGGAATAATTAAGAACAACAATCAGAAAACATAATGAAATAAAGTATTTTATTTGCTATAGCATGAAATACTTGGAATAAAACTGTACCAATTAGGTTTCTTGGTTACTGGCAATATAAACTAACCCTGACCATCTTAAGCAGGAAAGGAGACAGATTACCTCATGGTCAGTGGGAGGGCTGGAGAACTAGCAGGGAAAGCAGGAAAAACAAAGGAACATAGGTAGCTCAAATACTGCCAAGTTCACATTGTGTGAACAGCTATTTCAGGATGCAGCCACTGGTATTTCTATGACTGGGGACAGCTGTGCAACTACCTCAGCTACAAATAATTTCTAAATATTACTCTCTCTCTTTGGACCACTTCTTCAGGGTGCAAATCTTGGGGAGATTATCCCATTGGCTTATCCTAAGGCATGTACATGTACGCAAATAAGAAGGAAGTTCACGTGCTACGTGGCCAAAATCCAAAACTGAAACAAACGTAATACCCAATAAATGTTTCCCACAGACCTTTGGTTGCTGAGTGCCAACGTGCATCCTTCTTATACTTGCATTTTCAAATAACTTCCTTTTAACATAATGCAACAATCCCACATATAATCAAAAAAAGTGTCACCCTTCTTTCCCAATTGGAGACTTCTTAAAGTCTTTTCTTTTATTGCATTTTGTTCCAAGTACAGAAGGAATCTCTGCATAATGGCCATTTGTTCTCATGTTTATGTTGTGATACTGTCCTGATATAGACTAAATTTCAGTTACTAAACTCAAATGCTTTACAGAAACCAGAGAGCATATGACAGCTGTAATGTGATATGGAAGTATCTGTGATTTTTCCTGGTGACAGAATCAAAGGTAATGCTACTATTGTGCTTTTTTGCTTATCAGCATCCACAAGAGATAGTCAAAAGGAAAGACTTGATACAGGGAGCTAATTATGAAGGGAGAGCAAACAGGGGATGGTGAGGCCACCTAGAGGATAGCAACAACTGAACAGCTGAAAGCAGCTGCTACCTCTATGGCTGAAAGAACAAAGGGAAGACACAGTGCTACAAAAGCCCAAGAGCTGCAACCTCCTGACAGGAGCTGGGTCCGGTAATGGGGGCTGCTCATCAGGACATGGGACCACGGGTAGCTTGGGGACCTGTTAAGTGGCAGCTGGAACCAATCGCGGATGCAGCTACTAGTGGAGGGGAGAGGGGAGAAATTCTGTAGCTTCTCTTCCCCCCAGTCTCCTGTCTCCTGACAGGACCTTGCCTTGGTAGGAGAAAATGTAGTTTGTACAGGGTGAGAAATGCATCTCAGAGCTAACCTGCAAATGACTGGCATTCACCAGGAAGCCCTGGGGCTAAACTCCAGATTCCTGGAACTGGTCATAAGGCCACTTCTCATATTAGAACTTTCTTCTTTGGATGCTCTCTCCTTTCACGTAGGGGAAGCAAATTTAAATTCTTTCTTCTGTGTCCTCCTTGCTTGCCGCCTGCCCTGCAGTTGGTTGGATTCTTTATCTGGTGTGGTGATGCAAGTCATCATTCCTGAGAGGCCAGGCCATGGTGGGCCTGCGGTCAGGAGCTTCACGAGGCCTCCATTAACTCTTACCATTGGATGTGTGAAGCACTATCCCAAGGCAGGCTTCTCACTGTGTGTGTGCATGTGTGCCTGTTAATGTATGCATGTCATGGACCTCTATAGCAGTCTAGGGAAGCTAGTGGGAACCCTCCTCAGAATAATGTTTTTAAATTCATACAGTAAAATACCTAAGATTATAAAACAAATCCACCTTTTTGAAATACAATTAATAAATTATAACAAATGTTTTGTCATGAAGGAAACAGTATAGTCCTTTCATAATGTATTTAAATAGCAAAATCTAGCAGCAGGTATAATAACTACAGCAGTTTCACATTGAGGGGGCACAAGCATATTTTAATACAGTATATAACAACTGTCATTTGATAAAAAGGGATCTGATTTCTCTTGGTGACAAAGTTGCAGGTGCTGATAATACAACTGTGATTTTATGCTGATTTTCATAGTTAAGAATACATTAAGTTTCTGTTGGAGTTCACAGAAAGATGTAGTTTTTTTTTCCTCATCCATATTCACAGCTTCTTTGACTGAGAGGGTTACCTGGGTTTTACCAGAACACTTTTTCACCTGCTGGCTAATTCTCTCACCTTCAGTGTTTTTTCAATTCCACCCTTCTCCTTCTCCCTGAGGCCTATCTTGTCCTATCCTGTACACTCTATTTACTTCTAACCTTCCTCTGTGTGGTAAGGTTTTTTAAGAAATGCTGTCTTAAACCCAGTCTGGGGCCCTGGTTGGAGGCTAGTCATTTCCCTGGACTCTCACATTCCAGGCCACCACACTCCTGTCCTAATTGCCCTGGGACAGGCACCAGACAACTAGGGACACACCTTGGAGCCCTCAGAATTATTCCAATTAGCCAATCTACAGAGAGCCCTCAAAACCTAACTAACCCCACCTGACTTGCCACACAAAAGCCCTTTCCAAGGGAAACCTCCGTGTGGCCCTGTGGCAGTCTTCTCCCATTTGAAGCTGTAAGTAACAAAAAGTTCTGCCATTCATCTATCCAAGTGAGTTGTCTCCTTCCATCCAAAAATATCTTGAATTCTTATAAAAACACCTTGATCCCCTCCCAGGGATTTCTTCTCTTTTTCTTCTCAGCATTTTTGTTTTTGTTTTTCCATAGCACTTATAATCTACCTTCTCACAAATCACTAGACTGTCTCCCCACCTCACTGAAATGTAAGGTCCGTGAAGGCAGGATTTTGTCATTTTTGTTTTCTGCTGCATCCTAAGCACTTGGAACAGTGCCTGCCCATAGGAGGCTCTCTTTATTGAATGAATAAATGAATGCATGACTCTCCTCTCTGTGCCTATTGTGATCAGTCACTCGGGGCAACACCTTCAAGCCCCTTCATACCTGTTTGTGTGGTTTCATGGAAGCCTGAAAGGGAGGTGGATGATGTAAATTCTGATTCAATAGGACTATGGCTATGTCTCTTGAGAGCTTTACCCTTTTGGGTGCCAAAAGCCTCTGAATGAGTGGAGCTCAGAGTCACAGAGAGAGGAAAAATTGTGAGTGGGTCTTTAGGGATGATCACGAGACAGACTGCTCTTCTGCTCCCCCTTGGTTTCTGAATCTGTGTAGTATGATTGTGGAAAATATAGCACCACGTGTCAGTTAAAGTTTCACAGCATACATGACATCTTTCAGAATGGTGCTGTTACCCTGAAGGTTGGCCCAGTTGATGCTGCCACAGAGTCTTTAATATACGATATTTCTATTTTATAAGGCCAATAACTTTTGGGTGATAAATTTCATAAGTTCAGTATCTCTCCCTGCCTTATTTCTTTCACTGTGAAGCCTGTTGTTTAGAAGTAATATTGTGCAGGATACCATAATGACACACTGTATTGATGAACTCCCTCAAAAGAAATGGTAGAAGAACCATGACTAGTAGGGAAAGAAAATCCAAATCCAGAACAAGTAATCAGGAGAATAAGGACAAATTCCTGCCAATCCCATGATGTAATCAACCTACCACTAGGCTGACTAGTCCCCCTTTCATCCCTGGGATTATATCAGGGGTCCGGGTTGTTTGTAGCCATGGGGAAATGAGGATTCAACAGTGACACTTCTGAAGTACTACTTCTTAAGGGAAAGTCCACATTGAGGCCTTGCATGGCCTCTAATTCTTGCATCACAGCCATTTCCACATACTGTCAGATTGCATTCTAAAATTACAATTCATGTTTCCATAAAAAAGTGCATATAATCTTCTTGAATTCCCTCCAGTAATTTATATCATTGCTCTTTCTAATTTTTGACAGTCTGATGAGGGTGGTTTGTCCAGTTATTACTTTAATTGTATTTCCCTGATTACTAGTGAGTTTGAGCACCTTTTACTTGTTGGCCAACTGTATACCCTTCAGTGAGATGTCTGTTCATATGCTTTACTTATTTTTCTTTGATTTTATCTTTATTTTGACAATACTAAAGAGCTCTTTGAATATTATGTTAATCCTTTGTCACCTCACAAATAGTTTCTTCAAATCTATTGTTTTTCTACTGACTTTAGATGTGAAATCCTTTGCAATTCAATAGTTTTAAAAAAATTGTCCAAATGTTTTCTTTTACAGCTCCAGAATTTTCTCTCTTGGTTAAGAATTATTCCTTCATCTCTAGGCTATTCCAAATTCTTAGATTTGGTCCTGAGATATTCACTGATTCATGTTTCATCTTTAAGTCTCTAATAATCCCAGGTTTTATTTTAATACATAATATAAAAGAAGCTTAATTTTGTTTTCTTCCAGTGGAGAATAAGTTGTGCCAGTTTCATCTATTAATTAAAACCTTATCTCACAACTGAATAAAACAGCAATTTTGTCATCAATTGTACTCTCATATATGCTGGGGTCTTTTGCTTAATTTTCTCTTCTTCCTGTTGATCTATTTGTATCTTACTATGCCAGTACCACACTGATAACGATGATAGTAGTTTAACATATGTTCTGATACCTAGCAAGGCAAGGCCAGGCAAGGACATTTATTTATTTTTTATATTTTCACTAGGTATTGGTGGGTTGTTGTTATACATATTATTCTAGATCAGACTCAAAAGCTTTGAAATGTTATGAAATTATGTATTAAAATAGCAATTTTCTCATGTAATCCATAAATAATATAATTTCAGAAAATTATATTATGAATTATATCTTCTCATCTGCTAGCATGGCAAAGTTTTGTAAGCCATTCATATATAATATTATTAAAGTTTTATAATTTTCTACATAGAAGTCTTGCACCTTTCTCATCAAATGTATTCAAAGTGTTTTGTAGGTTTTTTTTTTTTTTGGTTAAAGTTGTGACTGGAAAATTTCTTATTTCTAATTCTAGGTTGGGCTTGAAAGTGTAACAAGAGGTTAAAATAGAAGTTCTAGCTGAAGCACAAAGAAAGTAGAAACAACACATCAAAGTGAGGGATTTATAAAGCAGGAGACTGAAAACCAGCTGGTGACTCTTGAATTCCTCACCCTTATTGAGAGTATAAAAGGCTTATAGCCCTCACCCTTTCACCTCAAATCAAGAGGGAAGGGTTTTAGAAACACAACTTGGAGAGCTTAATATGTATCCCTGAAGTTTGAGGAAAGGGGACGTAGTGTACTGACTTCTGCCTGGAAAGTCTAACAGGTGGGAGATTAATTGACTGCAATGAAGGAGAAAGCCAATGACAGGTTGCTTCTTGACTGGAATTGTTCAGCACTCCAGAGGCTGTCAGGGAAAGGATGTGAGCATGCTGCCTGGAATCTGATGTGGCTCAGCTGTAGGACAAAGATAGTGTGTTTTCTTAAGTTCTGACCAAATGAACCACCTTAAGAGACAAAGATCACTCAGCAAGGAAAGCTGAAGATGCTATGAGATGCCAGAGGTTGGGGAAGGAGCAAACAACCAGCTGGAATGGATATGCCTTTTCTCAAAGAAAATTGCAAGTGGAAGAATTCCAGCCATGGGGTCTCCAAAGCATCCGTGAAACTGTTCCACAAGACAAGGATGGATGACTGAATGCCAAACCCAGAGAGCAGTGAAGCTAAATCAACTCAATCATTTCAGTGAAGAAAGAAATCTCCTGTCCTTTCCTGTCCCTGAACTCCATGATGAAGGGCCATGTGCTGTAGGTAGCAAAACAGGGGAGAAAGAATTTCAGTTTTCCTTTTCCCTTGAAATTTTCTAGCTAAATCAGTCCGAAATGTGGAAGGAAAAAGCATGAAGTTTTTTATTTTTATTTTTTGAGACTGAGTCTTGCTCTGTTGCCCAGGCTGGAGTGCAGTGGTGTGGTCTTGGCTCACTGCAACCTCCTCTTCTCGAGTTCAAATGATTCTCCTGCCTCTGCCTCCCGAGTAGCTGGAATTACAGCCGTGCACCACCATGCCCAGCTAATTTTTATATTTTTAGTAGAAACAGGTTTCACCATGTTGGCCAGGCTGGTAATGAACTCCTGACTTCAGGTGTCTGCCAGCCTTGGCCTCCCAAAGTGCTGGAATTACAGGCATGAGCCACCACACCTGGCCACATGAAAGCATGAAATTTAATGCAGATAGATTTACCTATCATATAAAAATGGAAAACCGAATTACTAAGTGGAACTGATATTTTGTGATCC